>NC_000016.10:28183455-28486486 GCF_000001405.40 Homo sapiens | reverse complement strand
GTGATCTCCTGGTGGTCCTCAGGGACTGGGGGAGCTGGGCTGCTGGGGGCCCTGTCCTACCTGGGCCTCACCCAGGCCGGCCTCTCCCCTCAGCAGACCCTGCTGTCCATGCTGGGTATCCCTGCCCTGCTGCTGGCCAGGTGAGCTGCCCTGAGCCGGGAGGGAGAGGGGTCCAAGGAGAGAAAACTTGGCCATGGCTGGGTGTGGTGGCTCACGCCTGTAATCCCAGCACTTTGGGAGGCCAAGGAGGGCAGATCGCCTAAGGTCAGGAAACCAGCCTGGCCAACATGGTGAAACCCCGTCTCTACTAAAAATACAACAATTAGCCAGGTGTGGTGGCGGGTGCCTGTAGTCCCAACTACTCAGGAGGCTAAGGCAGGAGAATCGCTTGAACCCCGGAGGCAGTGGTGGCAGTGAGCCGAGATCGTGCCATTGCACTCCAGCCCGGGCGACAGAGTTAGACTCTGTCTCAGGAAGAAAAAAAAAAAAAGAAAGAAAAGAAAACTTGATTATGATTGCAATCTTCAAGTCCCTACCTTGCTGTGAAGGGAGGCGGAATCTGGACTCTGATAGCCCCAGGTGTGAGTCCTGGAGCTGCCACTTTTTAGCTTTGTAGCGTTGAACAAGTTACTCCACCTCTCTGAACCCTCAGTTTCCCCATATCTCAAATGGCAGTTGTTCTTGCTTTCCTTGGAGGTGATGAGGGTAATGCATTCAGCACAGTGTGGTTCCCAAGGTGATTAGAAGTAGGATGAGGGTGGACTTTATTTGATTAGTTCCTTTTTTTTTTTTTTTTTTTTTTAATCAGTGTTGACCAGGTTGGCCTCGAATGTGTAGCCTTGCCTGCCTGAGTGCCAGGGCAACAGGCCTGAACCATGGCGACTCCCTTTTTTTTTTTTTTTTTTTTTTTTTTTTGAGACGGAGTCTCATGGTGTCACTCAGGCTGGAGTGCAGTGACTGGTGTGATCTCAGCTCACTGCAGCCTCGGCCTCCCGGGCTCTAGTGATTCTCCTGCCTCAGCCTCCCGAGTAGCTGGGACTACAGGCCCATGCCACCATGCCTGGCTAATTTTTTATATTTTTAGTAGAGACGGGGTTTCACTGTATTGGCCAGGCTGGTCTCAAACTCCTGACCTCAAGTGATCCACCTGCCTTGGCCTCCCATAATGCTAGGAATACAGGCGTGAGCCACCGCGCCCGGCCTGATTAGTTCTGTGTATTTTCATGCATATTACAAAACACTTTGGCCGGGCATGGTGGCTCACATCTGTAATCCCAGCACTTTGGGAGGCCGAGGCGGGCGCACCACGAGGTCAGGAGTTTGAGACCAGCCTGGCCAATATGGTGAAACCCCGTCTCTACTAAAAATACAAAAATTAGCCAGGCTTGGTGGCGCTTGCCTGTAGTCCCAGCTACTTGGGAGGCTGAGGAGAAGAATCGCTTGAACCCAGGAGGCAGAGGTTGCAGTGAGCCGTGATTGTGCCACTGCACTCCAGGCTGGGCAACAGAGCGAGACTCCGTCTAAAAAAAAAAAAAACACACACTTTGAACTAGCCAGACACACCTGGCCCTTCACAAGATTAGTGCTTAGGACAAGTCTAAGTAGAAAAAGTGAGTCCATTTAAAGAAAAATATTAAGTAAAAATATATATATACAGGAGGAATATGGATATGGCAAATAACATGAAGCCAGAACCTAAGTGACTAAAATCGAGGAAGTTCTGGCCTAGCACAGAGTGAACGTATAATTAATGGGAGCTAGAGCGACCATTAGAATAATAATGGCCAGAAAACAGAACTGACTCGCTAGGTATGAGCCAGCAGTCCGAACAAGGGCCTGCTGAGCACAGTGGCTCACAGCTGTAATCCCAGTGCTTTAGGAGGCTGAGGCTGGAGGACCACTAGAGGCTAGAAATTTGAGACCAGCCTGGGCAACATAGCGAGACTCCATTTATACAAAAAATGGAAAATATGAGGCGGGCTTGGTGGCACGTGCCTGTAGTCCCCGCTACTTGGGAGGCTGAGGCGGGAGGATTGCTTGAGCCTGGGAGGTCGCGGCTGCAGTGAGCTATGATTGCACCACTGCATTCCAGCCTGGATGCTGGAGAAAGACCCTGTCTCTGAAAAAAATCAAAACAAAATGAAGGCCCATGAATAGGAATAAGGAGATAAATTCAGGTCCAAAGAAAGAAGCCTTTGTCCACAATTGGAGCTCTCCCGCACAGCGTAGGAGCCTTAGAGGCAGTGAGCTACCCATCTTTGAAAGTGTTCAAAGGTAGAGGTGTTCCCTGGGAAAAGTGGCCTAGATGGTCCCTGGGGACCTTCCCAGCCAGTAGGGTTTTCTGACCCTGCCTTCATCCTACTCCTAGCTATTTCTTGTTGCTCACATCTCCTGAGGCCCAGGACCCTGGAGGGGAAGAAGAAGCAGAGAGCGCAGCCCGGCAGCCCCTCATAAGAACCGAGGCCCCGGAGTCGAAGCCAGGTAGGAGACACAGACCCTCAGAGAGGTCACTTTCTTTCTCTCTGGGTTTGGCCTTTTCCTCTCTGCAATAGGCAAAGTTAAGAGGGGAAAGAGAGTGAGTGTACTGGTTATGGGAAAAGCCTTTGTCTATTTGAGAAATACTTGTTGAGGACGAGCACAGTGGCTCACGCCTGTAATATCCCAGCACTTTGGGAGGCTGAGGCAGGAGGACCACTTGAGCTCAGAAGTCTGAGTCCAGCCTGGGCAACAGAGCAAGACCTTGTCGCAAAAAAAAAAAAAAAAAAAAAAAAAAGAAAAGAAAGGAAGGAAGGGAGGGAGAGAAGAAGGGATATTAATTGAGTACTTACCATGTGCCAGGCATTCCAATCACAAGTGCTGAGGCCCTGCGGTGGGGATAAGCTGGGATGTTCTAGAACCAGAGAATGGCCAGTGAGACTGGGCAGGGTGGGCCAATGGCCATCTGTGGAGCTGTACAAGAGACATTGGCCGGGCGTGGTGGTTCATACCTGTAATCCCAGCACTTTGGGAGGCTGAGGCAGATGGATCATTTGAGATCAAGAGTTTGAGACCAGTCTGGCCAACATGGTAAAACCCCGTCTCTACTAAAAATAAAAAAATTAGCCAGGTGTGGTGGTGCATGCCTGTAGTCCCAGCTACTTGGGAAGCTGAGGCACGAGAATCACTTGAACCCAGGAGGCAGAGGCTGCAGTGAGCTGAGATTGCACCACTGCACTGCAGCCTGGGCAACTGAGTGAGACTCTGTCTCAAAAAATAAAAAAAATTAAAAATCAAAGAGACGTGAAGAGGTCTCACCTGGTTAGCTTTTATTTTCATCATGATAAAGTATGTATATTACTTGAAGTTTACCATTTTATTATTTTTTATCTTACTTTATTTTTTTGAGGTGGAGTTTCGCTCTTGTTGCCCAGGCTGGAGTGCAATGGCGCAATCTCAGCTCACTACAACCTCTGCCTCCTGGGTTCAAGTGATTCTCCTGCCTCAGCCACCCGAGTAGCTGGGACTACAGACACCTGCCACCACACATGGCTAATTTTTGTATTTTTAGTAGAGATGGGGTTTCTCCATGTTGGCCAGGGTGGTCTTGAACTCCTGACCTCAGGTGATCCGCCCACCTCAGTCTCCCAAGGTGCTGGGATTACAAGCATGAGCCACTGCGCCCAGCCATTTTAACCATTTTTAAGTGTCCAATCCAGTGGCATGGAAGTGAGTTCCCACTGTTGCGTGGTCTGGTTAATTCTGTCATACCGGTGCCTCTTTGCCGAGTCTTCAGTGTGAAAACTTCATCTGCCCTTCTCTCTCTGTTCCCCTGCAGGCTCCAGCTCCAGCCTCTCCCTTCGGGAAAGGTGGACAGTGTTCAAGGTTCGGATGATGGCTGGGGTATGTCCCTGTGGGGCTTGCTCACCTCCAGGCCCCCCGCTTATATCTTCTGCCTTTTCCAGGGTCTGCTGTGGTACATTGTTCCCTTGGTCGTAGTTTACTTTGCCGAGTATTTCATTAACCAGGGACTTGTAAGTGAGGGGTGCTAGGAGGGGTGTGGAGGTGGCGATTGGGGCTGGGACCCACACAGCCCCGTCCATCTCCCCTGTCTGGTATTTGTTGCAGTTTGAACTCCTCTTTTTCTGGAACACTTCCCTGAGTCACGCTCAGCAATACCGCTGGTAAGAGGAGCGAGGGCAGTGGGCTGGGAGGGCGCCGTGGTGATGCAGCTGCCCTGCCCAGTAGGCACCGGGGGGAGCGGGATGGTCCCTGGAGGAGCCTCCTCTCCTCCCCCCAACCCTAACCTCAGGTACCAGATGCTGTACCAGGCTGGCGTCTTTGCCTCCCGCTCTTCTCTCCGCTGCTGTCGCATCCGTTTCACCTGGGCCCTGGCCCTGCTGCAGGTACCAAACCCCTGCCCCTCACTTCACTCCCACCTTGGCTCCCAGCTTGGCTCCCAGCTTCCCCAAACCCCCTGCTTCCCACTATCAGTGGGAAGTGTAAATTTTTTTTTTTTTTTTTGAGACAGAGTCTCGCTCTGTCGTCCAGGCTGGAGTGCAGTAGCGCAATCTTGGCTTACTGCAACCTCTGCCTCCCGGGTTCAAGTGACTCTCCTGCCTCAGTCTCCTGAGTAGCTGGGATTACAGGCGCCCGCCACCATACCTGGCTAATTTTTGTATTTTTAGTAGAGATGGGATTTTGCCATATTGGCTGGTCTTGAACTCTTGACCTCAGGTGATCTGCCGGCCTCAGCCTCCCAAAGTGCTGGGATTACAGGGAAGTGTAAATTGTACACTATCATTTCTTAGCACAGGGAACCAAAGTCCAGCAGAGCTCCATGTAAAATGTATAGCCTCAGGAGCCAAGCAAAACTGAGCTTCAGTACTCAGCCACTGTGTGACTTAGGGCAGGTCTCAGAACCTCTCTGAGCCTCAATTTCCTCATGTATAAATTGGGTGTGGCCAATACCTATTTTTCAGGGTAGTTGTAAGAAATAGAGATGAGAGAAAGAATCGAAGAACAAGATTTTGTAGTGTGTGTGTGTGTGTGTGTGCGTGTGTGTGTGTGTGTGTGTGTGTGTGTGTGTGTGTTTTAAGCATTGGGATTGGGCCGGGCCAGGTGGCTCATGCCTGTAATCCCAGCACTATGGGAGGCTGAGGCAGGTGGATCATTTGAGCTTGGTAGTTCAAGTCCAGCCTGGGCAACATGGCACAATCACATCTCTACAAAAATTAGCCAGGTGCAGTGGCGCACACCTGTAGTCTTAGCTACTGGGAAGCTGAGGTGGGAGGATCACTTGAACCCATGAGGTCAAGGCTGCAGTAACCAAGGTCATGCCACTGCACTCCAGCCTAGGCAATAGAGCGAGACCCTGTCTCCCAGAAAAAGAAAAAAGAAAGGAAAAGTCGGAACCTTCCTCTGTCGCCTAGGCTGGAGTACAGTGGCATGATCATAGGTCATTTACCTCAGGCAAAGAGACAGGCTTTCAAATAATGTTTCTAACTATAAGAAAATGTACAGTTCTTTTATTCTAGATAGTTAATTATAATAGAATTGGTGACTTTGAAGTCAGTGGGTTATTTATCTTGAGGGTGGTGAGCAAATTCAACTGCCCTTGGCAAACAGTAGTTTACAGCTTTAAGGGCGCAAACACCCTTCCTTACAACAGTCTAATAAAAGGAGTTTCATATAACCAGCATTCATTGTTTCAAGGTTACAAATCCACAGCCCCTGCAGGTAACTGTTACAATAAACTGTCAACTGTGACAGGAAAGTCTTCTGCCTTTGAAATTTAGGAACTTGGCCAGTCCTGGTGGCTCACACCTGTAATCCCAGCACTTTGGGAGGCCAAGGCAGGTGAATCACCTGAGGTCAGGATCAGGAGTTTGAGACCAGTCTGGCCAACACAGTGAAACCCCGTCTCTATTAAAAATGCAAAAATTAGTTGGGCGTGGTGGCACCTGCCTGTCATCTCAGCTACTCGCTAGGCTGAGGCAGGAGAATTGCTTGAACTCCGGATATGGAGGTTGCAGTGAGCCGAGATTGCAGTACTGTACTCCAGCCTGGGCCACAGAGCGAGACTCCATCTCCAAAAAAAAAGACTTAGGAACTCAATTCTGTGATAGCAAAATACAGAAATAGAGATTATACTTTAGGCTAGGTGTTGTGGCTCACACCTGTAATCCCAATGCTTTTGGAGGCTAGGGTGGGAGGATCACTCGAAGCCAGGAGCTTGAGACCAGACTGGACAACATAGTGAGACCCCCCACCTCTACAAAAAATTAAAAAAAAAAATAAGCCAGGTGGGAGAATTGCTTGAGCCCAGAAGTTTGAGAGAGCAGCCTGGGTAACATCACGAGACCTCATCTCTACAAAAAACAACAACAGGGTGTGGTGACATTCACCTGTAATCCCAGCTACTCGGGAGGCTGAGGCAGGAGGATCGCTTTAGCCCAGGAGTTCCAGGCTGCAGTGAGCCATAATCATGCCACTGTACCCCAGCCTGGGTGAGACCCTATCTCAAAAAAAAAGATTACACTTTCATATTATGGCAAAAGCATGTAAATATCCTCCAGCCTCCTTCCTTATTTATCTGAGCAGTGCTGCAAGCCCAGGGTTTGTACCCACAAAACCCCAAATTTATAACTCAGGGTGCTTGTAGATACCACTGAAACATGTAGCTTATGGTTTTAAGCTACATGTTTTTAGCTATAATGTTTTTTGTTTTGTTTTGTTTTTTGAGATGGAGTCTCGCTCTGTTGCCCAGGCTGGAATGTAGCGGTGCAATCTTGGCTCACTGCAACCCCTGCCTCCCAGATTCAAGCGATTCTCAAGCCTCAGCCTTCCGAGTAGCTGGGATTACAGGTGCGCCACCACGCCCAGCAAATTTTTTGTTTTGTTTTGTTTTGTTTTGTTTTTTAGAGACAGAGTTTTGCTCTTGTAGCTCAGGCTAGAGTACAATGGCGTGATCTTGGCTCACTGCAACCTCCGCCTCCCAGGTTCAGGCGATTCTTCTGCCTCAGCCTCCTGCGTAGCTGGGATTACAGGCACGTGCCACCACACCTGGCTAATTTTTGTATTTTTTAGTAGAGATGGGGTTTCGCCATGTTGGCCAGGCTGGTCTTGAACTCCTGACCTCAGGTGATCCACCCGCCTTGGCCTTCCAAAGTGCTGGGATTACAGGTGTGAGCCACCACACCTGGCTAGAGGTGTGTCCTTTTTAATGCTCATCTTTAAGTCTACCTCAGATTTAATGAATTAGGACCTCTAGGGTAAGCCCCGCTTGGGGCATTTGTACCTAGATCCCCAGGCAATTCTTACATATACGAAAAGTATGAACCGCCACGAGGAGGCCTACACACTGCACAAGAGGCAATGTGGCGTGGTCAGTGCTGGGAGGATGGCACCTCCTTGAGAGACTGGGGCACAGAGGTGGGACCTACACCCTGGGGTGGGGATCGAAGAGGCTTCCTGGCCAGGTGCGGTGGCTCCTGCCTATAATCCCAGCACTTTGGGAGGCTGAGGCAGGGGGGCAGCGACTGCTTGAGACCAGGAGTTCGAGCCCAGCTGAATAGGATGCCCGGCTACTCCCACCTTGTTTTACCATAGTGAACCAACGGTTTTTCCAATAGGGGCAATTTTGCTGCCCAGCGGATGTTTGGCAACGTCTGCAGGCATGCTTTGGTTGTCACAACTGAGGGATGCTATGGGCATCTAGCGGGCAGAGGCCAGGGATCCTGCTAAATGCGCTGCCATATACAGGACAGCCCTCACCATGCAGAACAACCAGCACCAAACGCCAAGAGTGCTGCAATTGAGAAATCCTGGTTTCGATGGTCCCACTTCCTTTAAGAAGCCTCCATTTTTTTTTTTTTTTTTTTTTTTTTTTTTATGAGACAGGATCTTGCTCTGTCACCCAGGCTGGAGTGCAGTGGCACAATCATAGCTTACTGCAGCCTCCACCTCCTAGGTTCAAGCAATCCTCCTGTCTCAGACTCCCGAGTAGCTGGGACTGCAGGTGCGTGCCACCATGCTCAACTAATTTTTAAATTTTTTGTAGAGACGGAGTTTTGTTATGTTGCCCAGGCTGGTCTCGAACTCCTGGCCTCAAGTGATCATCCCACCTTGGTCTCCCAATGTGCTGGTATTACCTGCATGAGCCACTGCACCAGGCTGAGGTTGAGAATTTTTTTTTTTTTTTTTTGGGATGGAGTCTCTCTCTGTTGCCCAGGCTGGAGTGCAGTGCTGCGATCTTGGCTCACTGCAGCCTCTGCCTCCCAGGTTCAAGTGATTCTCCTGCCTCAGCCTTCCAAGTAGCTGGGACTACAGAACCACTACACCCAGATAATTTTTGTATTTTTAGTTGAGATGGGGTTTTACCATGTTTAGTAGAGACCAGGCCAGGCTGGTCTCGAAATCCTGACCTCAGGTGATCTGCCCACCTCAGCCTCCCAAAGTGCTGGGATTACAGGTGTGAGCCACCACACCGGGCTGGTGTTGAGATTTTATCTAGACCTGGCAGCCCTCTCCTTCACCAGTAACTCCTAAAACCAGGGACCCCTGGAGGGGAGGCCACCTCTCCTTCCCTGCCCCGCCCTGGTCCCAGGCTTAGCCTCTCCCCCTGTTCACAGTGCCTCAACCTGGTGTTCCTGCTGGCAGACGTGTGGTTCGGCTTTCTGCCAAGCATCTACCTCGTCTTCCTGATCATTCTGTATGAGGGGCTCCTGGGAGGCGCAGCCTACGTGAACACCTTCCACAACATCGCCCTGGAGGTCAGCATTGGCCGGGCAAGGGCTGGGGGTGGCCTGTCCAGGGACACCCAGGGCAGGGATGTCTGGGACTGAAGCCTCACCCCTGCTCTCTGCCCTCCCAGACCAGTGATGAGCACCGGGAGTTTGCAATGGCGGCCACCTGCATCTCTGACACACTGGGGATCTCCCTGTCGGGGCTCCTGGCTTTGCCTCTGCATGACTTCCTCTGCCAGCTCTCCTGATACTCGGGATCCTCAGGACGCAGGTCACATTCACCTGTGGGCAGAGGGACAGGTCAGACACCCAGGCCCACCCCAGAGACCCTCCATGAACTGTGCTCCCAGCCTTCCCGGCAGGTCTGGGAGTAGGGAAGGGCTGAAGCCTTGTTTCCCTTGCAGGGGGGCCAGCCATTGTCTCCCACTTGGGGAGTTTCTTCCTGGCATCATGCCTTCTGAATAAATGCCGATTTTATCCATGGACTTCTTATATCGTTTTTGTCTCTAAAAAGAAACTTTTATTATGAAAGTAATACATGCCCACTTTCCTATATATAGACAGCATAAAGAAGGTATGTCAGCAGATTTCTCCCTTTTTTGTTTGTTTGTTTGTTTGTTTGTTTGTTTTGACAGAGTCTCACTCTGTCACCTAGGCTGGAGTGCAATGGCGTGATCTTGGCTCACTGCAACCTCCACTTCCCGGTTCAAGCAATTCTCCTGCCTCAGCCTCCCGAGTAGCTGGGATTACAGGTGGTCACTACCATGTCTGGCTAATTTTTATATTTTTAGTACAGACGACATTTTGCCATGTTGGCCAGGCTGGTCTCAAACTCATGACCTCAGGTGATCCGCCCACCTTGGCCTCCCAAAGTGCTGAGATTACAGGTGTGAGCCACTGTACCTGGCCTCTGCCATCTTTGAGGCCTTACGTATTCATTCATTCATGCATTCATTGTTTGGGACAATCTGTAAACAATCATGTTGGACATTCTTTCCAGCATGAAAGTTTTCAGAGAAGTGGAAAGAATTGTGCAGTGAATCATCCTGAGTATGCGCCACCCTGTTCTATGTTAACATTTTGTTACAGTTGTTTTATCATGTAGTCCAGCCCCCATCAAATCTATGTATTCACTGTTCCATCAGTGAGTAGATAGAGCTAATGAATGGCAGGGTTGGCACCTGAGGCATTTTATTTTATTATTTTTTTTTATTTTTAGAGACAGGGTTGCACTCTGTCACCCAGGCTGAAGTACAGTGGCACAGTCATGGCTCACTGTAGCCTTGACCTCCTAGACTCAAACAATCCTCACACCTTGGCCTCCCAAGCAGCTGGGACTGCAAGTGCATGCCACCAAGCCCAGCTAATTTTTTTTTTTTTTTTTGTAGAGACGCGATCTTCCTATGTTACCCAGGCTGGTCTTGAACTCTTGAGCTCAAGCAGTCCTGCCTTGGCCTCCCAAAGTACTGAGATTACAAGCATGAGCCACTGCTCCTGGCATCCTGTTATTTAGGTACAGTTTTTATACACAGTAAAATGTATAAATTGTTACATATTTTTACAGTAAACTGAGTCTGGGCCAGGCACTGTGGCTCACACCTGTAATCCCAGCACTTTGGGAGGCTGAGGCGGGCAGATCACCTGAGGTCAGGAGTTTGAGACCAGCCTGCACAACGTGACAAAACCCCGTCTCTACGAAAAATATAAAAAATTAGCCAGGTGTGGTGGCTTGCACCTGTAGTCCCAGCTACTTGGAAGGCTGAGGCGCAAGAATTGCTTGAACCCAGGAGGCGGAGGTTGTGGTGAGCTGAAATTGCACCACTGCACTCCAGCCTGGGCAACAGAGCAAGACTCTGTCTCAAAAAAAAAAACAAAAAAACTGAGTCTGACTTAGTGTTTCTCATACTTCATTGTTACCCTTTCTACTATATTTGCCATATCTGAACCTAACAGTACTTTTATTTACTTAATATTTTTCATTAAAGCAACTAACCTTTAATATACATTCAGTTATTTTAAAGGGAAACATTATTAAAATCATGAGTTTGAGGTGATATATATGTATTTTCTACTTTACTTTAAATAGTTATGTAACTATTGGAGTTTAAAATGAACATGCAAGTTCCCCCTGAGACTACTCCATTACGACCAGTGATGTTTGTGGACCCAGATCTAGGAAATGCTGACCCACTGGTTAATAGCATGGGCTTTGGGGGCAGAAGGAACTGACTTTCAGGTGCCAACCCTGCCATTCACTAGCTCTATTACCTTGGGCAAGTCACTTCACCTCTCTGCACCTCAGTTTCCTGATCTGTCCAATGGGATAATAGTAGCACCAGCATTTCATAAGTTGCTTTTGGAAACTACATGAGATCATGTCAACACTCAATAAACATCAGCTCTGATCATGCTATGATATGACTCCTGCCTCTCACCTTTGCATTGCATTATACCCGTGTTTCTCAAACCTTAGTGTGTACTGGAGGCCTTGTTTTTTGTTTTTGTTTTCTTGGAGACCAAGAGTCTTGCCCTGTCACCCAGGCTGGAGTACAGTGGCATGATCATAGCTCACTGCAGTCTCAACCTCCTGGGCTCAAGGGGTCCTCCTGCCTCAGCCTCCTGAGTATCTAAGACTGCAGGCACGCACCACCATACCTGGCTAATTTTTATATTTTTGGTAGAGATGGGGTTTCACCATGTTGTCCAAGATAGTCTTGTACTCCAGAGCTCAAGTGATCCACCCACCTTGGCCTCCCAAAGTGCCAGGATCACAAGTGTGAGCCACTGCACCTGGCCCTGCCTGGCTAATTTTTATTTTTTTTCTGTAGAGACGAGGTCTTGCTTTGTTGCTCAGGCTGGACTGGAACTCCTGGCCTCAAGTGATCCACCTGCTTCAGCCTCCCAAAGGTCTGGGATTATTACCCATGAGCCACCACACCCAGCCACAATATTTTATTTATCCATTTGTTAGTTGATGGATATTGGGGTTTCAATTTTTTGACTTAACTATGAATCATGCTGCTATAAATGTTTGGGTAAAGTTTTTGTGTGGACACATGTTTTCCATTTCTCTTGGATAATATCAAGGAGTGGAATTGCTGGGTTGATGGTAATTTTGTTTGATCCTTTGAGGAACTACCCGACTGTTTCCCAAAGTGGCTGCAATTTTACATTCCACTGGCAGTGTACGAGGACTCCACGTCCCCACCAATACTTGCTCTTTTCCATTCTTTTTCCACCGCAACCTCCGTCTCCCCGGTTCAAGTGATTCTCCTGCCTCAGCCTCCCTCTTTTTTTTTTATTTTTGAGACAGTCTCGCTCTGTTGCGCAGGATGGAGTGCAGTGGTGCTATCTCGGCTCACTGCAATCTCAGTCTCCTGAGTTCAAGTGATTCTCCCACCTCAGCCTCCCAAGTAGCTGGGATTACAGGCATGCGCCACTACACCTGGCTAATTCTTTTTTGTTGTTGTTTTTTGTTTTTGTTTTGTTTTGTTTTTTCAGATGGAGTCCTGCTCTGTCACCAGGCTGGAGTGCAGTGACGCAGTCTCTGCTCACTGCAGCCTCCGCTTCTGGGTTCAAGCTATTCTTCTGCCTCAGCCTCCCAAGTAGCTGGGATTACAGGCACCCACCACCACACCTGGCTAATTTTTGTATTTGTTATGGAGACGAGGTTTCGCCATGTTGGCCAGGCTGGTCTCCAACTTCTAAACTCAGGTGATCCACCGGCCTTGGCCTCCCAGAGTGCTGGGATTACAGGCATGAGCCACCGTGCCCAGCCTCTTTTCCGTTTTTGTTTTTTTTTTTTCCTTTGGTTGTCTGGTTTGGTTTTTATTATAGCCTTTCTAGTGAGTGTGAAGTGGTATCTCACTGTGGTTTTGATTTGCATGTCCCTGGTGACTAATGATGCTGAGCATCTTTTCATGTCCTTATTGACCGTACATATAGTTCTTTGAGAAATGTCTTCTCAGATCCTTTGCCCATTTTTAAATGGGATTGTCTTTTTTTATTAAAGAGCCAGAGATCTGAAGTCTTTTTGAGTTGTAAGATTTCTTCATATATTCTAGACAGAAGTCCCTTATAAGATACATGATTTGCAAATATTTTCTCCCATTCTGTGTTGTCTTTTTACTTTTTTGATATTGTCTTTTGGTACGGAAAGACACTTATTTTGATGAAGTCCAATTTATCTATTTTTTGTTTGGTTGCTTGTGCTTCTGGTAACATATCTAAGTGGGAGCCAGGTGCAGTGGCTCATGCCTGTAATCCCAGCACTTTGGGAGGCCAAGGCGGGAGGTTTGCTTGAGACCAGGAGTTCAAGACCAGCATGAGCAACATTGCAAGGTTCTATCTCTATAAAAAATTAAAATAATGATAAAAGGAGGCCGGGCGTGGTGGCTCATGCCTATAATCCCAGCATTCTGGGAGGCAGGAGGACAACTTGGGCCAGGAGTTCAAGACCAGTCTGGGCATCATGGCAAAAAAAGAAAAAAGAAAAAATTATCCTGGCAAGGTATGCCTGTAGTCCCAGCTACTTGGGAGGCTGAGGCGGGAGAATTGCTTGAGCCCGAGAGGTGGAGGTTGTAGTGAGCTGAGATTGAACCATTGCACTCCAGCCTGGGTGACAGGAATGAAACCCTGTCTCAAAAAATAAAAATAAAATAAGCCAGGTGTAGTGCTGCGTGCCTGTACTCCCAGCTACTCTGGAGGCTGAAGTGGGAGGATCACTTGAGCCTAGGAATTCGAGGCTGCAGTGAGCTATGATCATACCACTGCACCCCAATGTGGGCACAGAGCAAGACCCTATCTCTTAAAAAACAAACAAAGAGGGGCGGGGTGCAGTGGCTCACGCCTGTAATCCCAGCACTTTGGGAGGCTGAGGCGGGCAGATCACGAGGTCAGGAGATCGAGACCATCCTGCCTAACACGGTGAAACCCCATCTCCTTTTTTTTTTTTTTTTTTTTTGAAACAGAGTTTCATTCTTTTTGCCCAGACTCCCGGGTTCAAGCGATTCTCCTGCCTCAGCCTCCTGAGTAGCGGGGATTACAAGGGTGTGCCACCACACCCAGCTAATTTTTTATATTTTTAATAGAGGCGGGGTTTCACCGTGTTGGCCAGGCTGGCCTCAAACTCCTGACCTCAAGTGATCCGCCCACCTCGGCCTCCCAAAGTGCTGGGATTACAGGCGTGAACCAGCGCGCCCAGCCTCCTACATTTTCTTCTAAGAGTTTTATAGTTTTAGCTCTTACATTTAGATCTTGTTTTCATTTTGAATTAACTTTTTTGCAGGTGGTGTGATACAGCAGTCTGTGCAGAAAAAAGTTAACATAGTAGACCCTAACTGCTAACTTTATTTTTACTTTTATTTTTTATTTTGTTTAGAGACAGGGTTTTTGTCACCCAGGATGGAGTGAAGTGGCGTGATCATAGCTCACCGTAACCTTGAACTCCTGGGCTCCTCTGCCTCAGCCTCCCAATTAGCCACCACACCCAGCTACCTTTTGTACATTTTTTTGGTAGAGACGGTGTCTCACTATGTTGCCCAGTCTGGTCTCAAACTCCTCAGCTCAAATGATCTGCCCACCTTGACCTCCAGAGATACTGGGATTACAGGCGTGGGCCACTGCACCAGACCCAGGTTTATTCTTACACCAATACAACACTGTCTTAATTACTATAGCTTTGTAGTGAGCTTTTGAAAATAGGAAATGTGAATCCTCCAACTTTTTTTTTTTGGAGACGGAGTCTCGCTCTGTTGCTCAGACTGGAGTGCAGTGGCACTATCTCAGCTCACTGCAAACTCCATCTTCCAGGTTCAAGTGATTCTCCTGCCTCAGCCTACCAAGTATCTGGGACTACAGGCAGGTGCCACCATGCACAGATTCCTTGGACATCCCTGAGAGGTCAATCATGAAGGTCAACTTGGTTTTCTCCCCCTCATTTGGGTTCAGAATTTAAAGTCCACACACACAGGCAGTAAGATGATTATAGATAAGGACATCATCACTCGGTTTCGGATGTTAAATTGTCTAGGTGGGTTAGGGGTGATTTGAGATCACACAACCTTGTGCCACAAAGAGGAATTCCCAGGCCAGAGGGAGACATTTTATTGCCATGTTATGATCTTATCATTGAGTTGAAAGGCAATCTTGTTTCATTTTGGATTCTTTCTTATGTTTATGTCTTATAAGGGCACTTTGAATTTCCAAGCAAATAATAATTTTGAATTAGCTTTTAATCATTGACTTCTAGCACAGTTATATGATCAGAAACGTGCTGTGTGATTTGATTGCTCTCAAATATATTGAGATTTGCTGGAACAAAATAAGTCAGGTTAATTTTTGTAAATGTACCATGCTTGCTTAAAATGAATGTATCTACATTTGTTCCTGAGATACGGGTTGATGGACGGATGGCTACATGGATGTGATGGAGATGGTTTACTATCGGGACCTTCCGCATCCTGCTGATGTTTTGTTGCTTAGGATATGAATGGCTGAGCGGAGGCTGTAAAACCTGGCACTCTGCTTGGGTATGAGGTTCTTCCTGCCATCCTGCCATCATTTGTTTTTTATGTTTTGTCGCCAAAAGTGACCTTGAGGAACCCTGGGAGCTCAGGAAGGAAGGAGCGCCCAGAAGCAGGGACAGGGAGCTGGTTGGGGAGGACCAGAAATCAGGTTTGTGAAGGTTCCAGAGAGGACCTGTCCTTGCGAGGAGTGTGGGAGACTGAGATGGGGGAGGGGTCATTGGAATGATGCGGGCGCTACTTGGCATTGTCCATTGTGAGGCACCACCGGGGTCATCAGGGATTGGTGGAGAGGGAGTATAAAGCCCCAGGTTTGCTAAGGGAGGGCCCAGACCGAAGAAGGTTTGGCGGATAGCAGAACCTTTTTGTCTCCCTCTAATTGCTCCTAAGCCTCACGCTCCCTTGCCCCGCGTGTCCTGTTGCTTCCCTGATCTTCTCCGTGACCTGTAGCTAAACCTTCCACCAGCGCTTGAGAACTTAATTTGAACCGGATCCTTTCCCAGACCCCTTTCTTCTTCTCCTCCTCCACCTCCTCCAGGTGCCCAACAGCCCCCTTCTCCTCCTTTCCCTTCCCTTACTTCCCCCCTTCCCCTCCCCTTCCCCTCCCCCTCCCCTCCCCTTCCCCTCCCCTTCCCCTTCCCCTCCCCCTCCCCTTCCCCTCCCCCTCCCCTTCCCCTCCCCCTCCCCTCCCCCGCCCCAACTCAGATCCGGCCCCGGTCCCCGTCCCCTTCCCTCCCCCCTGCCCTAAGCCACCTCCACCTCTGTCCTGGCCGCCTCAGGGCACCCTGAAAGGATCAGGACATGCGGCTGCGCTTTTGGCTCCTCATTTGGCTCCTGCTGGGATTTATCAGCCATCAGCCCACCCCTGTGAGTAGACGCTGGACCCGCGGGGTTTCTTCCTTTTTACTGGGCTGTGTCACGCGGCATGAAATTACACAGCTCAGGCCTGTAATCCCAGCACTTTAGGGGGCCGAGGTGGGCAGATCACTTGAGTCCAGGAGTTGAAGACTAGCCAGGGCATCATGGCGAAACCCCATCTCTACAAAAAATTCCAAAAAAGATTAGTCGGGCCTGGTGGTGCGTACCTGTTATCCCAGTTACTGGAGAGGCTGAGGTGGGAGGATCGCTTGGGCCGAGGAGCTGGACGTTGCAGTGAGCTGAGATGGCCCCGCTGCACTCTTGTCTCTAACAAACAAAATGGACCAAAACAAAGTGAAATGTCATTTGATTTGTGTCATCTGGTTTGATGACTTTTTTTTTTTTTTTTTTAGACAGAGTCTCACTCTGTCGCCCAGGCTGGAGTGCAGTGGCAAGATCTCGGCTCACTGCAACCTCCGCTTCCGGGGTTCAAGCAATTGTCCTGCCTCAGCCTCCTGAGTAGCTCAGATTACAACGCCTGGCTAATTTTTGTATTTTTAGTAGAGACGGGGTTTCACCATGTTCGCCAGGATAGTCTCCATCTCTTGACCTCGTGATCCGCCTGCCTCGGCCTCCCAGTGCCGGGATTACAGGCGTGAGCCACCGCGCCTGGCCAAAATATATAACCTTAAGTGTAAGTTTACTAACTTTGGAAAGTACATACACCAGCATAAACCGACCCCCTTTCAAGATCTACATTATTTTATTTATTTATTTATTTTTTTGAGACAGTTTCTCCCTTGTTGCCCAGGCTGGAGTGCAATGGGGCAATATCAGCTCACCGCAACCTCTGCTTCCCAGGTTTGAGCGATTCTCCTGCCTCAGCCTCCCGGGTGGCTGGGATTACAGACATGTGCCACCACTCCCAGCTAATTTTGTATTTTTAGTAGAGATAGGGTTTCTCCATGTTGGTCAGGCTGGTTTTGAACTCCCGACCTCAGGTGATCCGCCCGCCTCGGCCTCCCAAAGTGTTGGGATTACAGGCGTGAACCACCGTGCCCAGCCAAGATCTACACTATTATGTCACCCCAGAAAGTGAACTCTCAGTCTTCCCAGCCAGTCTCTTTCTTATCATAGGTTAGCTTGCTTATTCTGGAATTTCGCGTATACAGATGCGTGCCATGCCATAGGTACTCTTTTGTGTCTGCTTTGTTCTGCTCAACACCATGTTTCTGAAATCATTACCATTGTTGTATGGTTCTCTAACTCCATCATTTCCATTTCAGACTCAGCATATGCTGAGTTCAACCTGTTGAAGGGCTATCTCTGTTTAATTCACCATCTTGAAAGAAACATTTAAAATTGAGATGTTTTCAAGAATATATAGTTAAATCCTGAGGAATCGATGTAGAAATGTTATCACAAGCTGTCTGAACTTACTCAGGGGAAGTCTTCGTCTTCACTCACATAAGAGTCTACTGGAATTAATATCAACAATCTTAGAGAAATCCCACACTATTCATGCCATTTTCATGATCTCCACCTTGGTAATTTTTTTTTTTTTTTTTTTTTTTTGAGACAGAGTCTCACTCTGTCACCCAGGCTGAAGTGCAGTGGTGCGATCTCGGCTCACTGCAACCTCTGCCTCCTGGGTTCAAGTGATTCTTCTGCCTCAGCCTCCCAAGTAGCTGGAACTGTAGGCACGTGCCACCATGCCCTGCTAATTTTTTGTAATTTTAGTAGAGATGGGTTTCACCGTGTTAGCTAGGATGGTCTCAATCTCCTGATCTCGTGGTCCACCCACCTCGGCTTCCCAAAGTGCTGAGATTGCAGGCGTGAGCCACCACACCCGGCCCACCTTGTTAATTTTTAAGCACTAAAATTTGATACTTATTTGTGAATGAAGTAATCTCTTCATTGTATTTTTTTTTTTTACTTATGCTGAGCTTCAAATGACAAAGATTCATATAATCCAAGAGAGAAGTATTATTTAGAGGGATTCTTTTACCATGTGATATATAATAAATGCATCCAATGTTATACATCAATTTAAAAAACAAGTAAATAACTTTAAAGAAAAGATAACTACTGGCCAGGTGCAGTGGCTCACACCTGTATTCCCAGCACTTTGGGAGGCCGAGGCAGGTGGATCAAGAGGTCACGAGTTGGAGACCAGCCTGGCCAAGATGGTGAAACCCTGTTTCTACTCAAAATACAAAAATTAGCCGAGTGCGGTGGCAGGCGCCTGTAATCCCAGTTACTCAGTAGCTGAGGCAGGAGAATCGCTTGAACCCGGGAGGCGGAGGTTGCAGTGAGCTGAGATCATGCCACTGCAATCTAGCCTGGGTGACAGAGCAAGACTTTGTCTCCAAACAAAAAGAAAAGATAATTACTTTATACTTAGCTTGTCTTAGCCATGAGTGACGGGCTGCATGTGGCCCAGGACAGTTTTGAATGCAGTTCAACACAAATTTGTAAACTTTCTTAAAACATTAGGAGATTTTGGCCAGGTACAGTGGCTCATGCCTGTAATCCCAGCACTTTGGGAGGCTGAGGCGGGCAGATTACCTGAGGTCAGGAGTTCGAGACCACCCTGGCCAACATGGCAAAATCCCATCTCCACAAAAAATACAAAAATTTGCTGAGTGCATTGTCAGGCACCTGTACTCCCAGCTACTCAGGAGGCTGAGGCAGGAGAATCACTTGAACCTGAGAGGCAGAGGTTGCAGTGAGCCGAGAGCACGCCACTGCACTCCAGCCTGGGTGACAGAGTGAGACCCCATCTCAAAAACAAAACACCAAACAAAAACAAAAACAAAAAAAAATGGCTGGGCACGGTGGCTCACACCTGTAATCCCAGCACTTTGGGAGGCCGAGGCAGGCAGATCGCCTGCCAGGAGTTCAAGGCCAGACTGGCCAACATGGTGAAACCTCATCTCTACTAAAAATACAAAAATGAGTCGGGCATGGTGGCAGAGACCTGTAATCTCAGCTACTCGGGAGGCTGAGGGAGGAGAATGGCTTGAGCCCAGGAGCTGGAGGTTGCAGTGAGCCGAGATTGCACCACTGCACTCCAGCCTGGGCGACTGAGTGGAGCGGAACTCTGTCTCCAAAAAAAAAAAAAAAAGAGTTTTTTTTTAGATCATCAGCTATTGTTAGTGTTAGTGTATGTTATGTGTGGCTCAAGACAACTTTGTTTCTTTTAATATAGGCAGGGAAGTGAAAAGATTGGATATCCCTGCTTTATACCAAGAAAGACAACACCCCACATTTGCAATGCCTAAAAACACTACCAGCCATCTGAAAAACATGAGACTTCTAACTTCTGTTCTTTTTTGTAGCAGTGGAATCCCACGGTGATATCTGAGGGATGTGGTTACCTTTTGGAGGAGGTTGACGGTTTCTAAGGATGATTCTTTCTGAGTGAAATATTGTCGGTGTCATTGACCTTTTCATTATTTCAACTATTATTATTCCAGGTTATCAATAGTCTGGCTGTCTATCGTCATCGTGAGACTGACTTTGGTGTAGGAGTTCGAGACCACCCTGGCCAACATGGCAAAACCCCATCTCCACAAAAATTGGATAATTTGATAATTATCATTATTGGGTTTCTGAGACGTTACACATTTAACGTTCTCTTCTGCACAAGTTGCCTTTGTGTGAGTATACTAACTTTCTGTAGAGGTATACTTGTAATCACAAATAAGAATAAATTATATAAAACAATTCACGTTTCTGGACTTCATTATGAATATGTGGTTTTACCCAAAAAATCAGGGAAATGATTTATTAGCATAAGAATTATGAAAATGTCTGCCATTTACATTATGAAAATTAAATAGGTCGGTGTTTGTTTAATAGAATGTCAACAGAGCTTTTGGTCAAAAATAAGTTTTTTTAGCCTTTGTGCTATTTATCACAAATGGAGTATGAGGTTTCGTCACTTAAATAGGAAATTCTTTCTAAACTCTTCTGCTTTATAGTTCTATCGTATGGGTGGAAGGAAAGCTTCCAATCTCCTCTCTGAAGATTCACTGCAGAAATGAGCTGACAACAGACAGCTTAACAGGAAAAGAAAAACATAGAACAGGCATAAACATGGGAACCAGCTGAAAAATGAGACTGCTAGAAGGGCCGGATGGTTGATGCTTAAAGAGCACCCTCTTCTGAGGGGAGAGGGAGATAGATGGAGATGTAGGCCATTTAGAGGGGCAGCAAATGATTTTTAGGGGAAATGAAAGAGGCCAAGGAACAAACAATTGGCCTGAGACAAAGTTCCTCTGAGGTCATAGGGACGAGGTGACAAACTGCCGGAAGGTGAAGGGCAGAACTGCACTGCGTCTCATGATGCAGAGAAAGCCCCAGAGAATCTCTTAGAACTGCCCTCCAAGAGAATCAATGAAAAGTGTGTCTGGGCAGGGTAATTTTGAATGACATCATTCAAAGTGCATGTTCCCACTTGCAACTGGAGAGAGATCAGTATGTCAAAAGTCTGTACTTGGTAAGAATTTGGCTGCTAAGTTGTGCCATAATTTGTCTTTTGAGCCTTTTTTCCTTTGGGTAAGTTGAGCTCTACATTTTGTCTTGCCATTCATGACAGTAAAAATGTGGTTTTCTGGGGGCTGAACCTCCTGAACAATGATCCAAGATAAAAGTACTAATACCACAATGCTTTTTTATATTCAAGGGAAGAGGAAGTATGTTTCAGTTTTACCACCTAGATAATTACACGTCATTTGGCACTGCCTTTCAAGATATGTAGAAAACAGAAAATATATGAGTTATGAAGATATCTAGGCACATTTAACATTCTCTATGCCACTTAGTCCTGAACAGAGAATTTTCGGTATAAATTGGAGGAAGCTTTTTTTTTTTTTTTTTCTTTTCTCACCCCCGAGACGAGTCTCCCTCTGTTGCCCAGGCTGGAGTATAATGGTGTGATCTCGGCTCACTGCAACCTCCACCTCCTGGCTTCAAGCGATTCCCCTGCCTCAGCCTCTCAAGTAGCTGGGATTACAGGTGCCCACCACCATGCCCAGCAAATTTTTGTATTTTTAGTAGAGTCGGGGTTTTACCATGTTGGCCAGGCTAGTCTCAAAACCCGACCTCAAATGATCCACCCGCCTCAGCCTCCCAAAGTGCTGGGATTACAAGCGTGAGCCACCACGTGAGCCAGGGGAAGTTTTTAAATTTACCACTTTTTAACAGTTCCATTTAGGAAAGTTCAGTTGAGCTGCTGGACTTGGACAACTTCGCACCTCTCATCTTTGTCCTTGTCATCTAGTCATCTATACCATTACCTCCTAAGCAGGGACATCATGGGTGCCATGAAGCATTCATGCGTGATGGCATTTCTTTGCTTGTCATTTCTTCATGTGTTTGACATTTCTCCTAGCTCCAAACTGGGCCAGCTACCTTTCCTATGAAATCTAGTAGTAGCTGTGGGATTGACGTGGTTGCTCTTTTCATCTTTTTAGATTACCCATTGCTTCTCTCGAAATCCTAGTACATGATTTTTTTTTTTTATCCTATGTGCAGAAATCAGGAAAAAACAAATTCTACAAAGAATTTGAAAGATATTATTTCAGGCCAGGTGTGGTGGCTCATGCCTGTAATCCCAGCACTTTGGGAGGCTGAGGCAGGTGGATGACTTGAGGTCAGGAGTTCAAGACCAGATGGGCCAACATGGTGAAACCCCATCTCTACTAAAAAGACAAAAATTAGCCAGGCATGGTAGCAGGCACCTGTAATCCCAGCTACTTGGGAGGCCGAGGCACAAGAATCGCTTGAATCTGGGAGGTGGAGGTTGCCGTGAGCCAAGGTAGTGCCACTGCACTTCAGCATGGTTGAGAGTGACACTCCATCTCAAGAAAAAAGTCATTTCAATGACTACCTCAGGACATTCATAGGTATCTGACCCACATCTGAGATGGGATTTGCATTGCATTTTCGCTATGATGAGAACAAATATTTAATATCTTAGAAGATTAAAAGCATACTGTGATAATATGGAAATCTTGGAGGGAATTCAGTCATTAGTGAGAATGTTTTGCGTTAAGTTCAAACCAGCCTCAATGAAGCTGATGTGAGGGAAGGGAAAGTGAACTCTGAGTAGAGCAGGGACAGAAGGAAGATGCTCCAGTGCAGATCAGGAAGGAGCAGGGGGTGAAATGTTACAAATTCTAGAACTCAGAGAGCTGAAGGTAATTACTTCCTTTTCAAGTTGTGAAACATGTTAACCTGTGGTAAAATACTTATAAGATGATAATTACCATCTAACCGTGTTGAAGTGTACAGTTCAGTTGTGTGAAGTATATTCATGTCATTTTTTTTTTTTTTTTTTTTGAGACGGAGTCTCACTCTGTCACCAGGCTGGAGTGCAGTGGTGGGATCTTGGCTCACTGCAACCTCTGCCTCCTGGGTTCAAGCAGTTCTCCTGCCTCAGCCTCCCGAGTAGCTGGGACTACAGGCGTGCATCACCATGCTCAGCTAATTTTTGTATTTTTAGTAGAGACGGGGTTTCACCATGTTGCCCAGGATGGTCTCCATCTCTTGACCTTGTGATTCACCCGCCTCAGCCTCCCAAAGTGCTGGGATTACAGGCGTGAGCTACCGCACCTGGGCTATTTTTTTTTTTTTTTTTTTTTTTTTGAGACAGAGTTTCAATTTTGTTGCCCAGGTTTGGAGTGCAATGGCACAATCTCAGCTCACCACAACCTTTTCTTGCTGGGTTCAAGTGATTCTCCTGCCTCAGCCTCCCGACTAGCTGGGACTACAGGCATGCACCACCATGCCTGGCTAATTTTGTATTTTTAGCAGAGACAGCGTTTCTCCATGTTGGTGAGGCTGGTCTCAAACTCCCGACCTCAGGTGATCCGCCTGCCTCGGCCTCCCAAAGTGCTGGGATTACAGGAGTGAGCCACCGTGCCAGCCTCATGTCATTCTTGTGTGTGTGTGTGTGTGTGTGTGTGTGTGTGTGTGTGTGTGTGAGACAGAGTCTCATTCTGTCGCTCAGGCTGGAGTACAGTGGTGTGATCTCGGCTCACTGCAACCTCCGCCTCCCAGCTTCAAACGGTTCTCTGCCTCAGCCTCCCGAGTAGCTTGGATTACAGGCGCCCGCTGCCATGCCTGGCTAATTTTTGTATTTTTAGTAGAGACAGGGTTTCACCATCTTGGCCAGGCTGGTCTTGAACTCCTGACCCCGTGATCCACCTGCCTCGGCCTCCCAAAGTACTGGGATTATTTATACGCATGAGCCACCGTGCCCAGCCGTCATTCTTATATTATTATTTCCTAGGTGTCTTTCCTGAAGACTATCTTCTGGTCTCGAAATGGACATGATGGATCCATGGATGTACAGCAGAGAGCCTGGAGGTCCAACCGCAGTAGACAGAAAGGTATGGCTCTGTTGGAGTCCCCATAGTGTGGAAATGAGTTTGCCCTGGAAAGGGAAAGAACAGCTTCTTGACCTCAGGTTTCTCACCTTCTCCTCTCCTCACTCTCACCAAGGGCTGAGGTCCATTTGTATGCACACAAAGAAAAGAGTTTCTTCCTTTCGAGGAAATAAAATTGGCCTGAAAGACGTCATTACTCTACGGAGGCATGTGGAAACAAAAGTTAGAGCTAAAATCCGTAAGAGGAAGGTGACAACGAAAATCAACCGTCATGACAAAATCAATGGAAAGAGGAAGACCGCCAGAAAACAGTAAGATGTGCCTTGACACAAATACTGTTGTATGAACCATGTGCCAATCAAAGTAGACAACTGTAAAGTCCTTGAGAATATTTTCTACAATATTTGTGGCAAATTCAGTGGGCTCAAAATTGAGTTTGTCCTTTCTGCTTCATTAGTTTAAGCTGTATAATTCCTTTCCCTTCCTACATTCTTGTTTGTAATTTTTTCGGGGGAAGAGGAGTTGCTAGTACTGGCATTGGTTTTCCTTTCTCTCTTTTTTTTTTTTTTTCCTGAGATGGAGCTTTGCTGTTGTTGCCCAGGCTGTAGTGCAATGGCACAATCTCAGCTCACTGCCTTTTGACTTCAAGCAATTCTCCTGCCTCAGCCTCCCAAGTAGCTGGGATTACAGGTGCCCACCACCACGCCCAGCTAATTTTTGTATTTTTACTAGAGATGGGGTTTCACCATGTTGTCCAGGCTGGTCTCGAACTTCTGACCTCAGGTAATCCACCTGCCTCAGCCTCCCAAAGTGCTGGGATTAGAGGCGTGAGCCACCACACCCAGCCTTTTTTTTTTTTTTAAATTTTGAGATAGAATCTCGCTCTGTCGCCCAGGCTGGAGTGCTATGGTGCAATCTTGGCTCACTGCAACCTCTGCCTCCCAGTTTGAAGCAATTCTGCCTCAGCTTCCTGAGTAGCTTGGATTACAGGTGTGTGCCACCACATTCGGCCAATTTTTTTTTTTTTTTTTTTTTTTGAGACAGAGTCTCACTCTGTCACCCAGGCTAGAGTGCAGTGGCATGATCTTGGCTCACTGCAACCTCCGCCTCCCAGGTTCAAGCGATTCTTATCCCTCAGCCTCTTGAGTAGCTGGGACTACAGGCATATGCCACCATGCCCGGATAATTTTTGTATTCTTAGTAGAGGCGGGGTTTCACCATATTGGCCAAGCTGGTCTAGAACTCTGGACATCATGATCCACACACCTCGGCCTCCCAATGTGCTGGGATTACAGGCGTGAGCCACCGTGCCTGGCCCAATTTTTGTATTTTTAGTAGAGACAGGGGTTCACCATGTTGGCCAGGCTAGTCTTGAACTCCTGACCTCAGGTGATCTGCCTACCTCAGCCTCCCAGTGTGAGCCACCGCACCCAGCCTGGATTGTTGAATTCAATGCTTGGGTCACCTCCAGATTCATTTTCACAGTCTTTCATGTTTTGGTCATATTACATTGTATTTTGCTGCCATATGACTGATCTCTTTTTGTTAAATGTGAGATACTTGTTAAAAAATATTTAGCAATGAATTGAGGCCTAGTGGCATGTTATCTTGCTGCAGAAGAGATGGGAGTCTACTTCTGGGGGATGGTCACGGGTCCTCCATACAGGCTGCAATTGAGGTCGTCGGTGCAGGCTCAGTCCCTACAAAGGCCAGGGTATTTCCTGTCTACCTCTATTCTGATGCATGACTCTTCTGGGTCTCAACCAGAGCCAGTGGATTTCAGTACGGGTCGCTTTCATTGGCAGACCCTCAATCCACTTGTTTTCCATCTAATCCCACGCATGTGTGCAAAAGCTGCTGTGCTTCTTTGCATCTCAGTAGTTCCTTCTGGAATTCAGCAATGAAACTCAGGGAAATGGGTTCCAAATGCGAGGCTGACTTTCGTCCTGGGTTTCCTTCTTCTCCATCTTCACCTCATGTCTGTTTACTGCCATGTTAGCAATTTGATGTATTCAATCATGGGTTTTATATTCTGTTTGGTGTCCCCCATTGTTCTCATCGGAGATCAGAAGCTTCAGATGCACTTATGTCAACTCAAGAGTAGAATGCTTCCTTAGCTTCCCTCCAGAGTCAGGTTTTGTGTTTCTAGTTCCCAAGTGGACAGCAGGAGTAGTGATGTCCTCACTGGCTTCTCATTTGCATTAAGCTGTGAGCTTCTTTACCGTGGGGACAGGACCCTGCTCCCATTGCATTCTCAGCACCACACCACACACTCCTTGTTGGAGGCCACTCCAGACAGCATGTGCTGAAGGATGCCCTGTGGTCAGAAACAAGTTCATTAACTTTCTCTTTGAAGTGTTTTCACCCCTGTTTCCTAGCGTTCTGGGAATTTTACACATCCTTCCTATAAAACCAAGTATCAGGTGAGATCCTTAGGATCAGGACCATGAATCAAGTGGTGTGAGGGCAACACAGCAAACTTACCCTTTTTAGGCCATTTCCTTTTTCTGCCCTCAATGTCTGTGAAGTGAACCTTGTTAAAGTCAGTCAACACCAGGGTGGATGGTTTGCCGTTGTCACCTATTTTCAGGACATAACACCCTGACTTAGGAGCCATTCCGATCATTTCTAATTCAATAGATGCGCCCAGCATTCAGATTGCCTTTTCTCTCAACCAGGATCTTTAAAGTCGATGACAAGAGTTCCAGTCCTGAATCATGGCAAAGTGCAGTAGTGAACTGCGGGGTTAATGACACCATATTCTGGAAGGATCTCTCTATGGCTGATGGTCTCAGTTCCGGCATCAGCCTCTGACTGAGAAGCAGGTCTCACACAGGAAGAGTCAGATGAGGAGCAATCCTCTGCTTCCGATGGAGTTAGTTGTGATGAGTTGGTGAGGTCTGGTTTTTCACACTGAACTAAAATGATCTTTCGCTGTGTCAAGCACAAGACTGACCCCAGAGACACACATAGTGCACCTCATAGAAGCTTTTAATAGTCTTTATATTTACTAAAGAATAGGACTAACTATGGAACTATGAAGATGAGCTGGAAATGACAGGTGACTTGCCAGCAGGCCAGAGTGTGATTTTTTTTGGTCCCTCAATGGGAGGTGTCCATTCTCCCTTCGGTTGTGAGAATCAGTTGGTTCATTTGTGGGAAGGTTGCAGGGGGGATCTTTGAATCACAGCCTTCAGATGCCAGAAGGGCAGAGGGAATCCCACATGGACTGGTGGATCATGTGTGTGCATTTCTCTCCCTTCTAACCTGAGGAAACTAAGCATGAAAGAATGTGAGCACGCAGAAAAGGAGAGGCAGGTATCAGAGGCAGAGGAAAATGGGAAATTGGATATGAAAGAAATACACACCTACAAGTGAGTTCAGAAACTGAACCCCACCCTCCTGGGAAACGCCCATTGGAGTGCTGTTTTTAACCTCTGTACAATGTTTAGACCCAGTAAATGCAGAAATAGAAACAAACGGTCAGAAGACATATCGTGAGAGAGAGAGAGAGAGTTCACAAAACAGAAAACAAAGTACCTTAATATTTACCAGTGACCAAAAGATGTGAAGTAGCAAAACGGCTCCTGACCCCATTACCAGCTAGACTGTGTGGAAACTCGGTTCATACCAGCCATTCTAGGGGTGGGGTGAGTTGTTGTCATCCTTAGGAAAGTGTGTTGTTGTAGGATCAACCACATCCTTCAAAAGGACTATGCCTGTTTATAAGCCCAGCTGTTTCTGCCCTGTGAAACACGGTAAGGATATTAATACAAAGAGAATACAGCTTTATGATAAAAGATGCTCAATGAAGGATGAATTAGGGATATACTGAGAATGGGGAAGGAAACTATCATCTCAGAAGTCAACAGGCAGTAAGCAAGAGGAGGAATCAATACAGCAACAGTTTGGATCAGACCGTACAGTTTTTTTGTTTTTGTTTTTGTTTTTGTTTTTCTGAGATGGCGTCTCGCTGTGTCACCCAGGCTGGAGTGCAATGACGTGATCTTGGCTCACTGCAACCTCCGCCTCCCAGGTTCAAGTGATTCCCCTGCCTCAGCCTCCCGAGTAGCTGGGATTACAGGTGCCTGCCACCACGCCCGGCTAATCTTTTGTATTTTTAGTAGAGACGGGGTTTCACCGTATTAGCCAGGATGGTCTCAATCTCCTGACCTCGTGATCCATCCGCCTCGCCCTCCCAGAGTGCTGGGACTACAGGCATCAGCCACCGTGACCGGCTCAGACTGTACTCTTATAGCCATCTGAAATACGTTTTCTAGGTAGAGATAGATTGTGTAAGGGTACAGTTGTGAGGATAACAGAAACATGGCAGATTATTTAAAATCATCCTGAACGTGGTGCTTTATCTGATGAAAGTGATTGTAATCCATAGGAAAATGTTTCAACGTGCGCAAGAGTTGCGGCGGCGGGCAGAGGACTACCACAAATGCAAAGTAAGGAGCTTCCTCCCCGCAGTTGCAGGATAGTTCAGTGCTGATGCAGATGATGCCACGGCTCTTAGACTCTCTCAACATTCAATTTCTCATGTGTTGGCTTTTTCAGATCCCCCCTTCTGCAAGAAAGCCTCTTTGCAACTGGGTAAGTTTGTTTGTTTTCCTTGCTTTTGAACATAGTCTGCCAGGTCAGGACATGGATACATTTTTCTCCCTACAGCTCTGTGCTCAAGCCCTGCAGAGGGAGATGGCAGAGAGGAAGGCTGCCTACAGGCATCACAGTCCCATCCCTGTTGGTAACCGTGTTGTGCAAAAACACCTTCATCCCCACCCAGTGGGGCCCCTGATCTAAATTCAAAGTGTCAGAGGTTCCATATTTGTAATAGCAAATGGGCCCTGACTGTAAATTAGTGAAGAGTGAATGTAACTTATTACCCACAGGGACAATTCCAAATGAAGGCCTTAAATGATGCTCAGCTAAGCTGGTTCTTGTGTGGCCTCTGTACCTTCAAAAGCTGCCGAGTCCTATGATTACACGTGATGGGACTTGTACACTTGAAGTGAAACACAGTTTTAAAACTTGCTTTGTTTAGAATTCCCACCTCATTTTTCCATGGACAAAAGTATTCTTTATGTCCTAGTGCACTTACAATTTGGTATTACCTGGGAGTGAAAAGAAATATTACAGCCATGCCTAAGTGACTTCTTGAGGTGAGATTGTTCTGTCAGAAAACCCTCTCCCAGTTCCCCTGCAGCTCTTCAGGAATCCACATCTCTCCAGAGCTCTTTGTTCTCATGGGTGGCACCTCCAGAGTGAAGAAGATCCTTTGTCAAGAAGGGAAACAGAGGGGAAATGAGAGGGTCCTGCAGGCAGAGCTGGAATCAACTTCCACTCTGCCTCTTGCAAGCTGTGTGACCCTGGGCACAATTTCTCCTTCCTCTGGAAACCTCTGTTTTCTTAGATTTGGAGCAGGGTGGTCACACTGACCTTGCAGAGTTCTGAGAGTCAGAGACAGAACATGAAAGGCCTGGAAAACATTCTCCAAAAAGAAGCTGCAACATGTGTGGACAATGGGCTTTTCATGCCTCTCTTACTGTCTCTTACTGTCTGTTGACCTGGTGCAAGAAACATGCTCTGGTGATGGCTGTGAGGGAGGAATGAGGATAGACATAGACACTCCTGTGTCTCAAACATGCTTCTTTATTACTCTGTTATGACTCTGTCTTCCCTGGGGCAGGACCCCAGCCTGCCTACATTTGCAGACAGACACAGTGGCATGTGGAGACAACAGTGTGTCCCAATGACTTTTCTTTACCCCCCAGCTGTCGGCAGTACTCAGTGGAAGGGTGATATTATGACACTGATACTGCTATTTTGAAACCTGGAGGATGGAAAGGTGCAAAAATCTATCACCAGCAACAGAAGGTGCAGACTGTGTTGGTGGTGGTAATTTTGTCCATCAAATGAATATGTGTGAAAACATTCCCTCCTTTGGCCCTACAGGTCAGAATGGCGGCAGCGGAGCATTGTCATTCTTCAGGATTGCCCTACTGGCTCTACCTCACAGCTGAAACTTTAAAAAACAGGATGGGCCGCCAGCCACCTCCTCCAACTCAACAACATTCTATAACTGATAACTCCCTGAGCCTCAAGACACCTCCCGAGTGTCTGCTCACTCCCCTTCCACCCTCAGTGGATGATAATATCAAGGAGTGTCCTCTTGCTCCTCTTCCACCCTCTCCTCTTCCACCCTCAGTGGATGATAATCTGAAGGAATGTCTCTTTGTCCCGCTTCCACCCTCTCCTCTTCCACCCTCAGTGGATGATAATCTGAAGGAATGTCTCTTTGTCCCGCTTCCACCCTCTCCTCTTCCACCCTCAGTGGATGATAATCTCAAGACTCCTCCCTTAGCTACTCAGGAGGCCGAGGTGGAAAAACCACCCAAACCCAAGAGGTGGAGGGTGGATGAGGTGGAACAATCGCCCAAGCCCAAGAGGCAGAGGGAGGCCGAGGCACAACAATTACCCAAACCCAAGAGGCGGAGGTTGAGTAAGCTGAGAACACGCCATTGCACTCAAGCCTGGGCAATAAGAATAAATCCGTAGGTCGAAAAAAAGAAAAAAATCAAAAAACAAAACAAAACCCACGCTCCAAAAACAAACTAACGAAGAATAAATAAATAATATAAAAATAAAATAAATACTGCAGTCCTTATGTTATTGCTTTGTTTCAATATCTGGTATGATTGCCTGAGGGACCTGAGGTTTTTAATTAATTGTAGGGTTTTTTTTTTAATCTTTAGAAGTGGTTGGTTATGTAAAATATTATTATTATTATTATTATTTTTTGAGACTGGGTTTTGCTCTGTCACCCAGGCTGGAGTGCAGTGGCTCGATCACAGCTCACTGCAGCCTCAACCTCCTGGGCTTCAAGCAATCCTCCTGCCTCAGCCTCCCAAGTAGCTGGGATCACAGATGTATGTGTGCCACCACGCCTGGCCAATGTTAAAAAATCCTTTAACTTTTTTGTAGAGATGCACTCCTGGACTCAAGCGATCCTCCTACTGGTCCCGACCACCAGCCTCTTTCTGATAAACATTTACACTGTTTATTATCTGATGCCATTTCTATCTTCTTCCTTGTCGTCCAGACATCAAAGAATTAGGTTTCTTCAGGGTTTTCTTTTTCAAGTCCTCATTGTTAAAGATCACTCACATTAGGGCCAGACACCACGACTCATGCCTGTAATCCCAGCACTTTGGGAGGCCGAGGCGGGCAGAGCACTTGAGGTGGGGAGTTTGAGACCAGCCCGGCCAACTTGGTGAAACCCCACCTCTACTGAAAAACATACAAAAATTAGCTGGGCGTGATGGTGCATGCCTGTAGTCCCAGCCACTTGGGAGGCTGAGGCATGAGAATCGCTTGAACCCAGGAGGCAGAGGTTGTAGTGAGCCAAGATCACATCAGCACACTCTAGCCTGGGTGACAGAGCGAGACTCTGACTCAAAAAATAAATAAAATAAATATCACTTACATTAGATATACCCAAGGGGTGTTCTATAGAGAGTTGGAAGCAGTGGTTATTGCAACAGGGGCACGGAAGTCATCTGGCTATGCCAGGGTGCCCAGGGGATACTCGGGGTGGGTGGCATGGTGCTGCTGGGGACTCACCGCACAGGACGCTCTGATTGACGCACTGCCAGGAGTAGCGCTCTGTCTTGGGGCTGCAGCCGGCCTCCTCAGCTCGAGTGTAACAACAGTCGTGGCCATGGCAGCACCTGCGGATGTCACATGGGCAGGACAGCAGGTGGGTGAAGCTCTCTCCTGGCCCTCCTCTCTTGCCAGGACCATGGGTGACTGAAGACCCCCAGGGAGGCACAGCATCCTCTTATCTAAGTTTTTTTTTTTTTTTTTTTTTTTTTTTTTTTTTTTTTTTTTTAAGAGACAGGGTCTTTCTCTGTCGCCCAGGCTGGACTGCAGAGGCACAATCATAGCTCACGGCAGCCTTGAACTCCTGGGCTCAAGCGATCCTCCTACTTCAGTGTCCCAAGTAGCTGAGACTACAGGCACACGCCAGCATGCCCGGCTGGTTTTTTAATTTGTATTTCCTTTGAGACAGCGTATCTCTCTGTTGCTCAGGCTGGGGTGCAATGGCTCCATCAGCTCACTTTAGCCTTGAACTCCCGGGCTCAAGTCATACTGCCACCTCAACTTCCCAAGTATGCTACTACAGGAACACAAACTCCTTTTTTAAATTTTTTGTGGATATGGGGGTCTCACTATGTTGCCTAGGCTGGTCTCGAACTCCCAGGCTCAAGCAGTCCTCCTACCTCAGCCTCTCCAAATGCTGGGATTACAGGTGGGAGCTACTGTATGCCTGGCCTTATCTAAGCTGTTTCCCTGAAAATCCCCGACTTCGATAATGATTCCATTGGCCCCACCATGCCCTGTCCTGCCTTCCTGGCTGTGCCCAAGCTTGGTCCCTGCCTGCCTGCCTCACTCTCTGGGTCTCGAGCTCCTGTGACACATGACTCCTCTCTCTTCCTGGAGTGATCCAAGCCCTGCCACTTCCTGACTTTGCCCACACTGTACCCTCTGCCTGGGGCAACTTCATGTCTGCCCATTGTCCCTTAGGCCTCAGCCCAGGCACAAGCCCCTGCCTCCGGAGGTCATCCAGGCCTCACCAGGCTACACCCTCTCGTAAAATTGGATTCCCTCCCTTCAGGGCAGGTTTATAATGAAATCCTCCTCAGAGGCCAGGTGCGGTGACACGCATCTGTAATCCCAGCACTTTGGGAGGCTGAGGTGGGAGGATCACTTGAGGCCAGGGGGTCGAGACCAGCCTGGGCAACATAAGAGAGACTCTTGTCTCTATAACAAATTTAAAAATTAGCTCACCAGGCCAGGCTCAGTGGCTCATGCCTGTAATCCCAACACTTTGAGAGGCCGAGGCAGGTGGATCACGAGGTCAGGAGTTCGAGAGCAGCCTGACCAACACGGCGAAACCCTGTCTCTACTAAAAATACAAAATTAGCCAGGCATGGTGGCACGCACCTGTAATCCCAGTTACTCGGGAGGCTGAGGTAGGAGAATTGCTTGAACCCAGGAGGTGGAGGTTGCGGTGAGCCAAGATCATGCCACTGCAGTCCAGCCTGAGCAACAGAGCAAGACTCTGTCTCAAGACAATAAAAACACACAAAAAATTAACTCGCCATGATGGCACATGCCTATAGTCCTAGCTACTTGGGAGGCTGACGTGGGAGGATTCCCTTCAGCCCAGGAGTTTGAGGCTGCAGTGAGCCACTATGATTGTGCCACTGCACTCTAACCTGGGCAAAAGCGAGACCCCAGGCTAGAGTGCATGATTTTGGGTCACTGCAACCTCCACCTCCCAGGTTCAAGTGGTTCTCCTGCCTCAGCCTCTTGAGTAGCTGGGACTACAGGCATGTGCCACCACGCCTGGGTAATTTTTGTATTTTTAGTAGAGACAGGGTTTAGTAGAGACCATGGTGAAACCCCGTCTCTATAAAACAAATCTCTATTAACCCCATCTCTACAAAAAACAGCTGGGCGTGGTAGTGCACACCTGTAATTCCAGCTACTTGGGAGGCTGAGGCACGAGAATCATTTGCATCTTGGAGGCAGAGTTTGCAGTGAGCTGAGATCGCACCACTGCACTCCAGCCGGGATGACAGAGCAAGACCCTGTCTCAAAAAAAAGAAAAAGGAACAAACAACAGCAACAACAAAAAAACCTCTGTGTCAATCACAGCCTTCAAGCTAGGGGAGAGGCGGCCGAATTCTGCCCTCTGCTAACTAACTATAGCTTTGTGGAAATGGGTGAGTGGCATGCCCCTGTGAGCCTCAGGGCCCCATCTGTAAAATGGGCATAACTGTCATGCCCGTCTTTAAGAACAGCCTTGGGGGTAAATGAGTGGAACTCATGGAAAGATCTCAGCCCACAACCTTCCACAGAACAGGCGCTTCTCACACAGTAAGTAGCAGGAGTGCAGAGGCTGCAGGCATGAATCCAGCCAGACTGCCTGGGTTCAAGTCCCAGCTCCCACGTCTTGGTAACTAAGTGGCCTCAGACAAGTTACTTAATATTTCTTTTTTTTTTTTTTTTCAGAAGGAGTTTTGCTCTGTCACCCAGGTTGGAGTGCAGTGGTGTGATCTCGGTTCATTGCAACCTCTGCCTCCCGGGTTCAAGCAATTCTCCTGCCTCAGCTTCCTGAGTAGCTGGAATTACAGGCACCTGCCACCACACACAGCTAATTTTTGTATTTTTAGTAGAGACGGGGTTTCACCATGTTGGCCAGGATGGTCTCGAACTCCTGACCTCATGATCTGCCTGCCTCAGCCTCCCAAAGTACTGGGATTACAGGCGTGAGCCACCGCACCTGGACACGTTACTGAATATTTCTGTGCCTAGGTTTCTTCATCTGTGAAATGGGATTGTTGTGAGAACACAAAGGGATTCCCAGGGCAGTTCCTAGTGCATAGTCTGGCTGCCTTTGTGTGTGTGTGTGTGTGTGTGTGTGTGTGTGTGTGTGTGTGTGTGTGTGTTTGTGTTTAATATAGAGACAGGGTCTCACTCTGTTGCCTAGGTTCGTTTCAAACTCCTGGGCTCCAGTGATCCTCCTGCCTCGACCCAAAGTGGTGGGATTACAGGCATGAGTCAACACACCTGGCCACTTTATATTATTATTATTTTTTTCTTTTGAGACAGGGTTTGGCACTGTTGTCCAGGTTGGAATACAGCGGTGCAATCTCAACTCACTGCAAACTCCACCTCCCGGGTTCAAGCAATTCTCCTGCCTCAGTCTCCCGAGTAGCTGAGATTACAGACGCCTGCCACCACACACAGCTAATTTTTGCATTTTTAGTAGAGATGGGGTTTCACCATATTGGCCAGGCTGGTCTTGAACTCCTGACCTCAAGTGATCTGCCCGCCTCGGCCTCCCAAAGTGCTGGGATTACAGGAGTTAGCCACCGCTCCTGGCCAATTTTTTAAGGCAACGTTTTCAGCCCATGGCCAGGGTAAGGGGCAGCTGGTACCAAGATCTGGCTTCACTGGCCATGTTATCCAAGAGGCCTCTGCCTGCCTGCAAAGTAGTACTGCACACTGGGATCTCCCTGGACCAAATCCCAGCTTCAGTTTTGGGTACTTCCTCATAAGCCTTGACTACCCCAGAGTGTGAGGGATTTTGTAGCCTGGTCCCAGGCATGCACTCACCAGTCAATGGCATCGCAGGGCTGGCCATGGCCTCCCAAGCCACAAAAGGAACCATATTTCGTATAGGTGATGGGAGTCTAGGGACCAACACAACCCACAATTCCTGCCAGTTCCAGGATCCCACGCCGGTGCACACATAATATCCTGGAGGCTGGGGGGTAAACAAAGGTGACAGGCTGCAGGTCAGGGCTTCCCAGACCCCTGGGAAGGGCATGAGCCTGAGAAGAGCCTAGGTGTTACAGCCTGGCTGTCTGGGTTTGAATCCTACTTCCTAGCTGTGTGACCTTGGATGAATTCCTAACCTCTCTGGGCCTTGGTTTCCTCATCTGTGAAATGGGGGATAAGCTGATTTCAACTCATATGAATGAAATGAGATAATGAGTATAAAGCCCCTGGTGCATGAAAAGGCTATTATAATCCGGCTGGGCTCAGTGGCTCACACCTGTAATCCCAAGACTTTGGGAGGCCCAGGTGGGCAGATCACCTGAGGTCAGCAGTTCAAGATCAGCCTGGCCAACATGGTGAAACCCCATCTGTAGTAAAAATACAAAAATTAGCTGAGCCTAGTGGTGCACACCGGTAATCCCAGCTACTAGGGAGGCTGAGGAAGGAGAGTCACTTGAACCTGAGAGGTGAAGATTGCAGTGAGCCAAGATTTTGCCACTGCATTCCAACCTGGACGACAGAGCAAGAGTCTCAAAAAAAGAAAAAGAAAAAAAGGATAACTATTATAATCAAGGTCCTCAAGGTAGCCAAGAAGGGAAAAAAGAGTCGTGCATGAAACGTTTGTCCAGTTCCCTGTGTTGGGCACTGGGCATCACGGATGTGCCTACAGGTGTCTGTCACCAAGATGGGCTCCTCTGTGGCAGCTCCCGGGCCCTGGCACTGCCCTGTGCTCATGACTTCCCCTCCAGACTCAGGGCCCTTGGTATCTCCTCTTATTTTCACTGCCAGACAGGAAGGCCCCTTGGCCTGAGTCCAGCCATTTTTCTAGATCCTGGCACAGCTTGGACATGTAATGGTGCCCAACGCATGTGACTGGAACCCCTGCATTGGACATGAAGGAAACGAGGCCAGCTGGGAAAGGTAACCCCACATTCCCACAGCCAGCAGGAACCCAAGCAGAGGCTTCAACCCAGGCTTCTGACTTGCAAAGCAGTGCTCCTTCCTCCTTACACAGTAACAACAGGGGAAGGTGGCCTTCCGGGTTGCCAGAGCCGAGTGGTACCAGCAATAGAGTGGAAACTCACACACAGGCTTGCCTGCTTCCTGGGTTAGGGTTAGGGTTTATATGGCTCCGGGAGGTTGATGCATTGTGTTTGATCTTCCCCCTTTTTTTTTTTTTTGAGACAGAGTCTCATTCCTGTTGCCCAGGCTGGAGCACAGTGGTGTAATCTTGCTCACAGCAACTTCTGCCTCCCAGGTTCAAGCAATTGTCCCGCCTCAGCCTCCCGAGTAGCTGGGATCACAGGTGTGCGCCACCACACCCAGCTGATTTTTGTATTTTTAGTAGAAACGGGGTTTCACCATCTAGGCCAGGCTGGTCTTGAACTCCTGACCTCATATGATCCACCTGGTTTGGCCTCCCAAAGTGCTGGGATTATAGGCGTGAGCCACTGCGCTCATCCTGATCATCTCGTCTCTCTTTTTTTTTTTAGAGACAGGGTCTCACTCTGTCACCCACACTGGAGTGCAGTGGCACAATCATAGCTCACTGCAGCCTCCAAATCCTGGGCTCAAGCGATCCTCCTGCCTCAGCCTCCAGACATATGGGCATGCACCACCATGCCCAGCTAATTTTTAAATTTTTAGTAGATCTGGGGTCTCACTATGTTGCCCAGGCTGTTCACAAACTCCTGGCCTCAAGTGATTCTCCTGCCTTGGCCTCCGAAGGCGCTGGGATTTCAGGCATGAGCCACCATGCCCAGTCTCATTTCTGTTTTATCTAGAACATGTTTTCATCACACTGACTTTTTTGAGAAGTCCAGGCCAGATTTAAATTCCATTTTGTCTTTTTATCGGTGGAAAAGTAGCATATTTATGTTGCAGGACAAAGATGAATCAAATAGGAAGAAAATGTAAAACACATTTGGGGCCAGGCACAGTGGCTCATGCCTGTAATCCCAGCACTTTGGGAGGCCAAGGTGGGCAGATCACCTGAAGTCAGGAGTTCCAGACCAGCCTGACCAACATGGAGAAACCATGTTTTTTTTTTTTTTTTTTTTTTTTTTTATTGATCATTCTTGGGTGTTTCTCGCAGAGGTGGATTTGGCAGGGTCATAGGACAATAGCGGAGGGAAGGTCAGCAGATAAACAAGTGAACAAAGGTCTCTGGTTTTCCTAGGCAGAGGACCCTGCGGCCTTCCGCAGTGTTTGTGTCCCTGGGTACTTGAGATTAGGGAGTGGTGATGACTCTTAACGAGCATGCTGCCTTCAAGCATCTGTTTAACAAAGCACATCTTGCACCACCCTTAATCCGTTTAACCCTGAGTGGACACAGCACATGTTTCAGAGAGCACAGGGTTGGGGTAAGGTCACAGATCAACAGGATCCCAAGGCAGAAGAATTTTTCTTACTACAGAACAAAATGAAAAGTCTCCCATGTCTACTTCCTTCTACACAGACACGGCAACCATCCGATTTCTCAATCTTTTCCCCACCTTTCCCCCCTTTCTATTACACAAAACCGCCACTGTCATCATGGCCCGTTCTCAATGAGCTGTTGGGCACACCTCCCAGCCGGGGTGGCGGCCGGGCAGAGGGGCTCCTCACTTCCCAGTAGGGGTGGCCGGGCAGAGTCGCCCCTCACCTCCCGGACAGGGCGGCTGGCCGGGTTGGGGGCTGACCCCCCCACCTCCCTCCCGGGTGGGGCGGCTGGTTGGGCGGGGGACTGATCCCCCCACCTCCCTCCCGGGTGGGGCGGCTGGCCGGGCGGGGGGGCTGACTCCCCCACCTCCCTCCCGGACGGGGCGGCTGGCCGGGCGGGGGGGCTGACCCCCACCTCCCTCCCGGACGGGGTGGCTGCCGGGCGGAGACACTCTTCACTTCCCAGACGGGGTGGCTGCCGGGCGGAGGGGCTCCTCACTTCTCAGACGAGGCGGCTGCCGGGCGGAGGGGCTCCTCACTTCTCAGACGGGGCGGTCGCCAGGCAGAGGGTCTCCTCACTTCTCAGACGCTCCTCACCTCCCAGACGGGGTCGCGGCCGGGCAGAGGCACTCCCCACATCTCAGACGATGGGCAGCCTGGCAGAGACACTCCTCACCTACCAGATGGGATGGCGGCCGGGAAGAGGCGCTCCTCACTTCCTAGATGGGATGGCGGCCGGGCAGAGAGGCTCCTCACTTTCCAGACTGGGCAGCCAGGCAGAGGGGCTCCTCACATCCCAGATGATGGGCGGCCAGGCAGAGACGCTCCTCACTTCCCAGACGGGGTGGCGGCCGGGCAGAGGCTGCAATCTCGGCACTTTGGGAGGCCAAGGCAGGCGGTTGAGAGGTGGAGGTTGTAGCGAGCCGAGATCATGCCACTGCACTCCAGCCTGGGCACCATTGAGCACTGAGTGAACGAGACTCCGTCTGCAATCCCAGCACCTCGGGAGGCCGAGGCTGGCGGATCACTAGCGGTCAGGAGCTGGAGACCAGCCCGGCCAACACGGCGAAACCCCGTCTCCACCAAAAAACACAGACGGCGCGTGCCTGCAATCCCAGGCACTTGGCAGGCTGAGGCAGGAGAATGAGGCAGGGAGGTTGCAGTGAGCCGAGATGGTGGCAGTACAGTCCAGCCTCGGCTCGGCATCAGAGGGAGACTGTGGAAAGTGAGAGAGGAAGGGGGAGGGGGAGGGAGAGGACAAAAAATTAAAATTTAGCCGGACATGGTTGTGTGTGCCAGTAGTCCAAGCTGCTGGGGAGACTGAGGCAGGAGGATCACTTGAGCCCAGGAACTTAAGGTCTATTTAAGTAAAGGGTACAGTGAGCTGTGATTATACCACTGCACTCCAGCCTGGGGAATAGAGCAAGACCCTGTCTCTAAAAAAAGGTAACAAAATAACATGAATGGATTCCATTTTAAGAGAATGAAGCATCATTGTGTAAGACTATGAAATTGGAAGCAAAGAGCATGAAGCCCAAAAAAAAAAAAAAAACCATCTGAAGTCAGGGTGCCTGGGGTCAGAGGTGGGGGGAGGATTGAAGAGGTGCAGATGTAAAAAACTGAAGCTACTGTGACCAGTGGATTCGGGAGTTGAAGGAGTCAAGAATGACACATTCTCCTGACTGGAGGATAAACAAATATGACTGTTTTCAAGAAATAGCTGGAATATTCTTTGTGTTCAGAAGTACAAGAACAGCACATATGGAGGGCGGACTGATACTGAAGTTGAAGAGAAGCCTTCTGATGTGCACTAACTAGATTCTAGACTCAGCTTCTGTCACAAGGAGCCCCAAACAGTGACTCAGCAAAATAGCTTATTTCTCATGTGACAGTTCAGAGGTGATTGGTCCAGGGTTAGGGTTAGACAACAACCGTTATGCAAAATCATCTAGGGACCCAGGGCTGCGCTGTCATGTTGCTCTTGCATCCCCAAGGTTGTCATCTGTGTGGTTAAAGCGGCTCACCAGCCCCAAGTCCTCGTTCAAGCCCATGTAAAAGGAAGCGGAAATACAGGGCCTGGAAATTACACTGATCCCATTGGCCAGAACTTAGTCTCACCTTCTTACCACCCTATATGCGAGACTAAAATGCCTCTAGCTGGATAGTTACATGTTCATTTAAACTTGGGTCATTTTGTTTCTAAATGAAGGGAAGGGGCACAAGTATTAGTCTGTCACAGAAGAGAAAGAACAGAGAGAAAGGTTTTGAAGGGAATGACTTATAAATAGTTACCCGAAGTCTGGTCGTGGCTGACATCAGAGCCAGCATGTTGACCACTTCCATACTGCGTGCTTTAGCTGCCTTATCTCACTTAATCTCAGAATAACCCTATTGTCATTCCCAACTTGTAGATGGGAAAACAGACCCAAAGAGAAGTGATTTACCTTCCACACAATGGGGAAGTAAGGGGGCTAGGTGCACGTCAAGGCAGCCTGTGCCTGGCTCTTATACCTGGTGCTGCTTACATTTCCAGAGGGGGCAGCCTAGAGGAGAGGCCTAGGGACTGGACTCAACGTGCGAGTGCTTGGTGGAAGGGAAGCCAGAGGATCGAGTGGCCAGAGGTTAAGAACCAGGGAGGAGCAGTGATGAAAAGGCTGGAGAGCTTATGCATTTCAGGGCTGGGCTGCCAAGTACCTCACTTGGCCAGTTCAGCATTCTTAGGCAGGAGGCACAGCCATTGTGTTGTCCAATGCCAGGGTATATACCTTTTTCAGTTTCCAATCTACCAATGGTGACCTTTGAACAGCATTGTCAAACCCTTTTCTGCCCAGGGCTAGATAGTATATATTTTAAGCTTTGTGGGCCACACGTGGATTGTCACTCCTTTTCTTAACTTTTTTTTTTTTTTTTTGAGACAGGGTCTCCGCTCTGTCGCCCAGGCTGTTAACTACCGTTAACATTTTAATGCCTCTCTTTCTGGTGTGTGTATATTTATTACTAGACTGGAATCATCCTATATCTATGTCATCTGTTGCTGTTTCCTGTCCCTTTACATAAAGTGAGCTGCTTTCTGAAATTTTATTTATTTTATAATTTATTTATTTTATAGACAGAGTCTTGCCCTGTCACCCAGGTTGGAGTTCAGTGGTGCAATCTCAGCTCACTGCAATCTCAGCCTCCCGAGTAGCTGGGACTACAGACACTCGCCACCACACCCGGCTAATTTTCATATTTTTAGTACAGATGGGTTTTCACCATGTTGGCCAGACTGGTCTTGAACTCCTGGCCTCAAGTGATCTGCCCGCCTCAGCGTCCCAAAGTGCTGGGATTACAGGCATGAGCCACCATGCCCGGCCTCCCCTCCCTTTAAATAACATGAACTGCTTTCCTAAATTTTAGCTAATCCCCTGGGTTGGAAGGTGGGAGGGCATAGGGGCCAAAAGGACAAGGCTCAAGTCAAGATGCCTGGGTTCACATTCCAGCCCTTCCCTTAGAAGCTGCCACCCTTGGGACAATCTCGCTTCTCTAAGCCTCAGCGGCTTCATCTGTGAAAGATCATCTCTCTTTGTTGGAGTTGCTGTGCATTCCGTGAAAGGGCCGTATATGCCAAGTGACCCTCATGCCAAAGGAGCCAAAAAAAAAAAGGAAGCAGACAAATCCAGTTTGTCAGTTTTGGGTGATTTATTAAGGAACTTACACACAAAAGCATGGTCTTGGGCTGCGCCATGACAGATCTCCACACCACAGCCCCAAGACCTACCGCTTATGTCTTGGAGCAAAAGCATAGTGCTCTGGAAGGAATGTATAGGTGGCTACAGTGCTCACAGCCTGTCATTTCTGCAACAACAGGGTGGTTTTGGAGGAAATTTACAATTAACAGATGTTCCTACATAAACAGTCATACATCCACCAGGCATGGTGGCACACAACTATAGTCCCAGCAACTCAGAAGACTGAGGTGGGAGGATCACCTGAGCCTGGAAGGTCGAGGCTTCAGTGAGCTGTCATCACACCACTGCATTCCAACCTGGGTGACAGACAGACTGTCTCAAGACACAAAAGCACGAGAAGAGAAGCAGTTTGAATAAAGTACTGTCTCTAATGAAAAGTACTTTAGGCTGGGCATGGTGGCTCATGCCTGTAATCCCAGCACTTTGGGAGGCTGAGGCAGGTGGATCACAAAATCAGGAGTTCGAGACCAGCCTGACCAACATGGTGGAACCCCATCTCTACTAAAAATACAAGAATTAGCCAGGCATAGTGGTGCATGACTGTAGTCCAAGCTACTTGGGAGGCTAAGACAGGAGAATTGCTTGAACCCAAGAGGTGGAGGTTGCAGTGAGCCACGATTGTGCCATTGCACTCCAGCCTGGGTGACAGAGTGAGACTCCATCTCAAAAGAAAAAAAGTACTTAAAAAAATTTTTTTTTAATTAAAAAAGCCAGACGTAGGCAGGTGGATCATGAGGTCAGGAGATCAAGACCATCCTGGCCAACATGGTGAAACCCCATCTCTACTAAAAATACAAAAATAAGCCAGGTGTGGTGGCACACACCTGTAATCCCAGCTACTCGGGAGGCTGAGACGGGAGAATCCTTTGAACTCAGGAGGCGGAGGTTGTAGTGAGCCGAGATTGCGCCACTGCACTCCAGCCTGAGCAACAGTGAGACTCCATCTCAAAAACAAAAACAAAAAAAGCAAGCCAGGCACGGCTCACACCAGTAATCCCAGCACTTTGGGAGGCCAAGTCGGGAGGATTGCCTGAGCCCAGGAGTTTGAGACCAGCATGGACAACATGGTGACACCCGTCTTTATAAAAATTTTTTAAAAAATAAAAGGTAATACATCAAGACTGTGTACAGTGGCTCATGCCTGTAATCTCAGCACTTTGGGAGGCCAAGGCGAGAATTGCTTGAGATCAGGAATTTGAGACCACCCTGGGCAACATAACAAGACCCCAACTCTACAAAAAAAAAATTTTAATGAGCAGGGGGCATTTGTTGAGCTGGCCTATTGTCCCAGCTACTTGGAGGCTGACAGTTCAAGTGCCAGGGTCCGAGCCAGAAGATGTGGGGTGTAACCTATGGTGAACGGGTTGTGGTCTGTATCACACCAGAGTTCATAGCCTAAGTAAAGGGGAGAGGAGGCAGCGACTGTGCTGCCGGGGTGGGAACCAAACTTCCCTTTCAGTCTCTTCCACTGACCTGACACTTCCCTTGTAGGGCCTCAGGATCCTCATCTTTCTAATGAAGAGGATCGTTTCCAAAGGATGGCAAACTTCAGTACCTTCTAATCAGTTATCTAAATTTTTTTTTTTTGAGACGGAGTCTTGCTCTGTCACCCAGGCTGGAGTGCAGTGGCGTGATCTTGGCTCACTGCAGCCTCTGCCTCGGATTCAAGCGATTCTCCTGCCTCAGCCTCCTGAGTAGCTGGGATTACAGGCATCCACCACCATGCCTGGCTATCAGTTATCTAATTTTATTTTACTTAAAATTATTGAGGTGAAATAACATAAAGTAACCATTTTATTTATTTATTTCTATTTATTTATTTATTTGAGATGGGGTTTTGCTCTTGTTGCCCAGGCTGGAGTGCAGTGGCACAATCTCGGCTTACTGCAACCTCTGCCTCCTGGGATCAAGTGATTCTCCTGCCTCAGCCTCCTGGGTAGCTGGGATTATAGGCACACACCACCATGCCTGGCTAATTTTTGTATTTTATTAGTAGAGATGGGTTTCGCCATGTTGACCTGGCTGGTCTCGAACTCCTGACCTCAGGTGATCTGCCCACTTTGGCCTCCCAAAGTATTTATTTTATTTTGAGACAGGGTCTTGCTCTGTCATCCTGGCTGGAGTGCAATGATAGCTCACTGCAGCCTTGAACGAACTCGTGGGTTCTCAGCCTCCATCTCAGCCTCCAGATAACTGGGGCTATGGCTAATGTTTTTGTTTGTTTGTTTGTTTGTTTTGAGACAGAGTCTCACTCTGTTACCCAGGCTCAAATGCAATGGCGAGATCTTGGCTCACTGCAACCTCCACTTCCCAGGTTCCAGTGATTCCCCTGCCTCAGCCTCTCGAGTAGCTGGGATTACAGGCGCTCATTACCACAACTGGCTAATTTTTTTTTTTTTTTAATACAGAGATGAGGTTTCACCATATTGGCCAAGCTGGTCTCAAACTTCTGATCTCGGGTGATCCACCTGCCTCAGTCTCCCAAAGTGCCATGCCCAGCTAATTTTTAAATTGAGACCAGGTCTCCCTGTGTTAACCATGCTGATCTTGAACTTCCAGGATCAAGTGATCCTTCTGCCTGGGCCTCCCAAAGTGCTGGAATTCCAGGCATAAGCCATCATGGCTGGCCTGATTTTTTAAAAGAAACAGAAATTGGGATTTTATTGTGAAATCTCCTGATCTTAGTATATTGGATTTCATTATTTTTACATCAGGCAGATAATGTGTCAATGTCAAAACAAGGTTTGAGGGAGGTGCAACTCACGCATGAGCATGAAAACACAGTCATCACGTTTATGAACTACAAAAAGATGTGGCTTTAATTATTTGAAAGACATCTTGGCCAGGCCCGGTGGCTCACTCCTGTAATCCCAGCACTTTGGGAGGCCGAGGCAGGTGGATCACCTGAGGTCAGGAGATCGAGACCATACTGGTCAACATGGTGAAACCCTGTCTCTACGGGCCGGGTGCGGTGGCTCAAGCCTGTAATCCCAGCACTTTGGGAGGCCGAGGTGGGTGGATCACAAGGTCAGGAGATCGAGACCATCCTGGCTAACATGGTGAAACCCCATCTCTACTAAAAATACAAAAAATTAGCCGGGTGTGGTGGCGGGCACCTGTAGTCCCAGCTACTCAGGAGGCTGAGGCAGGAGAATGGCATGAACCTGGGAGGTGGAGGTTGCAGTGAGCCGAGATCATGCCACTGAGCTCCAGCCTGGGTGAAAGAGCGAGACTCCGTCTCCAAAAAAAAAAAAAAAAGAAAGAAAGAGAAAGAAACCCTGTCTCTACTAAAAATACAAAAATTACCTGGGCATGGTGGTGGGAGCCTGTGGTCCCAGTTACTCAGGAGGCTGAGGCAGAAGAATCGCTTGAACCCAGGAGGTGGAGATTGCAGTGAGCCGAGATCACGCCACTGCACTCCAGCCTGGTGACAGAGTGAGACTCTGGCTCAAAAAAAAAAAACATTTTACTGGTCAATACTATATAAGACAAGCAGGCCGGGCGCGGTGGCTCAAGCCTGTAATCCCAGCACTTTGGGAGGCCGAGGTGGGCGGATCACAAGGTCAGGAGATCGAGACCATCCTGGCTAACATGGTGAAACCCCATCTCTACTAAAAATACAAAAAAAAATTAGCCGGGCATGGTAGCGGGCACCTGTAGTCCCAGCTACTTGGGAGGCTGAGGCAGGAGAATGGCGTGAACCCAGGAGGCGGAGCTTGCAGTGAGCCGAGATCACGCCACTGCACTCCAGCCTGGGCGACAGAGCAAGACTCCATCTCAAAAAATAATAATAATAATAATAAGACAACAAAACATTTGCTGGCCAGGTGATGAAAGGTGAATTCTGCTTTCATCACAGTTACTGTCAAGCATTCAACCACAATTTATTGAGACTTCCATGCAGAACTTTGTGGAAAGCAAAGCACTGGGGAGAGATTCCATGAACATCATTCATTTAAACACCCATTTGTTATTTTATTTTATTTATTTTATTTTATTTTATTTTTTTGAGACGGAGTCTTGCTCTTGTCACCCAGGCTGGAGTGTAGTGGCGTGATCTCAGCTCACTGCAACCTCCGTCTCCTGGGTTCAAGTGATTCTGCCGCCTCCTCCTCCTGAGTAGCTGGGATTACAGGCGCCCACCCCAACACCTGGCTAATTTTGGTACTTTTAGTAGAGATGGGATTTCGCCATGCTGGCCAGGCTGGTCTTGAACTCCTGACCTCAGGTGATCCGCCCGCCTTGGCCTCCCAAAGTGCTGGGATTACAGGCGTGAGCCACCACGCCTGGCTATCTTATTATTTTTTTAATTGAGACAAAGTCTCACTTTGTCACCCAAGCTGGAGTGCAGTGGCACAATCTTGGCTCACTGCAACCTCTGCCTCCTGGGTTCAAGCAATTCTTCTGCCTCAGCCTCCCAAGTAGCTGGATTACAGGCATGCACCACCACGCCTGGCTAATTTTTGTATTTTTAGTAGAGATGAGGGTTCACCATGTTGGCCAGGCTGGTCTCGAACTTCTGACCTCAAGTGATTTTTCTGCCTCAGCCTCTGAAAGTACTGGGATTATAGGCATGAGCCACTGCACCTGGCCTATGTTTATTTATTTTTGAGACAGAGTATTGCTCTGTTGCCCACGCTGGAGTGCAGTGGCGTGATCTTGGCTCACTGCAACCTCCGTCTCCTGGGTTCAAGCAATTCTCCTGCCTCAGCCTCCTGAGTAGCTGGGATTACAGGCACCCGCCAGCATGCCCAGCTAATTTTTGTATTTTTAGTAGAGACAGAGTTTCACTATGTTGGCCAGGCTGGTCTTGAACTCCTGACTTCAGGTGATCTGCCCACCTTGGCCTCCCAGAGTGCTGGGATTACAGGCATGAGCCACCACGCCCAGCCCCCATTTATTTTTTAGACTTTTATTATATTTTTTGAGACAGGGTCTCACTGTGTCTCCCAGGCTGGTGTGCAGTGGTACAAGCACAGCTCACTGAAGCCTCCCAGCTCAAGCAATCCTCTCACCTCAGCCTCCCGGGTAGCTGGAACGTGCCACCACACCTGGCTAATTTTTCTATTTTTTGGTAGAGATCGGGGTCTTGCTTTGTTGCCCAGGCTGGTCTTGAATTCCTGGGCTCAAGTGATCCTCCCACATTGGCCTCCCAAAGTGCTAGGATTACAGATATGAGGCACCATGCCCAGACTTAAACACCCATTTATTGCGCACTTTCTCTGCACCAGGCCCTGATCTGAGCCCCATGCACAGATGTGAACAAGACCTTACTCTCCAGGGACCAGGGGAAAGAAGTGCTACTTCTGTGCTCTGGAGAACCGAGTTCTCCAATCAGAAAAGATGAGAATGGAGGCCAGGTGCAGTGGTGACTAACGCCTGTACTCACACTTTGGGAGGCCGAGGCAGGAGGATCACCTGAGGTTAGGAGTTCGAGAGCAGTCTGGCCAACATGGTGAAAACCTATCTCTACTAAAAATACAAAAATTAGCCAGGTGTGGTGCCGTGTGCCTGTAATCCCAGCTACTTGGGAGGCTGAGGCAGAAGAATTGCTTGAACCTGGGAGGTAGAGGTTGCAGTGAGCTGAGATTCCCGCCACTGCACTCCAGCCTGGGGGACAGAGAGAGACTGTCTCAAAAAAAAAAAAAAGTTTTTTAAATTTAAAAAGGCAGCCGGGCGCAGTGGCTCACGCCTGTAATCCCAGCACTTTGGGAGGCCGAGGCGGGCAGATCATGAGGTCAGGAGATCGAGAACCTCCTGGCTAACACAGTGAAACCCCATCTCTACTAAAAACACAAAAAATTAGCTGGGCGCAGTGGCGGGCGCCTGTAGTCCCAGCTACTCAGGAGGCTGAGGCAGGAGAATGGCGCGAACCCGGGAGGCAGAGCTTGTAGTGAGCTGAGACTGCGCCACTGCACTCCAGCCTGGGTGACAGAGCGAGACTCCGTCTCAGAAAAAAAAAAAAAAAAAAAAAAAAGCCAGTCACAGTGGCTCACGCCTGTAATCCCAGCACTTTGGAAGGCCAAGGTGGGTGGATCACAAGGTCAGTAGTTCAAGAGCAGCCTGGCCAAGATGGTGAAATCCTGTCTCTACCAAAAATACAAAAATTAGCTGGGCGCAGTGGCAGGTGCCTGTAATCCCAGCTACTTGGGAGGCTGAGGCAGGAGAATCATTTGAACCCAGGAGGTGGAGGTTGCAATGAGCTGAGATCGTGCCACTGCACTCCAGCCTGGGTGACAAGAGTGAGATGCTGTCAAAAAAAAAAAAAACGGAATTGCTAGGACAGTCAAAAACAAATGGAATTGCTAGGACAGTCTAGACAGTTTTCACAAAGCAAGACTTTGGTCCCCTCTTCAGGACTCAGCATGGCCTCAGATCCAGCCACCAGGCCCCGAATACCTTCAAGTTTGAGTGTAGAAGGGCATATTTCGCCTTCTTTTTGTGCTCCCCCTGACACCCTGACGTTCTTGACTCATCTGTCTTCATCTTCCGAGCCAACTTTGCTTACCCACAAAGGGAGGGCACTATTCCCTCACAAAACACAGCCCAAGGCTCACTCTTTCCTCTTTTCCTATAGAAGAGCCAAAGGGCATGACAGTTGCTTCTGCTCCTTTAACCTACCCACTCTTTCCTCACAGCCCTCCTCAGCCTTCACAGTCCATAATGCAGTCTTGAATTCTGGGCTTCATATTCTCGACACACTCTGCAAACAGAATCCCCTAGGAAGCTATATTTATTTCCTTTTTTTTTTTTTTTTTTTTTGAGACGGAGTCTCACTCTGTCACCTAGCCTGGAGTGCAATGGCATGACCTCGGCTCACTGCAACCTCTGCCTCCCGGGTTCAAACGATTCTCCTGCTTTGGCCTCCCGAGTAGCTGGGACTACAGGTGCCCACCACCACACCTGGCTAATTTTTGTATTTTTGGTAGAGACAGGGTTTCACTATGTTGGCCAGGCTGGTCTCAAACTCCTGACCTCATGATCCTCACACCTCAGCCTCTCAAAGTGCTGGGATTACAGGCATGCGCCACCATGCCTGGCCTATTTACTTATTTTTATTTTTATTTTGAGACAGGTTCTCACTTTGTTGCCCAGGCTGCAGTGCAGTGGCATAAACATGGGTTATAGCAGCCTTGACCTCCTAGGCTCAAGCAAGCCCCCTGCCTCAGTCCCCCAAGCAGCTGGAACTACAGATATGTGCCACCATGTCCGGCTAATTTTTTTTTTTTTTTGAGGTGGAGTCTCGCTCTGTTGCACAGGCTGTAGTACAGTGGTGTGATCTTGGCTCACTGCAACTTCTGCCTCCCAGAGGCAGAGGATTACTCACACCTGTAATCCCAGTTTAGGGAGGCTGAAGCGGGCAGACAGCTTGAGGCCAGGAGTTTGACACCATCCTGGCCAACATGGTGAAAGCCTGTCTCTGCTAAATAAAAAAATTAGCCAGGCATGGTGGCACATGCCTGTGGTCCCAGCTACTCAGGAGGCTGAGGCACAAGAATCGCTCGAACCCAGGAGGCGTAGTTTTCAGTGAGCTGAGATCTCACCATTGCACTCCAGCCTGGGCGACAAGAGACTTCGTCTCAAAAAAAAAAAAAAAAAAAAAAAAAGATAATAAAGATGAGCAGAAATAAATGCAGCAGAGAATAAAAAATAGAGGAAGTAAGTAAAACCAAAATAATTTGGTTCTTTGAAAAATCCATAAAATTGATGAACCTTTAGATGGACTGACCAAGAAAAAAGCAGAGGAGACTCAAACTGCAAAACAGGAGCAAAAGAGGAGACATCACTACCAACATTAGATAAGTAAAAGAATTATCAGGGAATACTATGAACAGTTGTATGCCAACAAATTAGATGAAAGGAACAAATTCCTAGGGGAATTTAAACACCAAACTTAAGAAGAAATATAAAATCTAGGCCAGGCATGGTGGCTCACGTCTGTAATCCCAGCACTTTGAGGGGCTGAGTCAAGTAGATCATCTGAGATCAGGAGTTTGAGACCAGCCTGACCAACATGGTGAAACCTCATGTCTACTAAAGATACAAAAAATTAGCCAGGCAAGTGGCGCACGCCTGTAATCCCAGCTGAGGCAGGAGAATCACTTAAACCGGGGAGGTGGAGGTTGCAGTAAGCTGAGATTGTGCCATTGCACTCTAGCCTGGGTGACAGGGCGAGACTCTGTCTCAAAAATAAATAAATAAATAAATACAAAAATTAGCCGGGTATGATGGCATGTGCCTATAATCCCAGCTACTCTGGAGGCTGAGGCAGGAGAGTCACTTGAACCCAGGAGGCTGAGGCTGCAGTGAGCTGAGATGGCGCCATTGCACTCCAGCCTGGGCAACAAGAGGGAAATTCCAACTCAAAAAGGAAAAGAAAAAAAGAAATATAAAACCTAAATTGATCTATTGTAAAGACTTTTTTTTTTTTTTTTTTTGAGATGGAGTCTTGCTGTGTCACCCAGGCTGGAGTGCAGTGGCGCAATCTCAGCTCATGGCAACCTCCCCCTCCTGGGTTCAAGCGATTCTCATGCCTCAGTCTCCCAAGTAGCTGGGATTACAGCTGCATGCCACCAGGCTCAGCTCATTTTTTTGTATTTTAGTAGAGATGGGGTTTCACCATGTTGGCCAGGCTGGTCTTGAACTCCTGACCTCAGGTGATCTGCCTGCCTTGGCCTCCCAATGTGCTGGGATTACAGGTGTGAACCACCACACCCGGACTATTCTTTTGTGTATGGATATCCAGTTGTCCCACTGCTATTATCGAAAAGGTTGTTCTTTCCCCCATTAAGTGGTCTTGGAACCCTTGTCAAAAATTAATCTTCCATGTAGAAGGTTTATTTCTGGGCTCTCTAATCTATTCCACTTGTGTCCGGAATTGGTGGGTTCTTGGTCTCACTGACTTCAAGAATGAAGCCGCGTACCCTCGCGGTGAGTGTTACAGCTCTTAAGGTGGCGCGTCTGGAATTTGTTCCTTCTGACGTTCGGATGTGTTTGGAGTTTCTTCTTTCTGGTGGGTTCGTGGTCTCCCTGGTTCAGGAGTGAAGCTGCAGACCTTCGCGGTGAGTGTTACAGCTCTTAAGGTGGCGCGTCTGGAGTTGTTCATTCCTCCCGGTGGGCTCATGGTCTCGCTGGCTTCAGAAGTGAAGTTGCATACCTTCGCGGTGTTACAGCTCATAAAAGCAGCGTGGAGCCAAAGAGTGAGCAGTAGCAACATTTATCGCAAAGAGCGAAAGAACAAAGCTTCCACAGCGTGTAACAAGACCCGAGCCAGTTGCCACTGTGGGCGCGGGCAGCCTGCTTTTATTCTCTTATCTGGCCCCACCCACATCCTGCTGATTGGTAGGGCTGAGTGGTCTGTTTTGACAGGGTGCTGATTGGTGCGTTTACAATCCCTGAGCTAGACACAAAGGTTCTCCACCTCCCCACCAGATTAGCTAGACACAGAGTGTCAGCACAAAGGTTCTCCAAGGCCCCACCAGATAGCTAGATACAGAGTGTCGACTGGTGCATTCACAAACCCTGAGCTAGACACAGGGTGCTGATTGGTGTGTTTACAAACCTTGAGCTAGATACAGAGTGCCCATTGGTGTATTTACAATCCCTGAGCTAGACATAAAGGTTCTCCACGTCCCCACCAGACTCAGGAGCCCAGCTGGCTTCACCCAGTGGATCCCGCACCGGGGCTGCAGGTGGAGCTACCTGCCAGTCCCGCGCTGTCTACCTGCACTCCTCAGCCCTTGGGTGGTCGATGGGACTGGGCGCCGAGGAGCGGGGAACAGTGCTCCTGGGGAGACTCCGGCCTCACAGGAGCCCATGGAGGGGGTGGGAGGCTCAGGCATGGCGGGCTGCAGGTCCGGAGCCCTGCCCGGCGGGAAGGCAGCTAAGACCCCGTGAGAAATCGAGAGCAGCGCCCGTGGGCTGGCATTGCTGGGGGACCCAGTACACCGTCCGCAGCTGCTGGCCCGGGTACTAAGCCTCTCATTGCCCGGGGCTGGCAGGGCCGGCTGGTGGCTCCTAGTGCAGGGCCCGCCAAGCCCACGCCCACTCGGACCTCCAGCTGGCCCGCAAGCGCCGCGCGCAGCCCCGCTTCCCACTCGTGCCTCTCCATCCACACCTCCCCGCAAGCTAAGGCAGCTGGCTCCGGCCTTGGCCAGCCCAGAAAGGGGCTCCCACAGAGCAGTGGTGGGCTGAAGGGCTCCTCAAATGCCGCCAAAGTGGGAGCCCAGGCAGAGGAGGCGCCAAGAGCGAATGAGGGCTGTGAGGACTACCAGCACGCTGTCACCTCTCACACTGGTCTAATATATGTGTCTATTTTTTTCTCTCTTTCTTTATTTTTGAGACGGAGTCTCACTCTGTTGCCCAGGCTGGAGTGCACTGGCATGATCTCAGTTCACTGCAACCTCTGCCTCCTAGGCTTGAGTGATCCTCCCACCTCAGCCTCCTCCTCAGTAGCTGGGACTATAGGCGCAGGCTACCACGCCTAGCTAATTGTATTTTTTGTAAAGACTGGGTTTTGCCATGTTGCCCAGGTTGATTTTGAACTCCTGGGCTCAAGCAATCCACTCACCTCAGTCTCCCAAATTGTTGAGATTACAGGCGGCCTTATATGTTTGTCTTTATGCCAGTACCACACTCTTTTCATTGTGGTAGGTTAGTATTTAAGTTTTGAAATCAGGAAATGAGAGACCTGGTTTCTTCTTTTTCTGCAGACCTTTTTTTCCGTCTTTTTTTGTGTTATTTAGGATGCCTTGTGATTCCACATAAATTTTAGGATGAGTTTTTGTATATCTGTAAAATATTAAAAATACCATTTGGATTTTGATACAAATTGCATTGAATCTGTAGATTGCTCTGGGTAGTACCGTCATCTTAACAATATTAAATCTTACATTCAGGCCGGGCGCAGTGGCTCATGCCTGTAATCTCAGCACTTTGGGAGGCTGAGGCGGGCAGATCACTTGAGGTCAGGAGTTCGAGACCAGCCCTGCCAACATGGTAAAATCCTGTCTCTACTAAAAATGCAAAAAAAAAAATTAGCTGGGCGTGGTGGCACGTGCCTGTAGTTCCCGCCACTCAGGAGGCTGAGGCAGAAGAATCACTTGAACCCAGGAGGCAGAGGTTGCAGTGAGCCAAGATCGCATCACAGCACTCCAGCCTGGGTGACAGAGCAAGACTCTGTCTCAAAAAACAAACAAACAATAAATTTTACATTCTATAAACATAGGATATCTTTTTATTTATGTCTCTTTAATTTTTTGTAGTTTTCAGTTACAAATATTTTGCCTCATTGGTTACATTTCTTCCTATTTGATTCCTTTTCATGGCTTTTTTTTTTCTTGAGATAGAATTTCGCTCTTTTTGCCCAGGCTGGATTGCAGTGGTGTGATCTTGGCTCACTGCAACCTCTGCCTTCTGGGTTCAAGTGATTCTCCTGCCTCAGCCTCCCAAGTAGCTGAGATTACAGGCACCCGCCTCCACGCCCAGCTAATTTTTTGTTTTTGTTTTTGTTTTTTGAGATGTAGTTTTGCTCTTATTGCCCAGGCTGGAGTGCAATGGTGTGACCTCGGCTCACCGCAACCTCTGCCTCCCGGGTTCAAGCAATTCTCCTGCCTCAGCTTTCTGAGTAGCTGGGATTACAGGCATGTGCCACCACGGCCAGCTAATTTTATTTGTATTTTTAGTAGAGACAGAGTTTCTCTGTGTTGGTCAGGCTGGTCTCGAACATCCGACCTCAGGTGATCTGCCCGCCTTGGCCTCCCAAAGTGCTGGGATTATAGGCGTGAGCCACCGCACCCGGCCAGTTTTTTGTATTTTTAGTAGAGACTGGATTTTACCATGTTGGCCAGGCTGGTCTTGAACTCCTGACCTCAGGTGATCCACCCACCTCAGCCTCCCAAAGTGCTGGGATTACAGGTATGAGCCATTGCACCCGGCCGCATGGTAATTTAAATAGAGTTGTTTTCTTAATTTCTCTTTGGGGTTATTCATCGTTAGTGTAAAGAAATGCAACTGATTTTTGTGTGTTGACTTTGTATGCTGCAACTTTGTTGAATTCATTTATTGGCTCTAATAGTTGTGTATGTATGTAAGCTTTAGGGTTTTCCACGTATAAAATCATTTCATCTGCAAGTACAGATAATTTTACTTTTTCCTTTCCAATTCAGGTAACTTTTACTTATTTTTCTTGCTTAATTTCTCTGGCTAGAAATTCCAATACTCTGTTAAATAGAAGTGGCCAAAGTGGTGGTTCTTGTTTTGTTCCTGATCTTATGGGGAAAATTTTCAGTCTTTCATCATTGAATATGATGTTAACTCTGTTTTTCATGTATGGCCTTTACCATGTTGAGGAAAATTCTTCTAGTTCTAGTTTTATTTTATTTTTTCCAGACAGGGCCTTGTTCTCTCACCCAGGCTGGAGTGCAGTGGCCTGATAATGGCTCCCTGCAACCTCCACCTCCTGGGTTCAAGCCATCCTCCCACCTCAGCCTCCCAAGTAGCTGGGACTACAGGCATGCACCACCATACCCAGCTTAATTTTTGTTTTTGGTAGAGACATGGTTTTGCCATGTTGCCAAGGCTGGTCTTGAACTCCTGAGCTCCAGCGATCCACCTGCCTCGGCCTCCCAAAGTACTAGGGTTACAGGCGTGAGCCACCGTGCCTGGCTGAGTGTTTTTTTTTAAATCTTGAAAGAGTATTGGATTTTGCCGAATACTTTTTCTGCATCAACTGAGACAATTATAAGATTTTTCCCTTTATTCTATTAATGTGGTATATGACATTGATTAATTTTCATATGTTAAAACATCTTTGCATTCCAGGAATAAATCCAACTTGTTCATGGATAAAATACTTTTTTTTTTTTTCCTGAGACAGTCTTGCTCTGTCGTCCAGGCTGGAGTGCAGTGGCGCAACCTTGGCTCATTGCAACCCCCACCCCCTGGGTTCAAGCAGTTCTCCTGCCTCAGTCTCCTGAGTAGCTGGGATTTACAGGCATGTGCCACCACGCCCGGCTACTTTTTGTATTCTTAATAGAGATGGGGTTTCACCATGTTGGCCAGGCTGGTCTCAAACTCTTGACCTCATGATCCGCCCACCTTGGCATCCCAAAGTGCTGGGATTACAGGCATGAGCCACCATGCCCGGCCCCATAAAATCCTTTTAATATGCTGCTGAAATTGGTCCTCTATTTTATATATATATATATATATATATATATATTTTTTTTTTTTTTTTTGAGATGAAGTCTCACTCTGTTATCAGGCTGGTGTGCAGTGGCACAATCTCAACTCACTGCAACCTCCACCTTTTGGGTTCAGGCGATTCTCCTGCCTCAGCCTCCTGAGTAGCTGAGACTACAGGCACGCACCACCACACCCAGCTAATTTTTGTACTTTTAGTAGAGATGGGGTTTCACCATGTTGGCCAGAATGGTCTCGATCTCTTGACCTTGTGATCTGTCCGCCTCAGCCTCCCAAAGTGCTGGGATTACAGGTGAGAGCCACCGTGCCCGGCCATATATATATATATATATATTTTTTTTTGAAACAGAGTCTCACTTGTTAACCCAGGCTGGAGTGCAGTGGCGCAATCTTGGCTCACTGCAACCTCCACCTCCCAGATTCAAGCAATTTTGTATTTTCAGTAGAGATGGAGTTTCACCGTGTTGCCCAGGCTGGTGTCAAACTCCTGACCTCAAGTGATCCACCCGCCTCAGCCTCCCAAAGTGCTGGGGTTACATGCGTGAGCCAGTGCAGATATGTTTTGGTCCCCAGCAGGATATGTTTTGGTCCAATTTATGGAGGAGGAGGAAGGAGGAGAGTGAGGAGGAGGCGGAGAAGGAGAGAGGTCCCAAGGAGGCCTCCCATCAAGTTCCGTTCCCAAGGCAATGCTTCCCTGCTGATGCTCAGCAAGCAGTGAAAGAATGCAGCACGCCCAGCCATAAACACTAATGAAATCATGTTCTTCGCTCTGACATGGATGTAGCTGGCGGTCATTATCCTAAGCAAATTAACCCAGGAACAGAAAACCAAGGACTGCGTGTTCTCACTTATAAATGAGATCTAAACATTGAGTACACATTGCCTGGGTGTGGTGGCTCACACCTGTAATCCCAGCACTTTGGGAGGCTGAGGCAGGTGGATCATCTGAGGTCAGGAGTTCAAGATCAGCCTGGCCAATATGGCGAAACCCTGTCTCTACAAAAATACAAAAATTAGCCAGGCATGATGGCAGGTGCCTTTAATCCCAGCTACTCGAGGGGCTGAAGCAGGAGAATCATTTGAACCCGGGAGGTGGAGGTTGCAGTGAGCCAAGATTGCATGATTGCACTTCAGCCTACGCGACAGAGCGCAACTCCATCTCAAAACAAAACAAAAAAAAAACATTGAGTACACACATGGATGTAAAGATGGGAACAATAGATACTGGGACCTCCTAGAGTGGGGAGGGACAGTGGAGAGTAAGAGTTGAAAAACTGTTGGGTATTATGCTTACTTCCTGGATGACAGGATCATTCATAGCCCAAGCCTCAGCATCATGCAGTATACCCAGGTGACGAACCCACACACGCCTCCCTGAACCTAAAATAAAAGCTGGGAGACCAGGCTCGGTGGCTCAGGTCTGTAATCCGAGCACTTTGGGAGGCCGAGGTGGGAGGATGGCTTGAGCCAAGGAGTTTGAGACCAGCCTTGGCAACATAGAGAGACCCCACCTTTACAAAAAATTAGCAGGGTGTGGTGGAACTTGCTATAGCACCAGCTACTCAGGAGGCTGAGGTGGGAGGATTGCTTGAGCCTGCGGGGGTGAGACTGCAGTGACCTGTGATCGAGCTACTGCACTCCAGCCTGGGCAACAAAGCAACACCCCATCTCAAAAAATAATAATAATATGGCCGGGCACGGTGGGTGCCTCACGCCTGTAATCTCAGCACTTTGGGAGGCCGAGGCAGGCGAATCACCTGAGGTCAGGAGTTCAAGACCAGCCTGGCCAACACGGTGAAACCCCGTCTCTACTAAAAATACAAAAATTAGCCAGGCATGGCAGCAGGCACCTGTAATCTTAGCTACTTGGGAGGCTGAGGCAGGAAAATCACTTGAACCTGGGAGGCGGAGGTTGCAGTGAGCCAAGACTGCACCACTGCACTCCAGCTTGAGTGACAGAGCAAGACTCCATCTCAAGAAAATAATAAGATAAAGGTTGAAATTATTTTAAAAAAAATGTGGCATGCCCTGTGAAACGCAGAGCAGCACAGTACGACCCTCTTCTGGGTCACAGGTGAGATTTCCTCATGCACCTGTCAGACCTCAGGTTTCTCTCATCACTTTTCCCAAGCTCCCCCGCCGCCATTTTTTTTTTTTTTTTTTTTTTTTGAGACTGAGTCTGGCTCTGTCACCCAGGCTGGAGTGCAGTGGCGTGATCTTGGCTCACTGCAGCCTCCGTCTCCCAGGTTCAAATGGTTCTCCTGCCTCAGCCTCCCTAGTAGCTTGGATTACAGGCATGCATCACCACAACCAGCTAATTTTTTTTTTCTTTGAGATGGAGTTTTGCTCTTGTTGCCCCATTGGCGCAATCTCGGCTCACCACAACCTCCGCCTCCCAGGTTCAAGCGATTCTCCTGCCTCAGCCCCCCGAGTAGCTGGGATTACAGGCATGAGCCACCATGCCCGGCTAATTTTGTATTTTTAGTAGAGATGGGGTTTCTCCATGTTGGTCAGGCTGGTCTCTAACTCCCAACCTCAGGTGATCCGCCCGCCTTGGCCTCCCAAAGTGCTGGGATTACAGGCATGAGCCACCGCTCCTGGCTCTAATTTTTGTATTTTTAGTAGAGATGATGTTTTGCCATATTGGCCAGGCTGGTCTCGAACTCCTGACCTCAGGTGATTCTCCCACCTCTGCCTCCCAAAGTGCTGGGATTACAGGCATGAGCTACTTTGCTTGGCCTCCCTGAGCCTTTTAAAATAGAATCAAAGGCTCTATTTCTCCAACCCTCCTTGGTCCACAAGATGAGAGTTCTTGGGAATAACCACTCCCAAGCTTTTAGGTTATTCTCACCATTGCCCTCAACTTCCTTGTAACCCCAACCTCTCCTAGAATTGCCTGCATATGAGATAGAAGGTCTCAGACAAATAGATGGAAGTGTTTATTTTATTTTATTTTATTTTATTTTTATTTTTATTTTTTTGAGATGGAGTCTCACTTTGTCGCCAGGCTGGAGTGCAGTGGCGCGATCTCGGCTCACTGCAACCTCCACCTCCCAGGTTCAAGCGATTCTCCTGCCTCAGCCTTCCAAGTAGCTGGGACTACAGGCGCGTGCCACCACGCCCAGCTAATTTTTAGTAGAGACTGGTTTTCACCATGTTGGCCAGGATGGTCTCCATCTCTTGACCTCATGGTCTGCCCGTCTCAGCCTCCCAGAGTGCTGGGATTACAGGCATGAGCCACGGTGCCTGGCCAGGAAGTGTCTATTAATAATTGATAGTCCATCTGGCTGGGAGCAGTAGCTCACGCCTGTAATCCCAGCACTTTGGGAGGCCGAGGCGGGTGAATCACCTGAGGTCGGGAGTTTGAGACTAGCCTAACATGGAGAAACCCCGTCTCTACTAAAAATACAAAATTAGCCGGGCGTTGTGACACATGCTTGTTGTAATCCCAGCTGCTCGGGAGGCTGAGGCAGGAGAATCACTTGAACCCGGGAGGCGGAGGTTGTGGTGAGCCAAGATCACGCCATTGCACTCCAGCCTGGGCAACAAGAGCGAAACTCCATCTCAAAAAACAAAATAAATAAATAAAATAAAATAAAACACATTAAACTGGCTGGGCGCAGTGGCTCACTCCTGTAATCCCAGCACTTTGGGAGGCTGAAGTGAGTGGATCACCTGAGGCCAGGAGTTCAAGACCAGCCTGGCCAACATGGTGAAACCCTGTCTCTACTAAAAATACAAAAATTAGCCAGGCGTGATGGTGGGCACCTGTAATCCCAGCTACTCGGGAGGCTGAAGCAGGAGAACCACTTGAACCCAGGAGGCGGAGGTTGTGAGCTGAGATAGAGCCACTGCACTCCAGCCTGGGCAACAGAGCAAGACTCTGTCTCAAAAAAAAAAAAGGAGGCGGGGTGCGGTGGCTCACACCTGTAATCCCAGGACTTTGGGAGGCCGAGGTGGGTGGATCACAAGGTCAGGAGATCGAGACCATCCTGGCTAACACGGTGAAACCCCATCCCTACTAAAAATACAAAAAATTAGCCAGGCATGGTGGCAGGTGCCTGTAGTCCAAGGTACTCAGGAGACTGAGGCAGGAGAATGGCGTGAACCTGGGAGGTAGAGCTTGCAGTGAGCCGAGATCATGCCACTGCACTCCAGCCTGGGGGGCAGAGCGAGACTCCATCTCTATAATAATAATAATAATAATAATAATAATAATAATAATAATAATAATAAAGGAGAGGATAAAATCTGTAAGTGGTAGGCAGCCGCCAGGCTAATGAAAACAGATATTTTTTTTCATTTTTTTAAATTCTAATTTTCACTTAAAAAGTAGAATTTTGGCCAGGCGCAGTGGCTCACGCCTGTAATCCCAGCACTTTGGGAGGCCAAGGTGGGAAGATTACTTGAGGTCAGGAGTTGGAGACCAGCCTGGCCAAAATGGTGAAACCCTGTCTCTACTAAAAATACAGAAATTAGCCAAGTGTGGTGGCACGCACCTGTAATCTCAGCTATTTGGGAGGCTGAGGCAGGAGAATCACCTGACCCTTCTAGGAGATGGAGGTTGCAATGAGCCGAGATCTTGGCAATGAGCCGAGATGGTGCCACTGCACTCCAGCCTGGGTGACAGAGCGAGACTGTATCTCAAAAAAAAAAAAAAGAAAAAGAATTTCATCATTGGTAGCACTGTCAGTTGTTTTTCTTGATGTGACCGACTCAGTTCATTTTTGAAACAATGTCTGCCAGCTACCCAAGTCTGAATAATAATAATTTGGCTGGGCGTAGTGGCTCACGCCTATAATCCCAGCACAACATGGTGAAACCCCATCTCTGCTAAAGGCACAAAAATTAGCCCAGTGTAGTGGTGTGCACCTGTAATCCCAGCTACTTGGGATGCTGAGGCATGAAAATTGTTTGAATCCAGGAGGCAGAGGTTGCAGTGAGCCAAGATTGCGCCACTGCACTCTATCCTGGGCGACGGAGTGAGACTCAGTCTCAAAATAATAATAAATTGTTCTTGGTTCTTCCATGTATAAATGGTGTTCCATGACAGGTGGTGGTTGGCTCATCCCACAACTCCATCTCTGAGAGCCTTTCCAGAGGTAACCATTGGATTTATGATTAATCTAAACACTTTATCCATTCTTCTCATTTTGACACGCAGAATATTAAGAAGAAATATATTCAACGGTTGAGATTTAATAAAATTGATCATTTTTACTGCTTCAACAAGGACATTCTGAAATGAAACTGTGGCCAGGTGTGGTGGCTCACACCTATAATCTCAACACTTTGAGAGGCCAAGGTGGGAGGATCGCTTGAGCCCAGGAGTTCGAGACAAGCCAGGGCAACATAGTGAGGACCTCATCTTTACAAAAAATAAATAAATAAATAAATAAACATTAGCCGGGCATGGTGGTACACACCTGTAGTCCCAGCTACTTGGGAGGCTGAGGTGGGAGGGTTACTTGAGCCTGGGAGTTCGAGGCTTCAATGAGCCCAGATTGTCACTGCACTCCAGCCTAGGCGACAGAGCAAGAATCTCTCTCAAAATAATAATAGAAAGAAAGAAAGAGAAAGCAAGCAAGCAAGAAGGAAAGAGAAACAAAACTTGCCTTTCCTTTTTTTTTTTTTTTTTTTACCATGAGCACATACTGGTGCCAGTTTTCTATCTGTTGCCTCCCAGTTCCAAATCCATTTATTGCACCGCTTGCTACCAGATGTGGAACTGGCAAACATTTCTTCTTTGCCAGTAGAGGGCGCCGGAGGGACACCACAGGAGGAAGGGGCTTGTCCTGGTTCCTCCTCTGTCCCACCCCCGTGGCAGGCAGCCCTGCACCGGACACACAGTGGCATTCAACTTCCTGCCTGCCAGCCCCAGTGTGTGGTTCCCAGCCTGACAACCTTGGCACCCCAGCACCCCAGCAGGAGGGGTTTCTGCTTGTGGTCCCCTGGCCACCAGCCTCGGCCAGCTGGTTGTGGACCAGCCGTGACCTGGGGCAACCCAGCCAACCTCACCGTCCAATGGGCTGCAGCCACCTCTCTCCAGTGAGGTCTGAGACCCAGCCTTAACGAGGCTACCCCCTTCCAGGTTTGTTCTTTCTCTGGGCTCTCTCCCTCACCCTTTGGGTGTTTTTTGGTTGTTGTTGTTTGCGTGTGTGTGTGTGTGTGTATGTGTGTGTGTGTGTGTGTTGAGACAGAGTCTCCCTCTGTCACCCAGGCTGGAGTGCACTGGCATGATCTCGGCTGACTGCAACCTCTGCTTCCCGGGTTCAAGCGATTCTCCTGCCTCAGCCTCCCAGGTAGCTGAGACTACAGTTGCGTGCCACCACACCCAGCCAATTTTTATATTTTTAGGAGAGACGGAGTTTCACTATGTTGGCCAGGCTGGTCTCGAACTCCTGACCTCTTGATCTGCCTGCCTCAGCCTCCCAAAGTGCTGGGATTACAGGCGTGAGCCACCACGCCCGGCCCCATGGGTGTTTTTTAGAGTTCTCTTTGATTCACACTTAGTCACAATCCCCTGTAAATAGTTCATTGTTCTGTTAAAACTTCCCTGTTTAAATGACTCTGTGGTTTCCGCCTTGTGAGTGGATCCCGATCGATGTAGCATTATTACAAGAGGGGTGCCTGGAGATAGATCCACAAGGATAGCATTTGGGGACTGGTTTGTCCATGCCCTTGGGTTTGAGCTTTGTCTGAGCTCCAAGGTAATGGGAACTGGACGTCGGTAATCTGTGATGTGCTGTGGCATCGAGTTAATCAGACTGTTGCCTACAGCTTGTCTTTATAAAGTACCAACTCCAGCGCATGTCCCGGGAGCCCAAGTGGCTGCTGTACTTGACTGTGATGTCAATAACGATGACTGTAAGGGCTGTGGCGTGGGACGGATTCTTCTCAGTGCACTGCGTCACTTCCAGAAAGAAAACCACAGGCTTGGCTAGGCATGGTGGCTCACGCCTATAATCCCAGCACTTTGGGAGGTGAAGGTGGGTGGATCACAAGGTCAGGAGAGCGAGACCATCCTGGCCAACACGGTGAAACCCTACCTCTACTAAAAAATTAGCTGGGCGTGGTGGTGCACACCTGTAGTCCCAGCTACTCAGGAGACTGAGGCAGGAGAATTGCTTGAACCTGGGAGGCAGAGGTTGCAGTGAGCCGAGATCGCGCCACTGCACTCCAGCCTGGTGACAGAGCGAGACTCCGTCTCAAAAAAAAAAAAAAAAAAAAAAAAGTTCCAAGAACTGATAAGTGATTTTAGAAAGGGAGTAGAATACAAATCAATGTACTGTTTCTAAAATGCATGTGGGCCGGGCTGGGCACGGTGGCTCACGCCTGTAATCCCAGCATTTTGGGAGGCCAAGGTGGGCAGATCACTTGAGGTCAGGGGTTCGAGACCAGCCTGGCCAATATGGTGAAACCCAGTCTCTACTAAAAAAACAAAAATTAGCTGGGCGTGGTGGCAGGCACCTGTAATCCCAGTTACTCAGGAGGCTGAGGTGGGAAAATCACTTGAACCGTGGAGGCAGAAGTTGCAGTGAGCTGAGATCATACCACTGCACTCCAGCTGGGGCAACACAGCGAGACTTCATCTTGGGGGAAAAAAGGCACTTAATAGAATGAAAAGATAAGCCATAAATTGGGAGAGAGTCTTTGCGATAATAAGAGTAACAAAAACAATAATAATATCTGGGTCAGGCGGAGTGGCTCATGCCTGTAATCCCAGCACTTTGGGAGGCTGAGGCAGGCAGGTCACTGGAGCCCAGGAGTTCAAGACCAGCCCGGCCAACATGGTGAAACTCTGCCTCTACTAAAAATACAAAAAATTAGCCAGTCCTGGTGGCAGGCGCCTGTAATTCCAGCTACTTGGGAGGCTGAGGCAGAATTGCTTGAACCAGGCGGCAGAGGTTGCAGTGAGCCGAGATCTTGTCATTGCACTCCAGCCTGGGCAACAAGAGTGAAAGTCCATCTCAAAAAAAAATAAATAGGCTGGGCGTGGTGGCTCACACCTGTAATCCCAGCACTTTGGGAGGCCGAGGTGGGCAGATCACGAGGTCATGAGATCGAGACCATCCTGGCTAACACGGTGAAACGCTGTCTCTACTAAAAATACAAAAAAATTAGCTGGGTGTGGTGGCGGGTGCCTGTAGTCCCAGCTACTCAGGAGGCTGAGGCAGGAGAATGGCGTGAACCTGGGAGGCAGAGCTTGCAGTGAGCCGAGATCACACCACTGCACTCCAGCCTGGGCAACAGAGTGAGACTCCATCTCAAAAAAAAAAAAAAAAATTAGCCAGGTGTGGTTGCGGGCGCCTGTAGTCCCAGCTACTTGGGAGGCTGAGGCAGGAGAATGGCGTGAACCCAGGAGACGGAGCTTGCAGTGAGCCGAGATAGTGCCACTGCACTCCAGCCTGGGCAACAGAGCAAGACTCCGTCTCAAAAAATATATATATATATATAATATATATATTATATATATATATGGAGCAGAAAAAGCCTTTGTTGGACGAATTTACAAAGCTTGTGCAAATGTAAGGTGTTTAAAGCCTATGGTTGCTGGGCACGGTGGCTCACGCCTGTAATGCCAGCACTTTGGGAGGCTGAGGCGGGTAGATTGCCTGAGGTCAAGAGTTCAAGACCAGCCTGGCCAACATGATGAAACCCCATCTCTACTAAAAATACAAAATTTAGCCGGACATGGTGGCACATGCCTGTAATCCCAGCTACTCAGGAGGCTGAGGCAGGAGAATCGCTTGTACCCAGGAGGCGGAGGTTGCAGTGAGTGGAGATCGCGCCGCTGCCCTCCAGCCTGAGCGATAAGGGAGACTCCATCTCAAAAAAAAAAAAAAAAAGCCTATGGTTATTAACTGTATGATTCATCAGCAGGTACTTTGCACACATTTTTGAATCTGTCATAAGATATTGAACCAGTACTGTCAATTGTGAACTTCATTTGCTTGTGTGGATTTAACTGTCAGTTCCATAAATTTTTGTTAGAAATACAAGCTGAATATCCTGACTTGCCATGCCATACAGTAGTTTGATGTCTTGGAAGTGCTAAATTTTATGGTTTTGATTTGTTTTGTTTTTTTGAGACAGGGTCTCACTCTGTCACCCAGGTTGGAGTGCAGTGGTGTGATCTTGGCTCACTGCAACCTCTGCCTCTCATGCTCAGGTGACCCTTCCACCTAAGGTTACTTCCCTAAGAAACTGGGACTACACACATGTGCCACCACGCCTGGCTAGTTTTTGCATTTTTTGCAGAGACAGGGTTTTGCCATGTTGCCCGGGCTGGTCTTGAACTCCTGGGCTCAAGTAATCTGCCTGTGTCAGCCTCCCAAAGTGCTGGGGTTATACGTATGAGCCACCACACACAGCCATATGGTTTTTAACTCCGGGCTGAGATTGAATTTTTTTTTCTTTTCTTTTCTTTTTTTGTTTGAGACTGAGTCTCACTCTGTCAACCAGGCTGGAGTGCAGTGGTGCTATCTCAGCTCACTGCAATCTCTGCCTCCCGAGTTCGAGGGATTTTCCTGCTTCAGCCTCCCAAGTAGCTGGGATTACAGGTGCCCGCCACCACACCTGGCTAATTTTTTTTTGTATTTTTAGTAAAGACGGGGTTTCACTGTGTTGGCCAGGCTGGTCTCGAACTCCTGACCTCAGGTAATCCACCTGCTTCGGCCTCCCAGATTGCGGGTATTACAGGCTTGAGCCACTGCACCCAGCCTGAAATTTTTCTAAATAAGAACCGGGCCAGGTGCAGTGGCTCACACCTGTGTTACCAGCACTTTAGGAGGCCGAGGTGGGCAGATCACTTGAGGACCATCCTCACTAACATGGTGAAACCCCGTCTCTACTAAAAATACAAAAAATTAGCCAGGCTTGGTGGTGGGCACCTGTAGTCCCAGCTACTCCGGAGGCTGAGGCAGGAGAATCCCTTGAACCTGGGGAGGTGGAGGTTGCAGTGAGCCTAGATCATGCCACTGCACTCTAGTCTGGGTGACAGAGCGAGACTCCGTCTCAACAACAACAACAACAAAGAAGAACCACACATAACCACTGCTATCAAACACTGAGAGGCTTTGTTAGCTAGCTTTTGAAGCAGTTTTGATAATATCTCTTAATAATTCAACCTAAAATTATAAGGCAAAACAGCACGTATATGTTTAACGTATGCTGCTGTAAAGTAACTTCATTGATGGTATATTGTTTGAATCACAAGCGATGTCAAGCTGCCTTATACACAGCCCATAATATCAAAGTTAAAACAAGGAGCAAGATGTCCATTCCCATATAAATTTTTAGGAGCTACATTTCCAATCTCAAACTGCAGTTCCAGTAGCATTTTTAGGACTTCAGTGAAATTGAGACACATCTCAAGTGATTAAACCATAATGTAGTGACATGCTAAAAGGCAGATAGCAAGAGAAAAATCCAATCCAAATAGATTTTTTTTTTTTTTTTTTGAGACACGGTCTTGCTCTGGTGCCCAGGCCAGAGTGCAGTGGCACCATCTCAGCTCACTGCAACTTCTACCTCCCAGGTTCAAATGATACTGAGCATCAAGTAGCTGGAATTACAGGCACACGCCACCAGGCCTGGCTGATTTTTTTGTATTTTCAGTAGAGAGGGGGGTTTTGCCGTGTTGCCTAGGCTGGTCTGGGACTCCTGGCCTCGAGTGATCCACCTACCTCGGCCTCCCAAAGTGCTGGGATTAAGTGAGCCACCGCACCTGGCCAGAGTCCAAATAGAATTCTATAAATGCCTTTCAAATGATGAATGTGCTCGTGACATCATATGCTTGTGGATTGCTATCTGTATTTGGCAATACCTATCTTCAGGAAAAACTATTTTTGCCAAATCTCATTACAGATTAGAATTAACAGATAAACATTTGTCATAGACTTTGATGATAGGGAACACTAACTTTGTTCTTTTTTTTTTTTTTTTTTTCTGAGATAGAGTCTCGCTCTGTCACCCAGGGTGGAGTGCAGTGGTGTGATCTCGGCTCACTGCCACCTCTGCCTCCTGAGTTCAGGCAATTCACATGCCTGAGCCTCTCCAGTAGCTGGGATTACAGGCATGCGCCACCATGTCTGGGTAATTTTTGTATTTTTAGTAGAGTCTGGGTTTTGCCATGTTGGTCAGTCTGGTCTCAAACTCCTGGCCTCAAGTGATCTGCCCGCCTCGGCCTCCCAAAGTGCTGGAATTACAGGCGTGAGCCACTGTGCCCTGCCATAATATACTACTTTTTATCTGTTGTCCTACAACACCTAAAATATTTACTATTTGGCCCTTTACAAAAAACATTTGCCAACCCCTGCTCTAGAAAATGCAAATCAGGTCAGGCATGGTGGCTCACACCTATAATCCCAGCACTTTGGGAGTCTGAGGTAGGCAGATCACCTGAGCTCAGGAGTTCGAGACCAGCCTGGCCAATGTGGTGAAACCCCGTTTCTACTAAAAATACAAAAATTACCTGGGTGTGGTAGTGGGTGCCTGTAATCCCAGCCACTTGGGAGGCTGAGGCAGGAGAATTGCTTGAACCTGGGAGGCGGAGGTTGCAGTGAGCTGAGACTGCACCATTGCACTCCAGCCTGGGTGACAAGAGCAAAACTCCATCTCAAAAAGAAAAAAAGAAAATGCAAATCAACCTATCGTGACAGAAAGCAGATCAGTGGTTTCTTGGGTATGAGGGGTCAGAGAGAGGCAGGTGGGAGAGATTACAGTCACAAGGAGACTTCTGCGTGATGCATACCTTCGCTATCATGATTGTGGTAATGACTTCACGGCTATAGATATAAAATATATGTCAAAACATCAAATTCTGGCTGGACACAGTGGCTTATGCCTGTAATCCCAGCACTTTGGGAGGCTGTGGCAGGAAGATTTGCTTGAGGCCAGGTGTTTGAGACTAGCTTGGGCAATATTGTGAGACCATGTCTCCACCAAAAAAAGGTTTTTTTGGTTTTTTTTTTTTAATTAGCTGGGCATGGTTGTGCACACTTGTAGTCCCAGCTACTCTGAAGGCTGAGGTGGGAGGATGGTTTGAGCCCAGGAGTCCGAGGCTGCAGTGAGCTATAATTGCACCAGCGCACTCCAGCCTGAGCAACAGAGCAAGACCTTGTTAAAAATAAATAAATAAATAAGCTGCGCGCAGTGGCTCACACCTGTAATCCCAGCACTTTGGGAGGCTGAGGCAGGTAGATCACCTGAGGTCAGGAGTTCGAGACCAGCCCGGCCAACATGGTGAAACCCCATCTCTACTAAAAATACAAAAATTAGCCAGGTGTGGTGGCGTGCATCTGTAATCCCAGCTACTCGGGAGGCTGAGGGAGGAGAATTGCTTGAGCCCGGGAGGCAGAGGTTGCAGTGAGCCAAGATCACACCACTGTACTTCTGCCTGGTTGACAGAGCAAGACTCCATCTCAAAAAAATAAACAAAAAACTTGCTCTAGTAGCCAAAAACCTAAGTTGAGTTGCCATAGTGAAGAGTTGTAGTCTCTCGCCTGGATTTTAGACCTAAGTCAGCATAGATCCAGAGTCACTTAATTGGAGAGAAGTTTGGTTCTCCCTGAGAGAGGAACATGCCCTGTTTACTAGAGTGTGCATCAGGGAGAAGAAAATACCCAACCTTTTGAGGATTCCTAGACATTGGCTCTGAATTAACGCCAAGTCCTGAGGATCCAAAATGCCACTGTGGCTCATCACTAAAAGTAGGGGCTTAAAGATAGATGGTCAGGTGCTAGATGGAGTCTTAGCTCAGCCCCAACTCACAGAGGGCTCCGTTGATCTATGGTCCCACCCTGTGGTTATTTCCAAATTCCTGAGAGTATAATAGGAATAGCCATCTATGGCAACTGACAAATCTCCACACTGGCTCTCCCACCCATGGAGTGAGAGAATCATGGTGGAAAGGGCTAAGGGAAAGTCCCTGTAACTTCCACTTCCTGTCAAGACAGTTAACCAGAGGGCTGGGCGCACTGGCTTACACCTGTAATCCCAGCACTTTGGGAGGCCAAGGCAGGCGGATCACGAGGTCAGGAGATTGAGACCATCCTGGCTAACACGGTGAAACCCCATCTCTACTACAAATACAAAAAATTAGCCAGGCGTGATGGCGGGCACCTGTAGTCCTAGCTACTCAAGAGGCTGAGGCAGGAGAATGGCGTGAACCCAGGAGGTAGAGGTTGCAGTGAGCCAAGATCATCCTACTGCACTCCAGCCTGGGCAACAGAGGGAGACTCTGTCTCAAAGAAAAAAAATTTTAAAAAGACAGTTAACCAGAAGCATTATCACATCCCTGGAGAGTCGCAGAGACTAGTGCCACCCTCAAAGACTTGCAAGGGGCCAGGTGGGGTGGCTCAGGCCTGTAATCCTAGCATTTTGGGAGGCTGAGGCGGGTGGATCACCTGACGTCAGGAGTTCGAGACCAACCTGGGCAACATGGTGAAACCCTATCTCTACTAAAAGTACAAAAATTAGCCGAGTGTGGTGGCAGGTGCCTGTAATCCTGGCTACTCAGGATGCTGAGGCAGGAGAATCCCTTGAACCTGGGAGGCAGAGGCTTCAGTGAGCTGAGATCATACCACTGTACTCCAGCCTAGGCAAAAGAGCGAAACTGTGTCAAAAAAAAAAAGACTTGAATGGGCAGGCGTTTAGCATATGCTGGTTGGATGGATCTTAGAGAATGACTGTGGACTATGGGAAACTCATTTAGATGGTGACTCCAATTGCAGCTGCTGCCTCACATGTGGTATCTTTAGACAGCAGAAGAAATCAACATGACCCCTAGTGTGGTGCAATGATGTATTAAAGACTCAGTTAAGGCAAGATGTGGTGGCTTACACCTGTAATCCCAGCACTTTGGGAGGCCAAATCACTTGAGGTCAGGAGTTTGAGACCAGCCTGGCCAACATGTAAAACCCCATCTCCACTAAAAATATGAAAATTAGCCAGGCGTGGTGGCGCATGCCTGTAATACCAGCTACTCTGGAGGCTGAGGCAGGAGAATCACTTGAATCTGGGAGGTGAAGGTTGCAGTGAGCCGAGATCATGCCACTGCCCTCCAGCCTGGGCAACAGAGCAAGACTCTATCTCAAAAAAATAAAGACTCAGTTAAGGCACCACTTGAGAGACCACACCCCAGAAAGAATGGTTTGGGTTTTTTACCCCGCACAGAGGCTGGGATTCTTTTTTATAGCATGCACACTACTATCTTTTTTTTTTTTTTTGAGACAGAGTCTCACTCCTGTTGCCCAGTCTAGAGCGCAATGGGGTGATCTCAGCCCACTGCAACCTCCACCTCCTTGGTTCAAGAGATACTGCTGCCTCAGCCTCCTGAGTAGCTAGGATTACAGGCATGCGCCACCACGCCTGGCTAATTTTTTTTTTTTTTTTTTTTTGCATTCCTAAAGTGCAAACTTTATTTGAGTTTTTTTTTTTTTTTTAAATTTATTTTTTTATTGATAATTCTTGGGTGTTTCTCACAGAGGGGGATTTGGCAGGGTCATGGGACAATAGTGGAGGGAAGGTCAGCAGATAAACAAGTGAACAAAGGTCTCTGGTTTTCCTAGGCAGAGGACCCTGCGGCCTTCCGCAGTGTTTGTGTCCCTGATTACTTGAGATTAGGGATTGGTGATGACTCTTAACGAGCATGCTGCCTTCAAGCATCTGTTTAACAAAGCACATCTTGCACCGCCCTTAATCCATTTAACCCTGAGTGGACACAGCACATGTTTCAGAGAGCACAGGGTTGGGGGTAAGGTCACAGATCAACAGGATCCCAAGGCAGAGGAATTTTTCTTAGTGCAGAACAAAATGAAAAGTCTCCCATGTCTACTTCTTTCTACACAGACACGGCAACCATCCGATTTCTCAATCTTTTCCCCACCTTTCCCGCCTTTCTATTCCACAAAGCCGCCATTGTCATCCTGGCCCGTTCTCAATGAGCTGTTGGGCACACCTCCCAGACGGGGTGGTGGCCGGTCAGAGGGGCTCCTCACTTCCCAGTAGGGGCGGCCGGGCAGAGGCGCCCCTCACTTCCCGGATGGGGCGGCTCGCCGGGCAGGGGGGCTGACCCCCCCCACCTCCCTCCCGGACGGGGCGGCTGGCCGGGCGGGGGGCTGACCCCCCAACCTCCCTCCCGGACCGGGCGGCTGGCCGGGCAGAGGGGCTCCTCACTTCCCAGTAGGGGCGGCCGGGCAGAGGCGCCCTCACCTCCCGGGCGGGGCGGCTGGCCGGGCGGGGGGGGCTGACCCCCCCCACCTCCCTCCCGGACGGGGCGGCTGGCCGGGCAGAGCGGCTCCTCACTTCCCAGTAGGGGCGGCCGGGCAGAGGCGCCCCTCACCTCCCAGACGGGGCGGCTGGCCGGGCGGGGGGGCTGACCCCCCCCACCTCCCTCCCGGACGGGGCGGCTGGCCGGGCAGAGGGGCTCCTCACTTCCCAGTAGGGGCGGCCGGGCAGAGGCGCCCCTCACCTCCCGGACGGGGCGGCTGGCCGGGTGGGGGGGCTGACCCCCCCCACCTCCCTCCCGGACGGGGTGGCTGCCGGGCGGAGACGCTCCTCACTTCCCAGATGGGGTGGCTGCCGGGCGGAGACGCTCCTCACTTCTCAGACGGGGCGGCTGCCGGGCGGAGGGGCTCCTCACTTCTCAGACGGGGTGGTTGCCAGGCAGAGGGTCTCCTCACTTCTCAGACGGGGCGGCCGGGCAGAGACGCTCCTCACCTCCCAGACGGGGTCTCGGCCGGGCAGAGGCGCTCCTCACATCCCAGATGGGGCGGCGGGGCAGAGGCGCTCCCCACATCTCAGACGATGGGCGGCCGGGCAGAGACGCTCCTCACTTCCTAGATGTGATGGCGGCTGGGAAGAGGCGCTCCTCACTTCCTAGATGGGATGGCGGCCGGGCGGAGACGCTCCTCACTTTCCAGACTGGGCAGCCAGGCAGAGGGGCTCCTCATATCCCAGACGATGGGCGGCCAGGCAGAGACACTCCTCACTTCCCAGACGGGGTGGCGGCCGGGCAGAGGCTGCAATCTCGGCACTTTGGGAGGCCAAGGCAGGCGGCTGGGAGGTGTAGGTTGTAGTGAGCCGAGATCACGCCACTGCACTCCAGCCTGGGCACCATTGAGCACTGAGTGAACGAGACTCCGTCTGCAATCCCGGCACCTCGGGAGGCCGAGGTTGGCGGATCACTCGCGGTTAGGGGCTGGAGACCGGCCCGGCCAACACAGCGAAACCCCGTCTCCACCAAAACCAGTCAGGCGTGGCGGCGCGTGCCTGCAATCGCAGGCACTCGGCAGGCTGAGGCAGGAGAATCAGGCAGGGAGGTTGCAGTGAGCCGAGATGGCAGCACTACAGTCCAGCTTCGGCTCCGCATGAGAGGGAGACCGTGGGGAGAGGGAGACGGAGATGGAGACGGAGACGGAGAGGGAGAGGGAGAGGGAGAGGGAGAGGGAGAGGAAGAGGGAGAGGGAGAGGGAGAGGGCATGAAAATAGGAAATGTGAATCCTCCAACTTTTTTTTTTTGGAGACGGAGTCTCGCTCTGTTGCTCAGACTGGAGTGCAGTGGCACTATCTCAGCTCACTGCAAACTCCATCTTCCAGGTTCAAGTGATTCTCCTGCCTCAGCCTACCAAGTATCTGGGACTACAGGCAGGTGCCACCATGCCCGGCTAATTTTTGTATTTTTAGTAGAGATGGGGTTTCACCATGTTGGCCAGGCTGGTCTTCAACTTCTGACCTCAAGTGATCCACCCTCCTCAGCCTCCCAGCGTGCTGGGATTACGGGTGTGAGCCACCTCATCCAGCCTCTTTTTTTTTCTTTTAATATCTAAAATCCTTTTTAGAACATCATTGCTGTTTGCCAAATAGAAGACACAGACAGCAGATGAACAGTGGAAACAGAACCCGGTGACCTGAGCCACCTAGTGGCTGGGGACCCTCCCCTCTACCTGGCGGACCAGCCTGGCGACCTCTGCCCCTCCCCGGGCCCCTGGGCCTTTGGCATGATGCTGATGGGGCGCTGTGGGCAGTGAAGTCCCTTGACTCAAAGCAGAGACTTGAATGGGTGCTGGAGAGTGGGGACAGTGGAGAGGGCGGGGAGGGGGAGAGGGCAGGGAAGGCCTGGCAGGCCCCCAGGGCTAGGGGGAGCAGCGGAAGTGGAGGAAGCCAGGAGCTGGGGAGATGGTGTCTATTTTTGTTTTCTGAAAAGGGGCGCCTAGGGGCTTGCACACAGGTGGCAGCTGCAGCTGGGGTGGGTCACGCACTGACATCCCCGCCTGTCTTGGGAACAGCTTCCAGCAGCCGGTCCCTGAACACTCCTCCTCTCCCTCCTTGGCCTCGCTGACCTCAGAGTTGGGGACCCGGAGGCCGGCGTCGATACACTGTTGCATGGGGAACTTGGCCTTGGTGGGGTCCATCTTGCTGCATTTGCGCGTCCTTCGCATTGAAGCCCTTTTGGAGTTCCTCAGGGGGAACTCGTCACCTCCACGGGTTCCAGGCCACCAGGGCCAAGCTGCTTCTTGAGCTCCTCCTCCTAGTACTCCTGCACCACCTGCTTTCTAGACGCGCAGCTTGGCGCAGCCCCACACAGGCTCCGTGGAGGCTTCCAGCTCGTCCTTGAAGCTCTCCATGCACTAGCAGTCAGCCGTCTGAATCTCAGTGAAGAACTGCCAGAAGCAGACCCGGGGGACCCCTTCCGGCTCCTGACCAACACCAGGTTGAACTGCGTGACAATTGCCTAGTGGACCACCTGCTCCATGAGGGCGCATTTCTCCTGCACCTCTAGATCAGCACACCAGATGACCAGGTAGTTGACCATCTTCTCATCAGGCTTGGTGTTCACCATGCTCCTGCTAAAGCCGTCTTTTCTTTTTTTTTTTGAGACGGAGTCTTGCTCTGTCGCCCAGGCTGGTGTGCAATGGCATGATCTTGGCTCACTGCAGCCTCCGCCTCCCGGGTTCAAGCGATTCTCCTGCCTCAGCCTCCCGAGCAGCTGGGATTACAGGCGCCCACCACCACGCTCAGCTACTTTTTGTATTTTTGTAGAGACGAGGTTTCGCCATGTTGGTCAGGCTGGTCTCAAACTCCTGACCTCAAGTGATCGCCCCGCATCAGCCTCCCAAAGTGCTGGGATTACAGGTGTGAGCCACCGCACCCAGCCTGAAACTGCTTTTGCTGAGCGTGTCCACGTTCCAGGTCATGCTCTTTTTCTTGGGCATCTCCTCCAGCTTTTGCTCCCAGCTCAGCTCCTCGTGTAGCCACTCCACCTCCACCCTGGCACCCTCTGACACCTCCAGCTCCTTCAGCTTCCTCTGGCACTCGGCCATCTTGCACTTGTACTCCCAGCAGCCCCTGTCCAGTTCCTCCTTCTCCTTCTGGAACTGCTCCATGAGCTCCACCCGGGCTTGGTGCTGCCAGCGGAAGAGGTTAGCCCGGTGGGTGTTGGGATGCCTCTCCTCTTCATCATCGCTCAGTGTGGCCCCACACGCTGTAGTCCAACATTTTGCCTCTGCGACCCAGCTAACTCCCTGAACAGTGGTTCTCAGTGAGGTAGTACTGCCCCCTAGGGCCATTTTGGAAGCTTGTTTGTGGGGGCTTTGATCTCACTGTGAATGTGACAATGTCCTTAGAGGGAGAGAGCAAAGCCATCCTGCCATGCACAGTATGGTCCTGGATGAAGAGAGATTCTTCTACGTTTGAGTGGTTTTTTTAATATCCCCGCCAGACATCCAACAATATGTGCTAAGAATCTAACTTCATTTTACATATGAACCCAAAGTCGCTTGTTTTGTTTTGTTTTAGATAGAGAGTCTTGCTTGGTCACTCAAGCTGGAGTGCAGTGGCGCGATCTCAGCTCACTGCAACCTCCGCCTCCCAGCTTCAAGCGATTCTCCTGCCTCTGCCTCTTGAATAGCTGGGATTACAGGCATGCACCACCAAACCTAGCTAATTTTTGTATTTTTAGTAGAGACAGGGTTTCGCCATGTTGGCCAGGCTGGTCTCGAACTCCTGACCTCAGGTAATCTGCCCGCCTCAGCCTCCCAAAGTGCTGGGATTACAGGCATGAGCCACTGCGCCCAGCCTAAACCCAAAGTATTTCTTGCTTGGTTTTAATATACACTGAATTTTTCAAGAATTCGACTATCGTGTATTAGTATGAACTAAATGTTTGTGTTCTCCTGCCAAATGCATATGTTGAAGCCCTAATCCCCAATGTCATAGCATTTGAAGGTGAGAAGGTGAGGCCCTTGGAAGGTAATTGGGGCTAGATTACGTCATGAGGGTGGGAGACTTCATGATGGTATTAATGCCCTCACAGAAAGAGAACGAGACAAGCAATCTCTTTCTCCACCAAGTGGGGATACAGCAAGAAGGCAGCTGTGAGCAAACCAGAAACAGAGCCCTCACCAGACACCAAATCGGTTTTGCCAGCACCTTAATCTTGGACTTCCCAGCCTCCAGAACTGTGAAAAATAAATATTGTTTTTTAAGCCACCCTGTTTATGGTATTTTGTTATAGCAGCCTGAGCTGACTAAAATCTCAGGTCATTGAAGGAAGATGTATTTTGCTTCGTTGGGATCTTTACCAAGAGCTGTACTTGGACAATTCCTTTACTGAAGGCAACACACACATTAAAATCCATTGCTTACCAGCTGCACTGCAGTGCCTCAGTCACCATGATTCTAAGTATAAAAATGCTAAGTATAGGCCAGGTACAGTATCTCATGCCTGTAATTTCACCACTTTGGGAGGCTGAGGCACTCAGATCACTTGAGATCAGGAGTTCGATTCCAGCCTGGCCAACATGGTGAAACCCTGTCTCTACTAAAGATACAAAAATTAGCTTAGCATGATGGTGTGTGCCTGTAATCCCAGCTACTTGGGAGGCTGAGGCAGGAGAATCGCTTGAACCTGGGAGGCAAAGGTTGCAGCGAGCTGCACCATTGCACTCCAGCCTGGGCAACAAGAGTGAAACTCCATCTCAAAAAAAAAAAAAAAAAAAAAAACTAGCTACTAGCTATATGCTATTTCAAGATGTATATAAATATCATTATTATACAGAAATATTGAAAAGCAATTAATAAAAAAATACATCAGGCCAAAACCAACTAAAATGAAGTTGGAAAGCTATATTAGTATCAGAAAAAATAGACTCACAAAAAGTATTACTGCAGATAAAGAGTGTCATCTCATAATAATAAAATAGTCCCAGCCTGTCCAACATGGCGAAACCCCGTCTCTACTAAAAAATACAAAAATTAGCTGGGTGTGGTGCCACGTTCCTGTAATCCAAGCTACTTGGAAGGCTGAGGCAGGAGAATCACTTGAACCTTGGGGGTGGAGGTTACAGTGAGCCGAGATTGTGCCAGTGCACTCCAGCCTGGGTGACAGAGTGAGACTCCATCTCAAAAAATAAATAAAAAATAAAATAAAATATTCAATTTAACAGGGATGTATAACAAAAACTACTCTGTACCTAATAATAAAAATTTAAAACATATGATGTAAATATTGAAAAAAATGTTGATACAAGCTTTATTTATAATATGGCCAGGTATGGTGGCTCACACCTGTAATCCTAGCACTTTGGGAAGCCAAGGTGGGAGGATCACCTGAGGTCAGGATTTCCAGACCAGCCTGGCCTGGTCTCTACTAAACATGGTGAAACCCCATCTCTACTAAAAATACAAAAATTAGCCAGGTGTGATGATGCACGCCTGTAATCTAAGCTAATTGGGAGGCTGAGGCACGAGAACCTCTTGAACCTGGGAGGCGGAGGTTGCAGTGAGCCAAGATCATGCCACTGCACTTCATCATGGAGGACACAATGAGACTCCATCAAAAAAAAAAAAATCTACAGGAGAATGAATACATTGTGGTATCGATCGTCATTCAATTGAAAACCATTCAGGAATTTAAAAAGAATGACTGGGCTGGGCGCGGTGACTTACGCCTGTAATTCCAGCACTTTGGGAGGCCAAGGTGGGCAGATCACCGGAGGTCAGTAGTTCGAGACCAACCTGACCAACATGGAGAAAACCAGTCTCTACTAAAATTGTAAAATTAGCTAGGTGTGGTGGTGCATGCCTGTAATCCCAGCTACTCATGAGGCTGAGGCAGGAGAATCGCTTAAACCCGGGAGGCAGAGGTTGCGGTGAGCCAAGATTGCGCCATTGCACTCCAGCCTGGACAACAAAAGCAAAACTCCATCTCAAAAAACAAACAAACAAACAAAAAAGAATGTCCTACCATACTGGTGCACTTAACACGGATGAATCTCATAATAAGTATTATGGTCAACAATAGAAGCCAGGTACAAAAAAGGATATGCCTTATGATTCTATTTATATGAAGCTCAAGAACCGGCAAAACTGGCCAGGCGTGGTGGCTCATGCTTGTAATCCCATGCTTTGGGAGGCTGAGGCAGGATGATTGCTTGAGGCCAGGAGTTCGAGACCAGCCTGGGAACATAGTGAGGCCCCCCCCGTCTCTACAAAAAACAAAAACCCCACAAAAAACATTAGCTGAACTCGGTGGTGTACACCTGTGGTCCCGGCTACTTGGGAGGCTGAGACAGGAGGATCCCTTAAACCCAGGAGTTCAAGGCTGCTGCAGTGAGCTGGGATCTTGCAATTGCACACCAGCCTGGGCAAGAGAGTGAGATCTTGTCTCTAGTAAAAAAAAATCAAAAAACAGGCAAAACTAATAGATGATGATAGACACCAAACCAGTGATTGATTAGTGCAGCTGATTCATTTAGCTATATGTATGTTGTCTTTTAATAATTACAATAATAGGCAGAGTGTGGTGGCTTATGCCTGTAATCCCAGCATCCTGGGAGGCCGAGGCAGGCAGATCACTTGAGGCTAGGAGTTTGAGACCAGCGTGGCCAACATGGTGAAACCCTGTCTCTACTAAAAATATAAAAATTAGTTGGGTGTGGTGGTGCATGCCTGTAATCCCAGCTACTCCAGTGGCTGAGACAGGAAAATTGCTTGAGCCTTGGAGGCGGAGGTTGCAGTGAGCAGAAATCGTGCCACTGCACTCACACCTGGGCGACACAGCAAGGCTCTGTTTCCAAACGAAAAATTTATAATAATAATAGAAACATATCATTGAACATGTACTATGTGAAATGCACTGAGGGGATACTAAGACATTCCTGTCTTCAAGGTACTTGAGGTCTATTTGAGAAAATTAAACACAAAGCAAAATACAATAAAATTGTGTGTATCAGAAAGTTATATTATCTGTGAATTTCATAGTCTTGACTTTTCTTTTTTTTTTTTTTTTTGAAATGGAGTCTCGCTCTGTCGCCAGGCTGGAGTGTAGTGGCGTGATCTCGGCTCACTGCAACCTCCGCCTCCCAGGTTCAAGCGATTCTCCTGCCTCAGCCTCCCGAGTAGCTGAGACTACAGGCACGCGCTACCATTCCCAGCTAATTTTTGTATTTTTAGTAGAGTTGGGGTTTCACCATGTTGGCCAGGATGGTCTCTATCTCTTGACCTCGTGATCCTCCCACCTCGGCCTCCCAAAGTGCTGGGATTACAGGCATGAGCCACTATGCCCAGCCTGAATTTCAAAGTCTTTTGAGACATTTATTTTAGAAAGGGGATATTGAAGCCAGGCACATTGGCTCACACCTGTAATTCCAACACTTTGGGAGGCCAAGGCAGGAGGATTACTTGAGCCCAGGAGTTTGAGACCAGCCTGGACAACATAGCGAGAATCCATCTCTAAAAAAATTTAAAAAATGAATCTCAGCCAGGCACGGTGGCTCACGCCTGTAATCCCAGCACTTTGGGAGGCCAAGGTGGGTGGATCACTTGAGGTCAGGAGTTCAAGACCAGCCTGACCAACATGGTGAAACTCTGTCTCTACTAAAAATACAAAAATTAGTTGGATGTGGTGGTGCATGCCTGTAATTCCAGCTACTCACAAGGCTGAGGCAGGAGAATCGTTTGAACCCAGGAGGTGGAGGGTGCAGTGAGCCGAGATCACACCACTGCACTCCAGCCTGGGCAACAGAGCAAAACTCTATCTCAAAAAATAAAAAATAAAAATAAATAAGTCTCGTGTGGTGACGGGCGCCTGTAGTTCCAGGACAATGATTGTATCACTGCACTCCAGCCTGGGTGAAAGAGCAAGACCCTGTCTCAAAATAAATACATAAATAACAGTCCAACGTGGTGGCGTGCACCTGTAGTCCCAACTCGGGAGGCTGATATGGGAGGATCACTTGAGCTCAGGAGTTTGATGCTGCAGTGACCTATGATCACACCACTGCACTCCAGTCTGGGTGACAGAGTGACACCCTCTCTCAAATAGTAATAATAATAATTTTTAAGATTAAAAAAAGAAAGAAAAGGAAAAAATAAAAGAAAAAGGGGGGATATCAGTGGCTGGAGTTGCGTGAGTGAGGGGGAGTGTGGTACCCAGCATTTTGTCCCACAGAGGGGTTCCCATGGCACTCCCTCCCCTTTTCCCACGCTCTGTCCTCTCCTTCCGCTCAGTTCATTCCCCTTCTGCAATAAAATAATATACTTGGAAGCGTCTTCTGTGACCTGCGAGTTAGAGGACCTGGTTTCAGAATCTCATGCTGTCACAACAGAGCCCTCCCCCGCACTGCAGAGTCCTGCTTTTCTCATTTGTAAAATGAGGTTAGTAATAGCTGCTTTTCCTGCCCACCTATAAGTTTTCATGAGTTTCAAGCACCTCTATGCATTTGAAATTGTTATTCAAATGCCAGTTATGGTTATCATCTTCCTGCTTGCTGGCTGTGTTATTACAGGCACATGAAGAGAGTCAATCTGCTGTGAGAAATACGTACGCCCACATGAACTGGAGACACCAGACTGATCAAAGCTCTTCCAGGGTGTCGTTCCCACTCTGGGACCATTAAGGACCCCATCAGAATCTGGGTATTAACAAAATTCACCTATTAAATACACCCATGTTACGTTTGTCTCCAGTCACAGAGCCTACTACACTCATAAAGGAAGAAATTATTAGGTAAATTACTAGGTTTTCTTTCCCTTTTTTTTTTTTTTTTTTTTTTTTTTTTTTTTTGGCGACAAGGTCTTGCTCTGTCGCCCAGGCTGGAGTGCAGTGGCAAGATCTTGGCTCACTGCAACCTCTGCCTCCTGGGTTCAAGCGATTCCCCTGCCTCAGCCTCCCAAGTAGCTGGGATTACAGGCGTGCACCACCATGCCCGGCTAATTTTTGCATTTTTAGTAGAGGTGGGGTTTCACGGTGTCAACTAGGCTGGTCTCGAGCTCCTGACCTCAGGTGATCCACCCGCCTCGGCCTCCCAAAGTGCTGGGATTACAGGTGTGAGTCACCATGCCCGACCTAGGATTTCTTTAAGTCAGCTGCCTTCATTCCCATTTTTCCTATTTACAAAATGAAGTTGAGGCCAAGCACAGTGGCTTAGTCTTGTAATCTCAGAGCTTTGGGAGGCCAATGCTAGAGAATTGCTTAAGGCCAGGAGTTCAAGATCAGCCTGGGCAATATAGTGAGACTCCATCTCTACAAAAAGTAAAAATATTAATTGGGTGTAGTGGTGTGTGCCTGTTGTCTCAGCTACTCAGGAGGCTGAAGTGGGAGGATCGCTTGAGGCCAGGAGTTTGAGGCTGCAGTGAGCCGTAATCACACCACTGCACTTCAGCCTGGGCAGCAGAAATTGCAAAAAAAGAAAAAAGAAAAAAGAAAAAAGAAAAAAAAGGCCGGGCGCGGTGGCTCACACCTGTAATCCCAGCACTTTGGGAGGCTGAGGTGGGCGGATCACAAGGTCAGGAGATCAAGACCATCCTGGCTAACACGGTGAAACCCCATCTCTACTAAAAATACAAAAAATTAGCTGGGCGTGGTGGCAGTTGCCTGTAGTCCCAGCTACTCGGGAGGCTGAGGCAGGAGAATGGCATGAACCCGGGAGGTGGAGCTTGCAGTGAGCCAAGATCGCGCCACTGCACTCCAGCCTAGGTGATGGAGCAAGACTCCGTCTCGAAAAGAAAAAAAAAAGACTAAGTTGAATTCACTCAAAAATTGTTGGAGTCTGGCTCTAAAACAACACATCTCTCAACAGTTTAGATAGCTGTGGAATAATGTTTGGGTTGGAATGCAAACTATCGATTTGACCTTAGACAGGTCACTTGACCTTTTAGGACATCAACATTCTCCTCTCTAAAGTGGAACAGTGTGGCCTGCCTTCTGGGGTTATTATGCTTTTTTTTTTTTTTTTAAATGGAGTTTTACTCTTGTTGCCCAGGCTGGAGTGCAATGGCGTGATCTCGGCTCACTGCAACCTCCACCTCCTGGGTTCAAGCAATTATCCTGCCTCAGCCTCCCAAGTAGTTGGGATTACAGGCATGTGCCACTACACCCAGCTAATTTTGTATTTTTAGCAGAGATGGGGTTTCACCATTGTTAGTCGAGCTGGTCTCGAACTCCTGACCTCAGGTGATCCACCCACCTCAGCCTCCCAATGTGCTGGAATTACGGGTGTGAGCCACCACACCCAGCCTATTATGAATACTTTTAAAAGGCAATCAGGCTGGGTGTGGTGGCTCATGCCTTTAATCCCAGCACTTTGGGAAGCAAAGGCAGGCGGACCACTTGAGGTCAGGAGTTCAAGGCCAGCCTGGCCAACATGGTGAGATCTCATCTCTACTAAAAGTACAAAAATTAGGTGTGGTGGCAGGCACCTGTGATCCCAGCTACTCAGGAGGCTGAGGCAGAAGTATCGCTTGAACCTAGGAGGCGGAGGTTGCAGTGAGCCAAGATTATGTCCAGCCTAGGCGACAGAGCAAGACTCTGTCTCAAAAACCAAACAAAAAAAAAGAGAATGAGACAGAGCCATATGCACTGATACAGAATGAGCTGCAAGATATATGATGAATAATGAAATAAGATGCAGGAAACAATGGTAGAGACAGATATGTTCCAGGTAGACGCACACACACACACACACATACCCTGATCTATATAATTCATATACATATATTGAATATATATATATACACACACACATATATATATACATACACACATACAATACATCTATCTATATCCTTTCTGTCTCTATCTAGTCATTTCTTGGTATCCTCAAGGGATTGGTTCTAGGATTCCTGGGAGATACCAAAACCTGTACATACTCAAGTCCCGCAGTTGCCCCTGTGGAACCTGTAGTTACAAAATTTGGGCCCTTGGTATACATGGGTTTCAAATCCAGTGAATACTGTTATTTTTGATTGACATTTCGTTCCAGATGTGGAACCCACCTGTATGGAGGATTGACTGTATTTATTGAATAAAATCCACATATACGTAGACCTACACATTCTTCAAGAGTCAACTCTGTGTGTGTGTGTGTATGTGTGTGTGTGTGTGTGTATACACAAAGAGAGATACGGAGAGAGAGGGCACAAAGTGACATCTGGAAGATAACGCTATAAACTGACAATTGTGTTTGCTTCTAGAGAGAAAAGCTGATGAACATGAGGTCAGGGCAGGAAGGAAACATTTTTTCCTGTATATTTTTTCTTCCTGTGTATTCTGTTGTACCATTTTCATTTTGTAAAAATGTACACATATTATTTAAAATAAAGAGAGCTGGGCGTGGTGGCTCACGCCTGTAATCCCAGCATTTTGGGAGGCCGAGGCGGGTGGATCACCTGAGGTCAGGAGTTCGAGACCAGCTTGGACAACATGGTGAAACCCCTTCTCTATTACAAATACAAAAATTAGCTGGATGTGGTGGTGCACGTCTGTAAATCCCAGCTACTTGGGAGGCTGAGGCAGGAGAATTGCTTGAAACTGGGAGGCGGAGGTTGAAGTGAGCCAAGATCATACCATTGCACTCCAGCCTGGGCAACAAGAGCAAAACTCCATCTCAAAAAAAAAAAAAAAAAAGATATTTATGGATTTACAGACGTACAATGAACCCCTTGGTTTTTTTTTTTAACTTTTTTTTTTTGGAGACAGAGTCTTGCTCTGTCGCTCAGGCTGGAGTGCAGTGGCACGATCTTGGCTCACTGCAACCTCCACCTTCAGGGTTCAAGCAATTCTCCTGCCTCAGCCTCCTGAGTAGCTGGAATTACAGGCATCTGCCACTATGCCAGGCGAATTTTTGTATTTTTAGTAGAGATGGGGTTTCACCATGTTGGCCAGGCTGGTCTCGAATTCCTGACCTCAAGTGATCTGCCCACCTCTGCCTCCCAAAGTGTTGGGATTACAGGCATGAACCACCATGCCCAGCCTCATATTAAGTTTTGACGGTGCTGGGTGGGTTGTGAGTACATAGATGTCCATTGGAATAGTCTTTATTCTTGTCTGTTGAAATATTTCACAATAAAAAACAAAACGGCCAGGTGTGGTAGCTCATGCCTATAATCCCAGCACTTTGGAAGAGCATGCTCTTCCCTTCCCAGCACTTCCCTGTCCCGCTCCCATATCAAAACCACCTTGAAAAATGTAACACAGTCCCTTGCACTAAAACCTCTGCCGATGGCGGCTCCAAACCACAGGCCTATAAAGACCTGCAAGATCTAGCATCGTCTACTTTTTTTTTTTTTTTTTTTTTTTTTGAGACAGAGTCTTGCTCTGTCACCCAGGCTGGAATGCAGTGGTGTGATCTCTGCTCACTGCAATCTCTTCCTCCTGGGTTCAAGTGATTCTCCAGCCTCAGCCTCCCACGTAGCTGGGATTACAGGCAGGTGACACTGTGCCAGGCTAATTTTCGTATTTTTTAGTAGACACGGGGTTTTGCCATATTGGCCAGGCTGGTCTCGAACTCCTGACCTCAGGTGATCCACCCACCTCAGCCTCCCAGAGTGTTGGAATTACAGGAGTGAGCCACTGTGCCTGGCTAGCATTGTCTACTTTTTTTTTTTTGAGATGGAGTTTCGCTTTTGTTGTCCAGGCTGGAGTCCAGTGGCTCGATCTCGGCTCACCACAACCTCCGCCTCCCGGGTTCAAGCGATTCTCCTGCCTCAGCCTCCCGAGTAGCTTGGCTTACAGGCATGCACCACCACGCCTGGCTAATTTTGTATTTTTAGTAGAGATGGGGTTTCTCCATATTGGTCAGGCTGGTCTCGAACTCCCGACCTCGGGTAATCCGCCTGCCTCGGTCTCCCAAAGTGCTAGGATTACAGGCGTGAGTGAGCCACCGCACCCGGCAGGATTATCTACTTCTATACTATTAATGCCTATTAATGCTGTAATTACACGCGTGAGCCACTGCGCCCCGCCGATCTTCGTGTTTTAAATCCCGACACCAACGCGCGGTAGGATTCGCGACGCCTGCAGCCAAGGTCTCAGCGCCCGGTTCCCTCAGGCTTGTCCCCGCCCCCTTATGGCGCGAAGGCCACTGGGAGTTGTAGTCTCCCAGTGTAGTTAGTCGGCGCTTCCCGGAAGTGACGCGAGGACCCGCCTTCTCTCTCGGCGTTTCCGCTGTCAGGGCCCTGCGGTGTGACTCGCGGGCTCAGCTGGTTGGTATTTTTTGGGCCTCGTGCTTCGTGGTGGGAGACCCAGGTCGAGGTCCGGGTGGGGCCGGTGAGGGGTTGGGCGTCGGGAGGTGTTGGCTCGGGCCTCTTCGCGTGGCCGGTGACGCCTTGGCTCCCCCGCAGGTCCGGCCGTAGCACCTCCGCGCCGTCGCCATGTCGCGGTTTTTCACCACCGGTTCGGACAGCGAGTCCGAGTCGTCCTTGTCCGGGGAGGAGCTCGTCACCAAACCTGTCGGAGGCAACTATGGCAAACAGTGAGTTGCGGGGGCTGTGGCTGTGACCATTCTGGGAGTGCGGGGTTAGGCAGGCTGTGGAACGCAGTGCACATGGGAGGGGATGGAGGTGAGGGCGGGGAGAGTGGGTTTGGACAATGACCAGAGTTTGCAGGATCGGAGCGGTGTTGGAGAGAGACAGCCTTAGAGGGCTGTGATAGCCGGTAGCCACCCACCAGGCACAAGGGATAGAATCACAGAGGTTTCCCAAGCCAGATCTGTTGCATCAGCTTCTTAACTGGCCTTAAGTCTACAGCCTCTACCTGTCTCCTCTCATTTTACCGCCGAGAAGTCCTTAGTGACTTCTCACTGCTCACAGAAGGAAATGCAAAATGCTTGATTGGTATCTGGGAGCCCCCTGATGCGACTCTGAAGTCTGGTCACCTGCTGTGTACGCAGGTGCTTAAACATTTTATATGCCTGTTCACCTCTACGTAAATACCCATCCGCCATTTCTGTACATTAATTTTTTTTTTTTTACCCTTTGGAACAATAGAATGGTTTTTCTTTTTCCTTTTTTTTTTCTTTTTTTGAGGGGTCATAGCTCACTGCTGCCTCGACCTTCAGATCTCAAGCGATCCTCCCACCTCAGCCTCTCAAGTAGATGGGACTACAGGTGCACGCCATCGCAGCAGGCTAATTGTTTTTAATTTTTTGTAGAGAAGGTGTCTCACTGTGTTGCTTAGACTGGTTCTGAACTCCTGGGCTCAAGTGAACCTCCCGCCCAGCATTCTAAAGTGTTGGGGTTACAGGAATGAGCCACTGTGCCCCACTGGAATGGTGTTTCTTAAACATCTGCCACGTTTGTGCTACTGTTTTAAAAGTATGTATTGCACATGTATATGCCAATATGCATATGGTTTCGTATCACTTCCACAGGTGGAAACCAGTGTCATTTGCCATAAAATACCAAATAATCCAGGCTGGGCAGGTGGCTCAAGCCGGTAATCCCAGCACTTTGGGAGGCTGATTACTTGAGGTCAGGAGTTTGAGACCAGCATGGCCAATAAGGTGAAACCCCGTCTCTACTAAAAATACAAAAATTAGCCGGTTGTGGTGGCACATGCCTGTAACCCCAGCAACTTAGGAGGCTGAGGCAGGAGAATCTCTTGAACCTTGGAGGCGGAGGTTGTAGTGAGCCGAGATTGCGCCATTGCACTGCAGCCTGGGCGATAAAAGCAAAACTCCACCTCAAAAAACACCGCTAAAATAATCCAAAAAATAATAAAAAGGGAAAAGAGGCAGGCAAGATGGTGCATGCCTGTAGTCCCAACTACTCTGGAGGCTGAGGTGGGAGGATCCCTTGAAACTCAGGAGTTGGAGGCTGCCTGGGCAACATAGTGAGACCTTATCTCTTAACAAACAAAAAGAGTAGAGATACTGTTGCTGACTGTGAGCCTGTGGTCTGGTCTTATTATCGTAGAAAAATACTAGCAGTGGAGGTGTTAATACCATTGAGACTTTCTCCTTGCTGTTGGCCTCTCATACTTTGGGAAATGTTGCTAAGATCTAGTTTAGGTACCACCTCCCTAAAGCCTTTTCTGTTCATTATAGCTCAAGTATCATTTTTCTCTACCTCTTTTTTTATTCATTACTTCTGTGGTGACTTGTGTCTCTATGTCATTAGTTACACAGTAAATTAGCACTTTCATTTGTTTTTGAGAGGATAGTGAATGTCATCTTTGTGTTGCTACAACACTGAGCAAAAGGCCTTACTTAGTGTACACTTAAAAGATTGAGTTGTATATGAAGTGGCCCTGAGGAGGAGTCAAAAAGAGGATGGGTGTGGTGTGGATGGCCTGGATTACTTAGTTCTACCTGTCCTGAGTAGGGAAATACGGATCTCTTGGAAAGACTGGGAAAGGAGGTTAATGGCCTCTGTTCCTTCCAAACAGGCCATTGTTGCTGAGCGAGGATGAAGAAGATACCAAGAGAGTTGTCCGCAGTGCCAAGGACAAGAGGTAAAGCCATGGCGAGGCTGGGTGATGGGAGTCTCTGGGAGCAATGAAGCTGTGGGGAGGCTGGGTGATAGGAGTCTCTGGGAGCAGTGGTGAGTTTTCCCTCGGTGGGCACGTTCAATGTGGTATCGGGCTCCCAACCCAGGTTTGAGGAGCTGACCAACCTTATCCGGACCATCCGTAATGCCATGAAGATTCGTGATGTCACCAAGTGCCTGGAAGAGTTTGAGCTCCTGGGAAAAGCATATGGGAAGGCCAAAAGCATTGTGGACAAAGAAGGTGTCCCCCGGTTCTATATCCGCATCCTGGCTGACCTAGAGGACTATCTTAATGAGGTGTGATGCCTATATTTATTACCACCACTTATTCATGGTTTTGTACTTTTAGTGGTGGGATGTATAGGATCTTTTAAAAATAAGCTAACAGATGTAGTTAATAAGTAGTACCAGTGGTGTTCCAATAGCAAGACTCAAAAGTGGAGAAGAAGCCTGGAGTTTAGGAAATGTTACTTAGTTTCAAATCACTGTTCTCTGTTTCTTTCCTCTTCTTCCCTTTAGCTTTGGGAAGATAAGGAAGGGAAGAAGAAGATGAACAAGAACAATGCCAAGGCTCTGAGCACCTTGCGTCAGAAGATCCGAAAATACAACCGTGATTTCGAGTCCCATATCACAAGCTACAAGCAGGTGGGGAGGCTAGAGGCACACTTACTGAACTGGGAACAGTGACCCCGTGACTGAGGCCCAAAGATGGAATTGCTAGTGGGAGGTGTGACTGGAGCAGGAAGATGACAGAACTGTCTGGGGTGGAGGGGTGGGGTGGGCTGATGGCTGGACAGCGTCCATGATTGTTCTCTCACTTCCCTCTCTGTCCAGAACCCCGAGCAGTCTGCGGATGAAGATGCTGAGAAAAATGAGGAGGATTCAGAAGGTGAGCCAAAGAACCTTTGTTGCAAATAGGAAGTCCAGAGTTAGTGTTGCCCTTCGCCTGGTTTCTTGGCTGCCCTCCAGTCTGGCTTTTCAACATTCAGGATCTTTTTCTCCCTCCATTACCACTAGGCTCTTCAGATGAGGATGAGGATGAGGACGGAGTCAGTGCTGCAACTTTCTTGAAGAAGAAATCAGAAGCTCCTTCTGGGGAGAGTCGCAAGTTCCTCAAAAAGATGGATGTAAGAGCCAGGGTTAGATGGATGATTTCCTGCCAGAGGTAGTTCCTGAGTCCCTGGGGGAAAAAGACAAGACTCAAACCCCTAGGGTTGGGAGGGGTGGAATTTAGTGGAGTTGAGAACAAGCTTCCTCTTACATCAGAGCAGTGGGCAAACAGGGATCTGGGCCCAGCTCTGCCAGGGGAAGCTGTGTGTGTTCCTGCGGCCAAATTGCAGCATCACTCTGGGACTTGATGGTGAGTCCCAGCCCTTGGTATCTTGATTCCATGAGTAGCTGCTCTTGTTCTACTCATGTAAATAAATCTCGAACATGCGTTAGTAAGGAGGAGACACCAGTCAATCTCCCTGTCTTCTTGCTGATCCTCTTTTCTTCCCTCTAAGGATGAAGATGAGGACTCAGAAGATTCCGAAGATGATGAAGACTGGGACACAGGTTCCACATCTTCCGATTCCGACTCAGAGGAGGAAGAAGGGAAACAAACCGCGCTGGCCTCAAGATTTCTTAAAAAGTAAGGAAAGTAGTGGGACCTAGGGTTACACTGGAACTGGTGGAAAGCTCTTAATTGTCTGGAAGGTTATTGATTCTTCCATGGAGTCCTTTTAGGTTGGAGCAGCCAACTGTTAGCATTTTACAGTAGGATCAGAGAGTCAAGTACATTAGTTGGCTAAAGTCACGAAGCTAATGTGTCCTAAAGATGAGAATTGAAGGCTCCAGAGTCCAAATATTTACCCACAGCCTTACTCACTGCGTGTGGATTGGGTGCAAATCTCACTTTGGCACCCGATACCTGTGTGACATTGGACAAACTACTTAGCCTGTCTAATCTTCAGTTTTCTCATCTGTAAAATAAGGCAGGGAACCCTCCCTTCCAGAATAGCTGCAGGAATACAGGGAGGTGTGATGTAAGAAAGTAGTTCATCTAGGACTGACGTGTGGTGAGCCCTCAGTGTGCGTTGCTACTGTGTTACCCTTCCTGATAACTTCTTAGTACACATACAGCATACAGACTGCCGCAAGTGTTCATGACCTTTACTGGGACAGTCAGAATAGGGGAGGATCCCAGTGTGGATTCTGTCTCCCAGCCTTTATCAGCTGTACAACATTGTATAAGTTACTTGACCTTAAGTCTTAGTTTCTCCCTTTGAAGTAAAAGTGATACCTGCTCTTTTGTATCCCATGGGAGTGAAATCTCAAGCTCACTAAAAATAGTGCTTTTATTTATTTTTTCTTAGCCAGTTTGCACAAACTACAGATAAAAAGTGCTTTTTTTGAGACAGGGTCTCACTCTTCCCAGGCTGGAGTGTAGTGATGCAATCTTGGCTCACTGCAACCACAACCTCTTGGGCTCAGGTGATCTTCCCACCTCAGGCTCCTGGGTAGCTGGGACTACAGGTACACTCCAGTACATCCGGCTAATTCTTGTGTTTTTAATACAGACAAGATTTCACCATGTTACCCATGCTGATCTTGAACTCCTGGGCTTAAGCGATCCTCCCGCCTCAGCCTCCCAAAGTGCTGGGGTTATAGGCGTGAGCCACTGCACCCAGACAAATAGTACCCTTTTAATGGGAAGATTATTGCTCTCAAGGTTGCTTTCCTGTGTTTAAAAGTTGTGGTCGTGCTGCTTTAGGGAGGTAGTGAGTTTCCAGCCCTCTAGAGGTCTAGAGAGGCTGAACAACTTACTTGGTGGGCATTTTGTTGAGAAGGCCTTTTTTGTCCAGTGCTTCAGGGAACACTGGTCAAGGTCTGGGCCACATTGTCTATCACACCCCTTCTTGGAGGGTTTACAACCACCTCTGGAAAGTTCCATGAGAATAAATATACCTAACTTTGTTTTATTAACCATCTCAAAAACTTGCTTGATCATGAAACTCGTTTTTTTAACCTGTTGACATCTTACAGAACTATCAGCGTTACTATTGGTTCAGGTCTTTTATATCTACTGTACTTTGTGTTTTTGTCTTTGAATAATTGTGTATTGAAGTCTCCCATTGTGTGGACTCCGGTGTGTGATGTGCACTGCACATGTGTGTTACACAAAGGCTCCTGTCTGAGGGAGCAAATGGGGCCTAAAATTAAACTTAAGACATCAAGGCTGGGCACGGTGGCTTACGCCTGTAATCCCAGCACTTTGGGAGGCCGAGGCGGGCAGATCACGAAGTCAGGAGATCGAGACCATCCTGGCTAACACAGTGAAACCCAGTCTCTACTAAAAATACAAAAAATTAGCCAGACATGGTGGCAGGCGCCTGTAGTCCCAGCTACTCGGAAAGCTGAGGCAGGAGAATCGCTTGAACTGGGAGGCAGAGGTTGCAGTGAGCCGAGATCGTGCCACTGCACTCCAGTCTGGGCGACAGAGCAAGACTCTGTCTCAGAAAACGAAACAAAACAAAAAAAACTCTAAGACTATAAAGCTATACTTTTATAAATACAGACTCAAAAGTTCTTAACAACATAGTAGAAAACCAAACACAGCAACATACAATAAGGATTATATGGGAGCACCCCCTCCTTGCCTGTAGGGGGATGGAGGATGGGTGGGCTCATCTCCCAAAAAAGTTTTAAAAAAAAATTTAATAACAAGGAGGATTTATCCCAATAATAGAAGGATGTTTTAATATGAAAATCAACTAATATACTATATCAATAGAATAACAGACAAAAGCCGTAGAGTCATCTCAGCAGATGCAAAAAAAAGCATTTGAAAAAAATCCTAATATTCTTTCATGATAAAAGACTGAAGCTAGGAATAGAAGGGAGCTTCCCTCTACCTGATAAAGGATGTTTATGAAAAGGACGTTTCCTGTCCTTTTATTTTTAACTCTGCCATGCTGTATGATTAAGAGTGTTTCTTGGCTGGGCGTGGTGGCTCACGCCTGTAATCCCAGCACTTTGGGAGGCGGAGGCAGGCAAATCACAAGGTCAGGAGTTCGAGACCAGCCTGGCCAACATGGCGAAACCCCATCTCTACTAAAAATACAAAAAAATTAGCCCGGTGTGGTGGCCTGCGCCTGTAGTCCCAGCTACTCATGAGGCTAAGGCAGGAGAATTGCTTGAACCCGGGAGGCGGAGGTTGCAGTGTGCCGAGATCGCGCCATTGCACTTCAGCTTTGGGCAACAGAGCAAGACTCCGTCTCAGGAAAAAAAAAAAAAAAAAAAAAAAAGAGTGTCTCTTAAGCACAGCTAGGTTTTTGGTTTGTTTTTTTTTTAATCTCATAAAATCTCTGCTTTTTTTTTCTTTTATTGTGATACATAACATTTCCCATTTTAACCATTTTCAGGTATACAAATCAGTGGCATTTAGTACGTTCACATTGTGCAATGACCGCCAGAACTTGATCTCTGCTTCTCTGGCAATTTAGTTCATTTACGTTTATTATAGTTATTTACATATATATGATGGTTATTTATATATGTGTCTACATAATTAGTTTTTATCAAGATGGGGTCTTGCCCTGTTGCCCAGGATGGTCTCGAACTCCTGGGCTCGAGTAACCCTTCTGCCTGGGCCTCCTAAAGTGCTGGGATTACAGGCGTGAGCCACTGCGCCCAGCCTATTGTGGTTATCAATGCATTTATTCTTACCATTTTATGGTATCTTATACTTTCTGTTTATCCTCTTTATTTTAAATTTTGTAATAGCTTTATTGAGGTGTACATGACATACAATAACTGCACTTGTTTAAAGTTTTTTTTTTTTTTTTTTTTTTTGAGACAGAGTCTTGCACTGTCGCCCAGGCTGGAGTGCAGTGGTGCAATCTCGGCTCACTGCAAGCTCCACCTCCCGGGTTCACACCATTCTCCTGCCTCAGCCTCCTGAGTAGCTGGGACTACAGCCACCCGCCACCACGCCTGGCTAATTTTTTGTACTTTTAGTAGAGACAGGGTTTCACCATGTTAGCCAGGATGGTCTCGATCTCCTGACCTCGTGATCCACCCGCCTCGGCCTTCCACTAAGTGCTGGGATTACAGGCATGAGCCACCGCACCCAGCCTTAAAGTTAAATTTAATAAGTTGTGACATATGTTTACACCCATAGAACTCACCACAATCAAAACATAATATCCTAAAAATTTCACACCTAAACATTTCCACCTTCCCCTTTGTAATACTTCTCCCTGCCTCAGTTTCCTCACCCTATCCCTGGGCAACCACTAATTTGCTTTCTGTCACTAGGTAAGTTAGCATTTTCTAGAATTTTATGTAAATGGAATCAACGGTATATAATTTGGAGGGGGTAGTTTCTTTAATCATAATTATTTTGAAATTCATTCTGTCTTCTAAAGATTGGGCATCTCTAATTCCAAAGTCTGAAACTTCTGGAGCACCATAAGTGGACAATTCCACATCTGACCTCATGTGACAGGTTGCAGTCAAAACTTTGTTTCATGCACAAAATTATTTAAAATACTATGTAAAATTGCCATCAGGCTGTTTGTATAAGGTGTAGATGAAACACACAAATTTCATAGTTAGACTTGGAGCCCTTCCCAAGATACCCCATTATATATATGCAATTATTTGAAATTTGAAACACTTCTGGTTCTAAGCATTTCAGATAAGGGATATTCAGCCTGTATTTTATTTTTCTTTTATTTGTGTGTTTTTTGTTTTTGTTTTTGAGAAGGAGTCTCACTGTGTTGCCCCGGCTGGAATGCAGCGGTGCAATCCTGGCCCACTGCAACCTCTGCCTCCTGGGTTCAAGTGATTCTCAGGCCTCAGCCTCCTGGGTAGCTGGGACTACACGTGAGCACCACCACGCCCAGCTAATTTTTATATTTTTAGTAGAGATGAGGTTTCAGCATGTTGGCCAGGCTGGTCTTGAACTCCTGACCTTAGATGATTCGCTCGCCTCAGCCTCCCAGAGTACTGGGATTACAGGCATGAGCCACCACACCTAGCCTACATGTATTTTCTCATCCTCTTTTTTTTTTCCCCGTTTCTAGTTATATATATTTTCTTATTATTCATTTTGTTTTTTTCTGCTGGTTTGGGAGTTAGACGTGCTATGCTTTTAGAGGTTATTCTTGAATTTTTTTTTTTTTTTTTTTGAGACACTAGCCTGTTGCCGAGGCTAGAATGCAGTGAGTGGCGCAATCTCGGCTCACTGCAAGCTCCGCCTCCCGGGTTCACGCCATTCTCCTGCCTCAGCCTCCTGAGTAGCTGGGACTACAGGCACCTGCCACCATGCCCAGCTAAATTTTTTTGTATTTTTAGTAGAGACGGGGTTTCACTGTGTTAGCCAGGATGGTCTCGATCTCCTGACCTCGTGATCTGCCCACCTCAGCCTCCCAAAGTGCTGGAATTACAGGCGTGAACCACCGCACCCAGCCAAATTTTTTTTTGTTAACCTGTAAACTAACTTGTATACCTAATCAGAATAGTCTAAAATTAGTTGAATCAATGTTCTGAGGAAAACCCTTGAGAAAATAAAGTTAGAATTTCAAGTGTCAGAATCTTTTTGACATTGAGAGTTTGTGGCTTTGTAGTGTAGAAGAATAATTCACAGACACTATTTCACTTGTGTAACAAGGGAGACAGATTTTCAGATTAATTTCCAACCGAGCAAAAGCAGGATTTATATAGGAGAAAGAGGAACAAGGAGAGAGGGCAAAACCACAGAACAGTGGATTCTGTTTGCCCGTTTTTCTGTGTAAACTCTGATATTAACTCTCCTTGAGTATGCCACCCAGGGTTGGTGGATGCTCTAGAAAACACGATAGGCCCTCTGCCAGTAAGGGTTTTCAGCAACTCCAGATTCAGCCAGTCTAAATATACCCTTTCCATCATCAGCATTTCTCAGCCTTCATCTTTTGGTCAAAACAAGCTTGTAAAGGAGTGGGTTTATTCTCATGAGCTTCAGCCTCTTTGATGTGGGATAAGGCCATCTGTTGTCTTATGGTGATCTGAAGGTATTAGGGGGAAGTTCATCTATACCTGATGTCATGATTGACCTGTGAACTCTTTTTCTTTTTTTCTTTTTTTAGATGGAGTCTTGCTCTGTTGCCCAGGCTGGAGTGCAGTGGTGCAATCTCATCTCACTGCAACCTCCGCCTCCCTGGTTCAAGCAGTTCTCCTCAGCCTCCCAAGTAGCTGGGATTACAGGCACGTGCCACCACGCCTGGCTAATTTTTTGTATTTTTAGTAGAGACGGGGTTTCGCCGTGTTAGCCAGGATGGTCTCGATCTCCTTATCTCTTGATTGCCTGCCTCGGCTTCCCAAAGTGCTGGGATTACAGGCGTGAGCCACTGCGCCCAGCGACCTGTGAACTCTTACAGAGCTGCTGTCTACTTCTAAGAGTTACCTGATTCTGGAGGCGTTTTTTTGTTTTTGTTTTTGTTTTTTAAGTGAACCCCAGGATCTCTAGTGAGACTGAATGTCCGAGTTAGGATCCTAAGCAAGGGTATACATCTAGGGCTTTCCATCAGTAGTTGTGGTTGGGAAGGCATGGGAAAATGGTGTGGTCCTCTGCAGTGTAGTTAGGCCTGACTTCCGTTGGTGTCTCTCAATAATGAGTTTTTAGTCTCTTAACTATGTATTAAGTAGAGGTAATACTCGTTTAGAAATGTTGCTTTTATCTGTTGATTATATAGCTGAGGATATAAACATTTGTTATCTGATAATTTCTAACAAGATATGAATATACCAGAGTATAATCTGTCATAGGAGAGGTCAAGCCAAGTCTTAGGTCTTTCAGTTAGAATTTCATACAATAGTACATTTCCCTTTTGAGGTGTGTATCATACTATCTTTAGTGCTAGAAGTAATACTTTAGCCAAGGAAGTTTAAGTTCTTTTGAAGCATTCATTTTAAAAAATAGCTTTAGTTCTTCTGATCTCAGAGCTATACAGATGGTTTGGACCAAGAGGTTTTAGTTTAATGAACATGCTTTGCATATTTGCAAAGGATTTTACCTATAAAGTGAGTCATCATTAGAGTCTTGCAGTGGTACAGGGGAAAGATCCATAAGCTTTTGTTGTTGTTGTTGTTGTTGTTGTTGTTGTTTTTAATAGAGACGGGCTTTTTACCTTGTCACCCAGACTGGTCTCAAACTCCTGGGCTCAAGCAATACGCCCACCTCGGCCTCCCAAAGTGCTGGGATTACAGGCTTGAGCCACCGTGCTTGGCCAGTCCATACACTTTTGTTGAGAGTTATGGCATTGGTCTTCTGGCAAGGGAAGACTTAATTTAACTGGTAAACTTATAGACTATTCCAAAAACATATTCAAACCTTTTAAGCAGTGAAAATGAAATTTATTTATAAATGTTCAAATGGTAGATTATGGTTATTACATATGAGTTTTCAAAAATGTTGAGTCTTTCTGGAAAGATTTATTCTTCAGTATCTGTGCAAAGTTTGAAGTAATTTGTCTTTGCCATTTGGTTTGTATTTTGTTACATAAATACATACTCAAGTCTGGAGATGGTTTCAGGCAACATCCAGTAGCCTAAGACCATTTTAAGGTAGCTGGTGATCTTTTTCTGTTTTGTGGGGACCTTTTTTGTAATGAACATTTTTTTAAAATTCAGAATTTAGATTAATCGGTTGTCAAGAGAGGAGAGAAAGCGATAAAACAGTTTAGGAATAGTAAAAAAGAAAAAAATGTTTTTATATATTTGGGGGAACTGATTCATTGATTAGTTGGTCAGTCTGGAGAAAGCAGCTGGTATCAAAGAAAATAAGTTGTTTGTGGATTCTTTGGAAAACTGTAGATGTTAGCTTTGGAGCAAAATGACAGGTTGGTTTTTTTTTGTTTTGTTTTGTTTTGTTTTTTTGGAGACTGAGTCTTGCTCTGTCACCCCGGCTTAAGTGCAGTGGCATGATTGTGGCTCACTGCAGCCTTCTCTGCCTCCCAAGTTCAAGTGATTCTCGTGCCTCAGCCTCCTAAGTAGCTGGGACTACAGGCGTGCACCACCATGCCTGGCTAATTTTTGTACTTTTAGTAGAGATGGGGTTCCACCATGTTGCCCAGGCTGGTCTTGGATTCCTGACATCAAGTGATCTACCATGCTTAGCTGACAGGTTGTTTCTATTAATATGTCTACAGTGGCCTGGTTAGTACTCTGTCTTGTTAGAGATGGCTATGGTTATGGTTCACTGTGCCCTCTAGGTCATTGTTGTAGAGCATAACTTGGACCCAGGAGCTGCTGGAGGAAAAGAGGAAGTTGATGGGAGGAAGAAGCCTTAGAGGTGGGGAGGGGCTGATCTGTCATCTTCTCCCATGTCTGTCGGCAGGGCACCCACCACAGATGAGGACAAGAAGGCAGCCGAGAAGAAACGGGAGGACAAAGCTAAGAAGAAGCACGACAGGAAATCCAAGCGCCTGGATGAGGAGGAGGAGGAGGACAATGAAGGCGGGGAGTGGGAAAGGGTCCGGGGCGGAGTGCCGTTGGTTAAGGTGAGGGTTTCAGAGGTAAAATGAATTGGGGAACAGTTTGGGAGGACATAAAGGTCCCCTTGTGGGGAAAAGGCAAGGACAGTTTCCCGCTGGCATGTACATGACGGGATATGTACTGATACAGGAGAAGCCAAAAATGTTTGCCAAGGGAACTGAGATCACCCATGCTGTTGTTATCAAGAAACTGAATGAGATCCTACAGGCACGAGGCAAGAAGGGAACTGATCGGTAAGATTCGTGGGCCTGGGCAGTGGGATTGCAGGGTGGCAGAGGGTGGAGGTTGGGGGAAGGGATTGTTGGGAGGGTCTGTGTGTGGCTGTAGTAGAGGGAATTGTATGCTTGGGGCATCCCCGTCCATTATCTGCTGTTTACTCTTCTTGTGACTTAAAACCAATCACTTAACGTTTTGGATCTGTTTTCCCATCTATACAATGAGATAATGTTCTCCTCTTTTTTTTTTTTTTTTTTTTTTTGTTTGAGATGGAGTCTCGTTGTTGCCCAGGCTGGAGTGCACTGGCGCGATCTCGGCTCACTGCAACCTTTTTGCCTTCTGGGTTCAACCGATTCTCCTGCCTCAGCCTCCTGAGTAGCTGGGATTACAGGAACCCGCCACCATCCCTGGCTGATTTTGTACTTTTAGTAGAGATGGGGTTTCACCATGTCTCGAACTCCTGACTTCAAGTGATCCGCCTGCCTCAGCCTCCCAAAGTGCTGGGATTACAGGCATGAGCTACCACACCTGGCTTTTTTTTTTTTTAAGATTAAAAAAGTAAAAGAGTGTTTACCTTCTTTAGTTATTAGGTAACAGAGGATGGTGGTAGGTGTGAAGCATTTCACAGCATTCCAGGATGGTTGGGATTATTGTTGCTTCTGTTTGGAATTTATAAAGGAGAAGCAGGGATATGGGTGATGAGGAGGGCGCGTTATCCGAAGCGGGCATGCTGGGAGAGACTTTGTGATTTGTCTCCAAAGCCTCACCCAGCTCTCTGGCCCTCTAGTGCTGCCCAGATTGAGCTGCTGCAACTGCTGGTTCAGATTGCAGCGGAAAACAACCTGGGAGAGGGCGTCATTGTCAAGATCAAGTTCAATATCATCGCCTCTCTCTATGACTACAACCCCAACCTGGCAACCTACATGAAGGTGAGAGCAGTGAAGAGGCTCATCTCAGGGCATCGCTGGTGGGTTGGGGGAAGAAGGTACCTAGCATCTTAAGACTCAGGGGCTATGGAGGCAGTCTTGGTGGTGGAAGGCCCCATGATTCCTGCTGAAGGGGGAGGCATCCGCTTACTCTACCTTCACACCTCTGACTCTGATGTGGCCTGAAATCTTGGCAGCCAGAGATGTGGGGGAAGTGCCTGGACTGCATCAATGAGCTGATGGATATCCTGTTTGCAAATCCCAACATTTTTGTTGGAGAGAATATTCTGGAAGAGAGTGAGAACCTGCACAACGCTGACCAGGTAAAGGGAGGAGTTGGCAGGATAACTGGAGGTGTGTATTTTATGCTTTGGGAAGGCTCAGTGGGACCCGAGGGTTGAGGTTTGAGACTGAGATCTGGGCTAATTTGTTGACTCCTCCTTCGCCTTCCTTTTCAGCCACTGCGTGTCCGTGGCTGCATCCTAACTCTGGTGGAACGAATGGATGAAGAATTTACCAAAATAATGCAAAATACTGACCCTCACTCCCAAGGTGAGCCTGAGCAAGCGTGGGCTTTGCTGAGAGGAAAATTGTGGGGAATATTACTAGGTTTAGAGCTTTGTGAGGATTATACTAAGTCAGAGTGCTTGAAAAGCCAGCCTTTCAACTTACCTAGCGTTCACACGGAAGGGCCTGATGAGATGCTGGCTCCCAGTCCCATCGTTTCTGATTCCATAGGTCTGAGTGGGGCTTGAGAACCTGCACCTCTAGCCTGCTCCCAGGTTGCTGGTCTCAGGGCTATACTTTGAGAACCTTTGGGGTAAGGCATCTATTCACTTCTCTTGTTTAGCTTGGATGAGAGGCATTGGGGTGTGAAAGTGCAGCATAGTTTACTCAGTAAAAGTGTGAATGTGCCCATCAAGTCAAGGGTGTAGTGATTAACAAGGCAGCCAAAAGCTTACCTTTTGTGCTGGATGGAGAAAGGCAGATTGAAAAATAATAGTAGTAAGATATGGCCGGGCGTGGTGGCTCACGTCTGTAATTCCAGCTCTTTGGGAGGCCGAAGCAGGCGGATCCCGAGGTCAGGAGATTGAGACCATCCTGGCTAACACGGTGAAACCCCATCTCTACTAAAAATACACACACACACACAAAAAAAATTAGGCGTGGTGCTGGGCGCCTATAGTCCCAGCTACTTGGGAGGCTGAGGCAGGAGAATGGCATGAACCCAGGAGGCGGAACTTGCAGTGAGCCGAGATCACACCCCTGCACTCCAGCCTGGGCGACAGAGCAAGACTCCATCTCAAAAAAAAAAAAAAATAGTATGATGTTAAGATAATTCTGGGCCAGGTGCAGTGGCTCACGCCTGTAATCCTAGCACTTTGGGAGGCCGAGGTGTGTGAATCACCTGAGGTCAGGAGTTTGAGACCAGCCTGGCCAACGTGGCAAAACCCTGGCTCTACTCAAATACAAAAATTATCCAGGCATGGTGGCAGGTGCCTGTAAATCCCAGCTATGTGGGAGGCTGAGGCAGGAGAATCCCTTGAGCCCAGCGGGCCAGAGGTTGCAATGAGCTGAGATCACACCACTGCACTCCAGCCTGGGCGAAAGAGTGAAACTCCATCTCAAAAAATAATAATAATAATTCTAGATGATATAAAGTTCAGAGTTAAACTAGGGCCCTGTGGTAAGAAGTGGCTGGAGGGGTGGCTGCTGTAGCTAACAGCTGGAGAAAGCACCCTTAAGTAGGGACCACCTGAGGTGAGATCCAATGAGGAGGAGTTAGGGGAAGAATCAGCTGAAGACAGCGCCTGACAGGAGGAGCAGAGAGCGAGCTTGATGTTCCAGGAGTAAAAAGGCCAGTGGGACTCCAGCACAGGAAGCCAGAGGGAGAATCGTGGGAGACCAGGCAAGGGCCAGGCCTGGCAGACCCTTATTGGCAGAGGTTGGCAGTTGGGATTTTTTTCCTAAGCTGTGGGACTGGAAGGTTCTGGGTCCTGGGAGTGGGAGATGGCCTTTCTGGGGCACACTGACTAGACTTTTCTGACGGGTGCAGAAGAGGGACGGGTTGATTGGAATGAGTGGGGACAGATGGGAAAGCCTGGCTGCCCAGCTGAGACAAGGGTGGGTGCTCTCCCTGCCAGAGTACGTGGAGCACTTGAAGGATGAGGCCCAGGTGTGTGCCATCATCGAGCGTGTGCAGCGCTACCTGGAGGAGAAGGGCACTACCGAGGAGGTCTGCCGCATCTACCTGCTGCGCATCCTGCACACCTACTACAAGTTTGATTACAAGGCCCATCAGCGACAGCTGACCCCGCCTGAGGGCTCCTCAAAGGTGAGCACGTGGCAGTCATGGCAGAGGGGAATGGGTGTGTCCACCTGTCCTCCACTTCTGTCAGGACTTGACAGCAAATCTGTTACTCTCTAGACTTCCGCAGGTGGAGCAGGGAGGGAAACTGAGGTATTAGAATGAGACTGGATAGAGTCTCATCTTTAGTTGCTAGAGCCTGTGCCTTTTAAAGCTGGATCTCCTTTGCAAATAACCTCCCTTCCTCCCCAGTCTGAGCAAGACCAGGCAGAAAATGAGGGCGAGGACTCGGCTGTGTTGATGGAGAGACTGTGCAAGTACATCTACGCCAAGGACCGCACAGACCGGATCCGCACATGTGCCATCCTCTGCCACATCTACCACCATGCTCTGCACTCGCGCTGGTACCAGGCCCGCGACCTCATGCTCATGAGCCACTTGCAGGACAACATTCAGCATGCAGACCCGCCAGTGCAGGTAGGATGGGGAGGCCTTGGAGGTGAAGGAGTGCCAGGCCCCTGGCCTCTTGGCAAACTGGCTTAACCAGAACAGCCACCTGTCTGGCCGGTGCAAATTTAAGTAGACACTTGGTCTTTCCCAGTTGCCAGCATCCTGCAGTCCTCCTGCATGTAAACACATAATTTCGTGTCAAAAAAAAAAATTATCCAGGCTTGGTAGTGCTTGAGCCCAAGAGGCAGAGGTTCCAGTGAGCCGAGGTTGTGCCACTGCACTCCAGCCTGGGTAATGGAGCAAGACTGTTCAAAAAAAAAAAAAAGCTGTGTCTGGAAGTGTAGATCATGTAAAAGTATATTTGAGGCAACTAGGAAATGTTTATGTGTAGAGCACCTGGTGAACCTGTCTGGGGGTACTGCTGGTTTTTAAACAGCCCTCCTGTTTGTGTTTCTATTCTATGGTATGAACATATCACTGTGTCTGTTTTCCTCTTGGCGGACACCCAGTTTATTTCCAGTTTTTGGCTCTAATGTATGAAGCTGCTGTGAACATTCTTGTAAGAAACTCAAAAGTGGTTATACCATTTTACACTCCTGCTAGTGTTTGGGAGTTCCTTGTCAACTTTTGGTGGTGTTGGTCTTTTTTTGAGAGGGAGTCTCGCTCTGTCGCCAAGGCTGGAGTGCAGTGGTGCAATCTTGGCTTACTGCAACTGCCACCTCCCAGGATCAAGCGATTCTACCTCAGCCTCCCGAGTAGCTGGGATTACAGGTGCCCGCCACCACTTCCGACTAATTTTTGTAATTTAGTAGAGATAGGGTTTCACCATGTTGGCCAGGCTGGTCTCAAACTCCTGACCTCAAGTGATCTGCCTGCCTCAGCCTCCCAAAGTGCTGAGATTACAGGAGTGAGCCATCATGCCGGCGGTGGTATTGGTCTTTTAAACTTTTTTTTGTTTTTGTTTTTTGAGGCAGGGTCTTGCACTGTCACCTAGACTGAGTGTAGTGGCATGATCATGGCCCGCAGTAGCCTCAAATTCCCAGGTTCAAGTGATCCTCCCACCTCAGCCTCCATAGTAGCTGGGACTACAGGCATGTGCCACCATAGCTGGGACTACAGGCATGTGCCACCATGCCTGGCTAATTTTTTATTTTTTGTAGAGACAGGGTCTCACTATGTTGCCCAGGCTGGTCTCAAAGATCTTTTAGGGGTGTGTGTGTGTCTCTTTTAGGGGGTGTGTGTGTATCTTTTAGGGGTTGTGTGTGTATCTTTTAGGGGGTGTGTGTGTGTGTATCTTTTAGGGGTGTGTGTGTGTGTGTGTGTGTGTGTTTTGAGACAGAGTCTCGCTCTGTTGCCCAGGCTGGAGTGCAGTGGTGCAATCTTGGCTCACTACAACCTCCATCTCCCAGGTTCAAGCCATTCTCCTCCCTCACCATCCCATGTAGCTGGGATTATAGGCACGTGCCACCACACCAGGCTAATTTTTGTATATTTAATAGAGACAAGATTTCACTATGTTGGCCAGGCTGGTCTTGAACCTCAGGTGACCCACCCACCTCAGCCTCCCAAAGTGCTGGGATTACAGGCATGAGCCACCGCAACCGGCCACTCAAAGGTCTTTTAAATTTTAGTTGGTTGTCTAATGGTATCTCATTGTGGTGTTAGTTTGCATTTCCCTGGTGACTATTGATATTGGCTACTTTTTTACTTTTTTATGTTTATTGGCCATTTATCTTTCATGAAATAATAAATATCTAGTCAGTTCTTGCCCATTTAAAACAATTGGATTGTTCACTTTATTGAGTTGTAGGAGTGCCTTATCTATCCTGGATAGCTAGTCCTGTGTCAGAATTTTTTTTTTTTTTTTTTTTTGGAGACGGAGTCTCGCTCTGTCGGCAGGCTGGAGTGCAGTGGCGCGATCTTGACGACTCACTACAACCTCTGCTTCCCAGGTTCAGGCAATTCTCCTGCCTCAGCCTCCCGAGTAGCTGGGACTACAGGCGCCCACCACCATGCCCAGCTAATTTTTTTTATTTTTTAGTATCTGTGTTGGCCAGGATGGTCTCGATCTCTTGACCTCATGATCCGCCCGCCTCACCCTCCCAAAGTGCAGGGATTACAGGCATGAGCCACTGCGCCCGGCCCAGTTTTTTCTTTTATAGTAATTATTTTCTGGATCCTGTCTAAAAAACCTTTGCCTAACTGAAATTCATGAAGACTTTTTAAATTTCTCTCTTTTTTTTTTTTGTAAGTTGCTATGGGTGTTAGCTTTTACATTTAGTCTTATAGTTGGTCTTGGTTTGATTTTTGCATCTGCTGAGGTTGGGATCAGGGTTTCTTTTTCCTCCATATGGATACCTAGTTGTTCTAGCATCATTTGTAGAAAAGACTTCCTTTCCCCTATTGTATTGCTTTGGTGTCTTTGTGGAAAACAATATGAAAAACCACATTACCTATAAGAGTAGGTGTTTTTCAGGTCATTCCCTCTGTCCCATTCATTTACCTTTTTGTCTGTCCTTATGCAAGTCCCATACTATCTTCATTGCTGTGCAACATAACAAAACCCTGTCTCTACAAAAAATACAGAAACTAGTCAGGCATAGTGGTGCACGCCTGTAGTCCCACCTACTCAGGAGGCTGAGGTAGGATTGCTTGAGCTCAGGAGGTCGAGGCTGCAGGAGCCACGATCACGCCACTGCACTCTAGCCTGGGCAACAGAGCAAGACTGTCTCAAAAAGAAAAGAAATACCCGGTTACTTCTCCTTCATTCTATTCATATAATGAATAACTGTGAGTTCATTATTGTGTGTTTTTTGTTTTTTGAAAAAGGGTGTCACTCTGTCACCCAAGCTGGAGTGCAGTGGCGCGATCTCGGCTCACTGCAATCTCTGCCTCCCAGGCTCAAGCAATTCTCCTGCCTCAGCCTCTCGAGTAGCTGGGATTACAGGTGCACATCACCACTACCCGGCTAACTTTTGTATTTTTAGTAGAGACGGGGTTTCACCATATTGGGCAGGCTGCTCTTGAACTCCTGACCCCACGATCCACCCACCTCAGCCTCCCAAAGTGCTGGGATTACAGGCATGAGCCACCACGCCCAGCCGAGTTCATTACATTTTTATACCAACCTTTTATTCCTGAAGTATATCCAGTTTGGTCATGTATATTGTCTCTTTTATATTATATATTGCTGGATTCTGTCGCTAACATTTTTAAGGCTTTTTGCATGTAAGCTTATGACTGGTATTGATCTCCACATTTTTGTTGTTATGGCTACACTTAGCCTTTTCCCCCAAGATTTGTACCACTTACCGTCTCCCCTGTCTTAATTAGTGCCAAGTCCCTCTTCCCAGTTGCTTAGACCAGAAACCTTGGAGTCATTCTTGATTTGAACTTTTCCCTCATATACTGTATCTGATTCCCCAGCCATTCCTGTTTACAGTCCATTATGAGAACACTTCTGTCACTTCTGCTTGTACCCTCTGCTCTAAGCCACCATCATCTGCCTTTGTGTCCCTTCAGTCCCTTTGTTCTGTTCATAATACAGATTAACCCTGTTCAGTTATGTCAGATCATATTACCTGTTTGCTCAAAACCTTCCCATGGTTTCTTGTCTTAAAACTCATAACAAGGCCAGGCACGGTGGCTCACACTTGTAATCCCAGCACTTCGGGAGGCCGAGGCGGGTGGATCACGAGGTCAAGAGATCGAGACCATCCTGGCTAACACGGCGAAACCCTGTCTCTACTAAAAATACAAAAAATTAGCCGGGCGTGGTGGCGGGCGCCTGTAGTCCCAGCTACTCGGAGAGGCTGAGGCAGGAGAATGGCGTGATCCCGGGAGGCGGAGCTTACAATGAGCCAATATCACACCGCTGCACTCCAGCCTGGGTGACAGAGTGAGACTCCGTCTCCAAAAAAAAAAAAAAAAAAAAACTCATAAATGGCTGGTGCTCGCCCATCCCCCAGCTTGTGGTGGCATCTTTTCCCAGCCCTAGCTGTGTTGCGCCCCTTGTTTCTTGAATATGCCTGGCCCGGTTCTTCCACAGGATCACTGCGTTTATTTTTCCTTTTTATAGGATATTCTTTCCCCAGATGCCTGCATGACTTGCTCTCTCTTTAGGTCTTTATTCAAACATTCTTTCCCAATGAGGCCTTCTGTAGTTATATGAACATTTGAGCCTCCACCACTGCGCAGACTGCCTTCCTGGCTCCGTCCTCTGCTTTATTTTTCTTCTCAGCATGAGTCACCATCCTTGTAGTGCAGCTCTCTTGCCCACCACACCCCACCCCTAGACATAAGCTCCATGCAGACTGGGGACTTGTCTGTTTTGCTCTCCCTCCCCAGCCTAGTGCTCAGCACATAGTAGGCACTTGAAGTAGATTTGTTTAGTTTTGTTTTTGTTTTTTATCTTTAGCGATGGGGTATCTCCATGTTGCTCAGGCCCATCTTGAACCCCTGGGCTCAAGTGATCCTCCCACCTTAGCCTCCCAAAGTGCTGGGATTACAGGCGTGAGCCACTGCACCCGGCTTAGTTATGGAATAAATGAAGACTTGTCTTGCAGCTGTCATCTCTGAGTGCATTATGACCCTTTGCCCCCAGATCCTTTACAACCGCACCATGGTGCAGCTGGGCATCTGTGCCTTCCGCCAAGGCCTGACCAAGGACGCACACAACGCCCTGCTGGACATCCAGTCGAGTGGCCGAGCCAAGGAGCTTCTGGGCCAGGGCCTGCTGCTGCGCAGCCTGCAGGAGCGCAACCAGGAGCAGGAGAAGGTGGAGCGGCGCCGTCAGGTCCCCTTCCACCTGCACATCAACCTGGAGCTGCTGGAGTGTGTCTACCTGGTGTCTGCCATGCTCCTGGAGATCCCCTACATGGCCGCCCATGAGAGCGATGCCCGCCGACGCATGATCAGCAAGCAGTTCCACCACCAGCTGCGCGTGGGCGAGCGACAGCCCCTGCTGGGTGAGTGTGGAGCTCCAGGGTTCAGCAGGCTGCCTTGCTCCCTGATTACACATAAGGATTAAGAGAAGTGAAGGGAGTAACTCTCCCACCACTCGACTCCATCTGATTTAATGACACCTCCTCTGCCTGGCACTGTGCTAAGTGTTTTACAAATAATTATTTAATCTGCATTAGTAATAACCCTATGCCGGTAGGTACTAGTAATACCCTTTTTCCCAGTGGAGAAACTGAGGCACAGAGTAGTTAAGTGACTTGCCCGAGTTTAATGCAGCTCATGTGTACCTCTGATCTTTCTTTCCCTTTTCTTCCCTTCATGTACATTATATTCCAGCCAAACCAACTATCATAGAGCCTTATCGTTCAAGAGGCTAACGTTGATTCCTTTGGCCCCTTTTGAAAGACAGATCCTGCAGGGTTGCAGTGAGTGGTGACTCACTGGAAAGGAATTGAGCTGCGCCCTTCCTGTGACATTGGCCCACAGGAGGGCTTGACGAGTGAGCTGAGCCCAGTGTCCACAGCCACATCCCCCTACAGATTTGTCCTCTCCTGGTCATGTATATGTTTGGGCTAAAGGGCAGGTTCCCTTAGGCACATTTTGTTTGGCTTATGTAGTGAGATTTACTTTGTGGGGAAATTTCCCATGAAAATCGGAATTTTCATGTCTTAGAATATTGGCAGTCTGTCGCTCCTGGCCCTGCCTTCCTGCAGAGCTAGCCTTGGCTGGAGCTGAAGTAGCAGCGATGGGAAAGGGCTGTCTGCTTCTCCACAGTCCCTGCCTCTCAATTTCTCCCTACAGTGGTTCCAAAAGCCAGTTTCCATCAGCCCTGCACTGTTGTTCGGCCTATAGAGAAATATTCTTTGAGCCCCTAAACTTGCCTTTTTCTTTCTTTCTTTCTTTTTTTTTTTTTTTGAGACGGAGCCTCACTGTTGCCCAGACTGGAGTGCAGTGGCGCAGTCTCAGCTCACTGCAACCTCCACCTCCTGGGTTCAAGTGATTCTGCTGCCTCAGCCTCTCGAGTAGCTGAGACTACAGGCCCCCGCCACCATGTCCAGCTAATTTTTTGTATTTTTAGTAGAGATGGGGTTTCTTCATGTTGGCCAGGCTGGTCTCGAATTCCTGACCTCAGGTGGCCCGCCCACCTCGGCTTCCCAAAGTGCTGGGATTACAGGTGTGAGCCACTGCGCCCAGACCAACCTTGCCTTTTGCAAGTGTTAATATGGTTAAAATGGAGGTTCATCCAGGAGGGCTGTGTGCCTCTCCTTACACTCTTAACACTTAGCCCTGCTCCTATGGTTCCATTTGGACCTGATCCCCGTTCGCATTGAGCTTGCCGTTCTTGCTGTGGAGTCTGCGTGTTTGTGTTTCACTGTCTGCCACCCATTTCTAGCCGTAGAACTTTTGCACTTTGTCTACCCTGAATTCCAGTTACTATGGCGTACCATGTCTTACCTTCCTGGCTTGTCTTAGGATTGTATTTGGGGGCCTGAGTTCATAATTAATATATAAACTTGTGATTTTAGAGATAATTTTGACCGGGGCTAAGTTTTTTAAGGAAAAGAAGTGAGCTGCTTGGAAGAATAATAAGCTGGCAACAGTGTAATTGATGCATGGGCATGGCACCATTCATGAAGGTGATGTGAGTGAGGAAGGGTTGGTAAATTCCATTCCAGTTGAGCTGGAAGAGGTGGTTTGGTTTTGTTTTGTTTTGTTTTTTGAGACAGAGTCTCGCTCTGTAGCCCAGGCTGGAGTGCAGTGGCAAGATCTCAGCTCACTGCAAATTCTGCCTCCCGGGTTCAAGCAATTTTCCTGCCTCAGCCTCCCGAGTAGTTGGGATTACAGGCGTGTGCCACTATGCCTGGCTAATTTTTGTATTTTTAGTAGAGACGAGGTTTTGCCATGCTGGCCAGGCTGGTCTCCAACTCCTGACCTCAGATGATCCGTCTGCCTTGGCCTCCCAAAGTGCTGGGATTATTACAGGTGTGAGCCACCACGCCTGGCTGGAAGAGGTGTTTTTAGGTCAAGGAAGCTTACGAGAATCTGATGAAAGCCATGGGCCTTTTTCCTAGGAAGAATGTACATGAGGACATGTGCACAATTTGTCAACATTTTTGAGGGTTTCGGCAGTCCCCTGAAGTGCATCTATGGACTGATTGAGTTCAAACATTTGTGCAGATGGAGTGGCTTGGGCGACTACGTGGCTGTTTGGTGGAGAGGCGGGGAGAGTCTCTAGTATGGTTTGCTCCTCCAGCCTCTGTTCCTCCTTAAAGAGTGCTAATGGAACTTGTCCCAAGTTCCCTAGGCCCTGCCTCATTCCCACCCTTTCAGGTCCCCCTGAGTCCATGCGGGAACATGTGGTCGCTGCCTCCAAGGCCATGAAGATGGGTGACTGGAAGACCTGTCACAGTTTTATCATCAATGAGAAGATGAATGGGAAAGTGTGGGACCTTTTCCCCGAGGCTGACAAAGTCCGCACCATGCTGGTTAGGTGAGCAGACAGAGAGGCCGTGATGGGTCGGGGAAGAAGAGACTGGTTGGTCCCCTTCCCTGAGGCCCTGTTGTGTCTTCTGTCCCCTCTTCCCACAGGAAGATCCAGGAAGAGTCACTGAGGACCTACCTCTTCACCTACAGCAGTGTCTATGACTCCATCAGGTAGGCGGGGCCCTGGGGACACAGAAGGGCCCCAGCCTTGTGGGCAAGTGTCCTGACTGCCCCTGCCCTCTGCCTTCTTTCTTCCCAGCATGGAGACGCTGTCAGACATGTTTGAGCTGGATCTGCCCACTGTGCACTCCATCATCAGCAAAATGATCATTAATGAGGAGCTGATGGTAGGGGCCGGGGTGGGAAGCGGGCAGGTGGAGCCATGGAGGGATTGGAGCGTAGGGGCCGGGGTGGGAAGCGGGCAGGTGGAGCCATGGAGGGATTGGAGCAGAGGGGCCTGATCTGTGTCGTGTCCCCTCCTCTGCCTTGGCGCCTGTCAGGCCTCCCTGGACCAGCCAACACAGACAGTGGTGATGCACCGCACTGAGCCCACTGCCCAGCAGAACCTGGCTCTGCAGCTGGCCGAGAAGCTGGGCAGCCTGGTGGAGAACAACGAACGGGTGTTTGACCACAAGCAGGGCACCTACGGGGGCTACTTCCGAGGTGAGTACTTCGGCTCCTCTCCTTGCCCACTCCTGGTGCCCTCACCGCCTCTCACCTGGCATTCCCTGCCCTTCCTTCCCATCTCTCTCCTACAGACCAGAAGGACGGCTACCGCAAAAACGAGGGCTACATGCGCCGCGGTGGCTACCGCCAGCAGCAGTCTCAGACGGCCTACTGAGCTCTCCACTCTGTTTCCCGCCTGGGCCATCCAACCTTGAAGTCCTAAACCACACCTCAGTCACTAAAGGTCTGTTTAAAGTTGTTCTGGTTGATTGCTTGTTGCCACAAAGGTGTGTTGAGCCCATTCATTTGCTGATTATATTTCTGAGCTGCTACCACATGACAGACACAAGGCTCAGATGAAGAGGTGAATTGAACACGTTCCTGACCTCAAAGAGCCTGCTGCTTTTTGACATTTAACAGAAAATTATAGTAACATAAGTTATAATGGGTGTTTTAAAAGGCCAGTCGCAGTGGCTCACGCCTGTAATCCCAGCACTTTAGGAGGCCCAGGTGGGCAGATCACAAGGTTGGGAGTTTCAGACCAGCCTGGCCAACATAGTGAAACCCCCTCTCTACTAAAAATACAAAAATTAGCCGGGCATGGGGGCACATGCCTGTAGTCGCAGCCGCTTGGGAGGCTGAGGCAGGAGAATCGCTTGAACCCATGAGGTGGAGGTTGCAGTGAGCCAAGATCACACCACTGCTCTCCAGCCTGGGCAACAAAGCGAGACGCCGTTTTAAAAAGAAAGTCACAGATGTATTGAGGATGTGACCGGGGGTGGAACATCAGGAAGACATAGTGGAGACAGTAGTGACAGTTGGACCCTGAGGGTTCACCAGGCAGGGAGAAGGGAGAGCTGGTCCAGACCAGTGTGGATGCACTGTTACCTGTTCATAACAAGACAGGTGCCATCAGTAAGAGGGTGCATTGAGAGACTGGGCCTTTGCTCTGATATCTAAGCATGTGGTTATTTTCTGATCATTTAAGTTTATTGTGTTTTTTGTTTGCTTGTTTTTTGTTTGTTTGTTTTTGAGACAGAGTCTCACTCTGTCGCCCAGGCTGGAGTGCAGTGGCGCGAGCTCAGCTCACTGCAAGCTCCGCCTCCCGGGTTCACACCGTTCTCCTGCCTCAGCCTCCCAAGTAGCTGGGACTACAGGCGCCCAACACCACGCCTGGCTAAATTTTTGTATTTTTTTTTTTTTTTTTAGTAGAGACGGGGTTTTGCCATGTTAGCCAGGATGGTCTCCATCTCCTGACCTCGTGATCCACCCGCCTCCACCTCCCAAAGTGCTGGGATTACAGGCGTGAGCCACCGCGCCCAGCCTTATTGTGTTTTACATAAGTATGGGTCCACAGTAGATTGGTTTTTTTTTTTAAGACATGGGATCTTGCTGTGTTGCCCAGGCTGGTCTTGAACTCCTGGACTCAAGCAATCCTCCCACCTCAGCCTTCTAAGTAACTGGGACTACAGGTATGCATCACCATGCCTGGTCTAGATTGGAAATTTTTTTTAAATGATCCTTTACCACATTTGAGAAGCACTGATGTAGGCAGAGGGAAAAAGTGCAAGCTCAAAGGGTTGGAGAAGTGAGATAGTGGCATGATTAGTGTAACGCAGGTGTGGAGCATGTGCAGGAGATGCACTGAAGACTTACCCGGGCCGTCTCTTAAAACTTTCAATGCTCTGGGTTTTTATAAACAAATTCACAGCTGGGGCTGGGCGCAGTGGCTCACACCTGAAATCCGAGCACTGTGGGAGGCCGAGGCAGGACGATCACTTGAGGCCAGTAGCAGGGCACAAAAATTTTTTTTTTTTTTTTTTTTTTTTAGTATTTATTGATCATTCTTGGGTGTTTATCGGAGAGGGGGATTTGGCAGGGTCATAGGACAATAGTGGAGGGAAGGTCAGCAGATAAACGTGAACAAGGGTCTCTGGTTTTCCTAGGCAGAGGGCCCTGCGGCCTTCCGCAGCGTTTGTATCCCTGGGTACTTGAGATTAGGGAGTGGTGATGACTCTTAACGAGCATGCTGCCTTCAAGCATCTGTTTAACAAAGCACATCTTGCACCGCCCTTAATCCATTTAACCCTGAGTGGACACAGCATATGTTTCAGAGAGCACGGGGTTGGGGGTAAGGTTATAGATTAACAGCATCCCAAGGCAGAAGAATTTTTCTTAGTACAGAACAAAATGGAGTCTCCTATGTCTACTTCTTTCTACACACGCACAGTAACAATCTGATCTCTCTCTCTTTTCCCCACATTTCTCCCTTTTCTATTTGACAAAACCGCCATCGTCATCATGGCCCATTCTCAATGAGCTGTTGGGTACACCTCCCAGACGGGGTGGCGGCCGGGCAGAGGGGCTCCTCACCTCCCAGATGGGGCGGCCGGGCAGAGGTGCCCACCTCCCGGACGGGGTGGCGGCTGCGTGAGGGCTGCCCCCCACCTCCCTCCCGGACGGGGCGGCTGGCCTGGAGGGGGCTTACCCCCACCTCCCTCCCGGACAGGGTGGCTGCCGGGCGGAGGGGCTCCTCACTTCTCAGACGGCGCGGTCGCCAGGCAGAGGGTCTCCTCACTTCTCAGACGGGGCGGCCGGGCAGAGACGCTCCTCACCTCCCAGACGGGGTCGCGGCCGGGCAGAGGCACTCCCCACATCTCAGACGATGGGCGGCCTGGCAGAGACGCTCCTCACCTCCCAGATGGGATGGCGGCCGGGCAGAGACGCTCCTCACTTTCCAGACTGGGCAGCCAGGCAGAGGGGCTCCTCACATCCCAGACGATGGGTGGCCAGGCAGAGACGCTCCTCACTTCCCAGACGGGGTGGCGGCCGGGCAGAGGCTGCAATCTCGGCACTTTGGGAGGCCAAGGCAGGCGGTTGGGAGGTGGAGGTTGTAGCGAGCCGAGATCACGGCACTGCACTCCAGCCTGGGCACCATTGAGCACTGAGTGAACGAGACTCCGTCTGCAATCCCAGCACCTCGGGAGGCCGAGGCTGGTGGATCACTAGCGGTTAGGAGCTGGAGACCGGCCCGGCCAACACAGCGAAACCCCGTCTCCACCAAAAAAATACGAAAACCAGTCAGGCGTGGCGGCGCGCGCCTGCAATCACAGGCACTCGGCAGGCTGAGACAGGAGAATGAGGCAGGGAGGTTGCAGTGAGCCAAGATGGCAGCAGTACAGTCCAGCTTCGGCTCGGCATCAGAGGGAGACCGTGGAAAGAGGGGGAGAGGGAGACTGTGGGGAGGGAGAGGGAGAGGGAGAGCCTGTTTCTAATAAATATACAAAATCAGCAAGGCATGGTGGCACGCACCTGTAATCCCAGCTACTTGGGAGGGTGAAGCAGGAGAATCGCTTGAACCCAGGAGGCAGAGGTTGCAGTGAGCTGAGATCGTGCTATTGCACTCCAGCCTGGGCAACGAGAGTGAAACTCCATCTCAAAAAAAAAAAAAAAAAAAAAAACACGAAAATAAAACGGCATTTAGAGTTGAAAGCTTCGCCTTCCTCTCTGGATGGTGAGTCCTCACTCTCCCAGCAGCCCACACCTCTGCCTCAAACCTCCATGGCTCCCAAGAGTCTGGATAAAGCTAAGGAGTCTCAACGCACCCCAAGTCCTGGGGGTAGTCAGCCCCTCTCACCCCTCCCTCATCCTCTCACACAAGAGTTGTTTACTGTTCCTCCAGTTATGCCTGGTCACGCAGACACTCTGCTGCTCAAATGCCCTCACCCCATCCTCAGCCTGCTCCCAGGCCACCTCCCTCCAGAATCCACCCTGCCTGCCAGGTGGCCATAGGGACCCTCGCCATACTGTCTGCTTGTGGCAGTGCCCTCCAGCCTGGGGGGTCTTCCAGAGCAGATCTCTGGCCTAGTGCAGTGGCTCATGCCTGTAATCTCAGCACTTTCAGAGGCCAAGGCAGGTGGATCACCTGAGGTCAGGAGTTCGAGACCAGCCTTGCTAACATGGTGAAACCCCGTCTCTACTAAAAATACAAAAATTAGCCAGGTGTGGTGGTGCACGCCTGTAGTCCCAGCTACTCAGGAGGCTGAGGCAGGAGAATCTCTTGGACCCGGGAGGTGGAGGTTGCAGTGAGCTGAAATGGTGCCACTGCACTCCAGCCTGGGCAACAGTGAGACTGTCTTAAAAAAAAAAAAAAGATCTCTGATATAAGCTCCCCTGGCACACAGTGAGCTTCCAGAAATGGTCCCTCGACCTCTAAATCCACCAAGACCCAGGGAACACGCCCACTCTGAGCACCCTGACAATGTCCCAGTCCCAACACAGTACCCTGAAGCTGTCCCCAAAGTTTCCCCTGCCACACTCCCTGACCACACTCTGGTATCTCAGAGCCCTAGCAACAGCCCTATAGAGGGAGGGTTCTAGGTATGGGGCAGGCATGAGCACTGCTTATAACCAAGCAAAACACTCCCTCTGTGCCAACATAGGTGGGGCAGGTCACGCTGGGGTCTGTTTGCCCTGTCTGCCCGCTGCAGCCTCCTCGGGGAGGGCCAGGGTTGTCTGTGCATCCTGTGAGCCCCAGGGTCTATGTGCACATATGTGTGTCTGTGCTGCTCTGTGTGTGTGTGTGTGTGTGTGTGTGTGTGTGTGTATATACACGGCACATCTGAATTGTCCTGAGTGCTGTCTCGGGTATCCTTGAGCTGTGTGTGCATGTGTCCCCCTAGCGGTATCTCAGTATTTTTGCCTGTGGGAGCTGCACACCGTGAGCTGCACACCTGAGGGCCAGGTGAGTCTGGGGCTGGTCCTGTGCCTGCGCATCTGTGTGCTGGCGGTGTCTGCATAGTATTCTGTGGCTACATGTATCTGTGCACCCCAGAAATGGGCAGTCACCCAGGAGACCTCTCTACAGTGACCCCAAATGATGGATAGTGAGATAGGGACAGTATGATCTATATTTTTTTTTTGGTCACAGGGGTTTGTTGTACAGGGGCACAATATATTCTTCTCCCACCCCCAAGCCGGGCCCTTTCTGCCCCTGCTCCTCCCACCCTCTGGTGTCTCACATCTCAGGGATAGGTGGAATGAAGGATAAGTTCGCGGACCCCAGATCAGGACAAGCGGGAAGCTTCCGGGCTGCTGGAGAGGGTCACAGCCGGTTAGGGGAGGGAGCCAGGAGAGGACTCTGTGGCCCCGGGGAAGGGCTGGGCTAGTTCTGGGTCCCTGGGAGGAGTGAGTGGGGGGCCCTGCAGAGGGCTGGGACCCAGAGTGTGGGTGAGCATTAGAAGAGCGAGCTGGGGGCTCTAGGGCAACTAGGAACTTGAAGAGGGATGGGAGGCAGGGCTGCTGGGTCCCTAGGAAGGGCTGGAGGAATCCCGGAACGCCTGAGTTCCGGGAAAGCCCCTTCCTCACTTACCCTCGCCGGACCTGGGGCCAGGTTCAAGCAGCAGCAGCAGCAGCTACGGGAGCCGCAGGAGCAGCTTGATTGGCAGGCGCACAGGTAGCGGCCCCATCGGAGGGTGGCAGAGGTGGGGCGGTGCTGCCGGGCCGCCGGAGGCAGCAAGCCCAGCGGACACACACCCTGGATGCCACGCCTCGGCCCGGCCCTCGACCTCACCTTCCCTCGGGGCCCAGGCGGAACCAGCTAGGGGTGGGCACCTGGGGTGGTGCAAAGGCATCCTGATCTCTGCATCTTGGTCACTGAAGGGGCTCGAGAGGCCGCGGGGCGCTGGGGACAGGACCGGGAGTCAGGCCCAGGAAAGTCTCCTCGGAATAAGGGAGGAAAAGGCGCTCTTTTGATGTTATTATTCCCCCAGCCCCTCCCCCGCTCACCTGGGCGCCCAAAGGGGACAGAAGACTTGGAGGAGGGGTAGTCCTGAATTTACTTTAGCATTTTATTTCATTTGGCCGGGTGCGAGGTGGCTCACGCCTGTAATCCCAGCACTTTGGAAGGCCGAGGCTGGCGGATCACCTGAGGTCAGGAGTTCAAAACCAGCCTGGCCAACATGGCGAAGCCGTCTCTACTAAAAACACAAAAATTAGCAGGGCGTGGTGGTGCGGACCTACAATCCCAGCTACTTGGGAGGCTGAGGCACAGGAATCGCTTGAACACGGAAGGTGGAGGTTGCAGTGAACCAAGATCACTCCACTGCACTCCAGCCTGGGTGAGAGCCAGACTCCGTCTCTTTCTCTCCCTCCCTCTTTCTCTCTCTCTGTCAGTCTAGAGAGAGTTGATTGTCCCCAGTCAGTCTCTCTCAGTCAAGAGAAGGGTGGGGGGGAACGGAGGCTGGGCACAGGGCTCACGCCTGTAATCCCAGCACTTTGGGACACTGAGGCGGGTGGATCACCTGAGGTCAGGAGTTTGAGACCAGCCTGGCCAACATGGTGAAACCCTGTCTCTACTAAAAATACAAAAAATTCCCTGGGTATGGTGTTGGGCGCCTATAAACCCAACTACTCAGGAGGCTGAGGCAGGAGAATCACTTGAACCTAGGAGGCAGAAATTGCAGTGAGCCAAGATCGCACCACTGCACTCCAGCCTGGGCAACAAGAGTAAAACCCTGTCACACACACACAGACACACACACACACACACACACACACAAAATTAACCAGGCATGGTGGCATGTGCCTGTAGTCTCAGCGGCTCAGGAGGCTGAGGTACAAGAATCGCTTGAATTTGGGAGGTGAAGGTTGCAGTGATCCAAGATTGCGCTATTCCACTCCAGCTGGAGCGAGAAGACCGAGACTCCATATCAAAAAAAAAAAAAAGTCTGTCTCAAAAAAAAAAAAAAAAACAATAAAAACCAGAAGTCTTGATCTGTGATCTTGGGAAAAGCTGTTCACATCAAGGATGCCATCTTCTTCCAGCGAAAAACTTCCCTCTTGTGAGATTATGAACCCAAAGTTCAAGGTCCTGAAGTTCTGCTGTAGTGTGGATGGCAAGGACATTCTTTCTCTGATGTTCTCAGAAGATCCAATCTTCAGGTTCTAGATTGTGAAGGAATTGATTGTCCCCAGTCAGTGAGCCATAAAAAGCTTTCAGTATCTGGTGAAAATACACCATACCATAGATCTACTGTTATAATATCAGCCCTCTTGCATGGGAAAGCAACCAGAAAACATGCATTGAAAATGACAGTTGACAATTGAAATGTTCAAATTGCCCATGAGGTAGCCAAATGCACCTGAAGCTTTGATTGTCTTCCCAGGAACATGGATTTGACAAACGAAACATTGGTTATGAACTATTTTAGCAATTTATAAGTCAGCATAGAAATACATATTTAATTTGGATCATTTTATCTTTTCCATGATGAGTCATGGAATGCGGAGCCTTTTATTTTTTGTTTTTAGACAGAGTTTCATTCTTGTTGCCCAGGTTGGAGTGCAATGGTGCTATCTCGGCTCACCGCAACCTCTGCCTCCTGGGTTCAAGCGACTCTCCTGCCTCAGCCTCCCGAGTAGCTGGGATTACAGGCATGAGCCACCACGCCTGGCTAATTTTTTGTATTTTTAGTACAGATGGGGTTTCACCATGGTCTCGATCTCCTGACCTCGTGATCCACCCACCTTGGCCTCCCAAACTGCTGGGGTTACAGGCTTGAGCCACTGTGCCCGGCTTAATTTTTGTACTTTTAGTAGAGACACGGTTTCACCATGTTGGCCAGGATGGTCTCCATCTCTTGACCTCATGATCTGCCTGCATTGGCCTCCCAAAGTGTTGGGATTACAGGCATGAGCCACCACACCCGGCCCCCCTTTTTTTTGAGATGCAGTTTCGCTCTTGTTGCCCAGGCTGGAGTGCAATGGCGTGATCTCAGCTCACTGCAACCTCCGCCTCCTGGCTTCAAGCAGTTCTCCTGCCTCAGCCTCCCAAGTAGCTAGGATTACAGGCATGCCCCACCGCACCTGGCTAATTTTGTGTTTTTTTTTTTTTTTAACTAGAGATGGGGTTCCACCATGTTGGTCAGGCTGGTCTTGAACTCTTGACCTCAAGTGATCCACTCACCTCGGCCTCCCAAAGTGTTAGGATTACAGGCGTGAGCCACTGCACCCGGCCAGCATTTTCTTATAGTAAAGAAAGTGAAACCACGGGTTGTTGAAAGAAGGAAGAAAGAGCGTGAATCTTCGTAGGAAAAAGAAGGAAAGCAAAAGGAAACAAAAACTTCCAGCTGTCTGGCTTGTATTGGCATTTACAATGTTTGCTGGTGTCCCACTTTGATCAGTGAAATGTGGCTGGGAGGAACCTGTGTCACTTTTTGTTTTTTCTTTTTGAGACTCACTCTGTAGCCCAGGCTGGAGTGCAGTGGCGCAATCTTGGCTCACTGCAAGCTCCGCCTCCTGGATTCTCACCATTCTCCTGCCTCAGCCTCCTGAGTAGCTGGGACTACAGGCGCCCGCCACAACGCCTGGCTAATTTTTGTGTTTTCAGTAGAGACGGGGTTTCACTGTGTTAGCCAGGATGATCTTGATCTCCTGACCTTGTGATCCGCCCGCCTCGGCCTCCCAAAGTGCTGGGATTACAGGCGTGAGCCACCACGCCCGGCCTGAACCCCTGTCATTTTTTAGCAGAAACTTTCAGAGTCAGTAAGTGGCCAGGCATTTCTCTTTTTTTTGTGCCACAGGACTCTGGATGTTTCCAATGCAGACTAATCCAAGGCTGCTGTGGATGTGTCCTATGGGAGAGAAATTGACTTTGTCTATTTCTCTACGGAGAATGGGGGGTGCACCAGGCAGGATGACTCATGCCTGTAATTCCAGCACTTTGGGAGCCCAAGGCTGGTGGATCACTTCAGGCCAGGAGTTCAAGACCAGCCTGGCTAACACAGTGAAACCCCGTCTCTACTAAAAATACAAAAATTAGCCAGGTGTGGTGGGGCATGCCTGTAATCCCAGCTACTCAGGAGGCTGAGGCAGGAAAATTGCTTGAACCAGGAGGTGGAGGTTGTAGTGAGCCAAGGTCACGCCACTGCCCTCCTGCCTGGGCAACAGAGCGAGATTCTTATCTCCATAAAATGAAACAAAGCAAAACAAAGGGAGAGAGAATGGAGGTTGCCTGTTACTGCATCATAATCTTGTTTATGCTGACTGATGCATTAGAGGTACTAATGGCATGAGAGGAACAATTTCCTGAGACACAGTTTACTGACCATGAATTTCCTCAAAACCCCAGAGAGCAGGCTTCTCAGGAGGAGACTCAGTGTGGAATCCCTTGCCAAGGTAGACCCTGGTTCTGTAGCAGGACGAGCCGCAGACAAATCTCCTCAAGACACCGGATTAAAGAAGGAAAAGGTTTATTTGGCCAGGAGCGTCAGCAGATTTGTGTCTTAAGACCCGAGCTCCCCGAAAAAGAAATTCTTGGCCTTTTTAAAGGCTTACAACTTTAAAGGGTCCACGTGAAAGTGTCGTGATAAATCGAGCAAGCATGGGGAAGGTGAGTGGGGGCTACATGCATCAGCTAACAGAACAGAAAGCTTTGCAATGCTTTTTCATACAAGGTCTGGAATTTACAGATAACACAAGTAGTTTAGGTCAGGGGTTGATGTCATTATTATTATTATTTTTAACTCCTGTGGCAGGTGGTGGTGCCAAGGTGTCTGGCTACTTATCTTACTTTTGTTTCTAAATTTTTGCTTTCTCTCTTTCCTCCTGTCTTGTGAACTAGGCAAGATGGTGGGAGGAGGGCAGCCGGAGTAGTAGTGGTCTCCTTCGTTAGTTCAGGTTCCAGCTACAAACACTTACCACCTGTGAGACCTTGGGCAGTTCACATCCCCTCTCTGTGGCTCAGTCTGCTCAACTGTAAAATAGGTTAAATCCTGAAAGATCAAAATCCCTCACATCTAAAATCTCAAAAATCACAGTCCCAAAGTGATCGTTCTTGTTGCCCAGGCTGAAGTGCAATGGTGCGATCTCAGCTCACTGCAACCTCCGCCTCCCAGGTTCAAGTGCTTCTCCTGCCTCAGCCTCACGAGTAGCTGGGATTACAGGTGTGCACCACCATGCCTGACTTATTTTTTGTCTTTTTAGTAGAGACAGGCTTTCACCCTGTTGCTCAGGCTGGTCTCAAACTCCGGACCTCAGAAGATCCACCTACTTCAGCTTCCCAAATTGCTGGGATTATAGGCATGAGCCATGGTGCCCGGCTCCTTATTTTATTTATTTATTTTTTTGAGTTTTGCTCTGTCACCCAGGCTGGATTGTAGTGGCACGATCTCAGCTCACTGAAACCTTCGCCTCCTGGGTTCAAGCAATTCTCTGTCTTGGCCTCCCGAGTAGCTGGAATTACAGGCGTCCGCCACTACGCTGGCTAATTTTTGCATTTTTAGTAGAGACGGGGTTTCATCATCTTGGCCAGGCTGGTCTTGAACTCCTGACCTCGTAATCCACCCGCCTAGGCCTCTCAAAGTGCTGTGATTACAGGCATGAGCCATTGTGTCTGACCCCTTACGTTTTTTAAAAACAACTTTATTGAAATAGAATTCACGTAGCATACAACTTCCCCATTTAAGGCATACAATTCAATGGCTTTTAGTATATTCACAAATCCTTTCTTTTTGTGTATATGTACCACATTTTCTTTGTCCATTCATCTGTTGATGGATACTTAGGTTGATTTTGTATTTTGGCTGTTTTGAATAGTGCTGCAATAAACATAGGAGTGCAGATGTGTCTTTGAGATACTGAGTTTCTTTCTTGTGGACTTACACCCAGCAGTGTGATTGCCGAATTATACGGTAGTTCTATTTTTAGCTTATTGAGGACCCTCCATGCAGTTTTCCGTAGTGGATAAGCTATTTTACATTCCCACCGGCCAGGCGTGGTGGCTCACGCTGGTAATCCCAGCTCTTTGGGAGGCTGAGGCGGGAGAATAACGAGGTCAAGATATCAAAAGCATCCTGGCCAAAATGGTGAAACCCCATCTCTACTAAAAACACAAAAAATAGCTGGGCATGGTGGCAAACGCCTGTAGTCCCAGCTACTCGGGAGGCTGAGGCAGGAGAATGCTGGAACCCGGGAGGCGGAGGTTGCAGTGAGCCGAGATCCGCGCCATCGCACTACTCCAGCCTGGGCGACAGAGAGAGAGACTCTGTCTCAAAACAAACAAACAAAAAACATTCCCACCAAGAGTGTTTGAGTGCTCCTGTTTCTCTGCGTCCTTGTCAGCATTTGTTGTTTTCTGACTTTTTGATAGTCGCCATTTTAGTTGAGGTTAGATGAAATTTTACTGGGTTTTGATGTGCACTTCTGTGATGATTAGTGATGTTAAGTTTGCATATACCTGTTGGCCACTTGTATGTCTTCTGTTGGAAAATAGCCATTGAGATCTTTTGCCTTTTTTTTTTTTTTTTTTGCCAATGCTGTCGTTTATTGCGCGGAGTGGGGGCGTGGGGGTTAGTGGGGCGTGGGGGTCGTGATGGGGGCACTGCTGCCTCGGTTCGTCAGTACATTAATCACAGCGGCGGGACTCCAGCCTTTGCAGCCTCGCCCACGCGCCCTGCGCAGCCAGGACGGCCCGCCCCTCGGCGCAGGTGCTGGAGGGAGCTGGGGCACTGCTCCAGGAGGTCACCGCGGGACGCGCGTGGACGGCGGCTGGGCAGGTTATTGCGTGAGCACGGTGGGAGCAGCGGGAAGCCGGAGGGCCAAGTATTGCACTTAGAATAACAATCCTCATCAGACGGCGGGCTACCTAGAGGGCAGGGGGCGGGCAGGGCTCCACAGCCGGCTCCTCTCCGCCACTGGGTCGCCCTGTCCCTATCTTACAGCTGGGGAAACTGAGGCACCGAGGTGAAGGAAGCCCCCTCGCACGCGAGGCCGCCGCCGGGGGCAGGGGCGATGGGGGTGGGCGCAGGGCGATGAGGGGGGACGGCCGGGGGCTCGGAGGGGACTGCTCCCTGGCCAGTGTAGTCAGTCCGACTACGGCTACCTACGTCTCATGTATAGCTTCTTGAGGGGCTGGCGGCCGGGGCAGCGCAATGACAGGGCTTTGGTCTGGATGACGCCCCGCCCCGGGCCAGCCTGGGCCCCGCAGGGCAGTTGGTGAGGGACACAAGTTGGACCAGAAGCGCGAGCGCGGAGAGTCCTGCGGGTCCAAGCCGCGGGCGGCACCGGGCGAGGCCGAGTCCATGCGGTCCGGGCTGGGCGCCGCGCTTGGGGGCAGCGGGCCTGGGCCCCAGGCGAGGCGTGGACCTGCTGGCCCGGCCCGCCGTGGCTGTTGTCCATTTTTTAATGGGATTATTTGGGATTTTTGTTTTTGAGTTCTTATATGTTCTGGGTATTAATCCTTTGATGGATGAATAGTTTGCAAAAATTTTCTCCCATTCTGTGGGTTGTCTCTTCACTTTGTTTTTTTATTTATTTTAGACGGAGTCTCACTCTGTGGCCCAGGTTGGAGTGCAGTGGCACAATCTCGGCTCACTGCAACCTTCGCTTCCCGGGTTCAAGCAGTTCTCCTGCCTCAGCCTCCCTAGTAGCTGGGGATTACAGGCACCCACCACCATCCCCAGCTAATTATTTGTATTTTAGTAGAGACAGGGTTTCACTATGTTGGCCAGGCTGGTCTAGAACTCCTGACTTCAAGTGATCTGCCCGCCTTGGCCTCCCAAAGTGCTGGGATTACAGGCATGAGCTACCGTGCCTGGTCTACTTTGTTTATTTTTAATTTTAATTAAACAAATTTTTTTTCTGTGCAGAAGCTTTTTAGCTTGATGTAATTCTATTTATCAATTTTTGCTTTGGTTGTCTGTGTTTTTGAAGTCTTACTCAAGAAATCTTTGCCTAGACAAGTGTTATAAAGCATTTCCCCAGTGTTTTCTACTAATATTTTCATAGTTTCTTTTCTTTTCTTTTCTTTTTTTTTTTTTGAGATGGAGTCTCACTCTGTCACCCAGGCTGGAGTGCAGTGGTGCAATCTCAGCTCACTGCAACCTCCACCCCTTGGGTTCAAGCAATTCTTCCGCCTCCCTCCCTAGTAGCTGGGATTACAGGTGTGCGCTACCACGCCTGGCTAATTTTTGTATTTTTAGTAGAGACGGGGTTTCGCCATGTTGGCCAGGCTGGTCTCGAACGCCTGAGCTCGGGCAATCCTCCCGCCTCGGCCTGGGCTGGGATTACAGGTGTGAGCCACAGTGCCCAGCCTGTAGTTTCTTACATATAAGTTTTTAATTAATTTCAATTTGATTTTTATATATGGTGAAGCACAGGGGTCTAGTTTTATTCTTCACACATAGATATATCTCATTTTCCCAGCACCACTTATTGAAGACACCATCTGTTTCCCCATGGTATGTTTTTGGTGCCTCGGTGCAAAATGAGCTGGCTGTAAATGCATGGATTTATTTCTGGGTTCTCTGTTGTGTTCCACTGGGCCATGAAATCCTTCCTTTCCAATATTATAAAGTCACCATTTTCCCGTTTCCCTCCTGTCACCCTTGCTGTGTTTGGGCCAAGCAGGGCAGGCAGGACCCAGAACTTGATGTGGCCAGGTGAGGCCAGAGCCTCTCTAGGCTGCTCAAGAAATCTGCGCTGAGGTCCTTGGTCTGCAGGGAGAACCAAATCCCCATCGATGACCCCACAAAACACTGTTAGGTAAACCACAGTGTGAAACAGCTTGAGAAATAGAATCTGTGTCATATCCAACATTTACTCACACTCATGATTGCGAGACTGGGATACCTAAGCAGGAGGAACCAGAAGAGCACCCTCTTCCCCTGCATGTCCAGGTCCCCTTTAGGTCACCTAGGGCATGTGGCTGGAAGCAGGGGCTTCTGGATAGGGGCAGGCTATGGTCGGGGACAGTGGGGGTGGTGGGCCCTGGGCAGTAGGGGTGGTGGTGTTAGTGAAAGGTCTGAGGCAGGGCAGAGATCAGGAGGAATGGCATTCCAGCAGGATTCAGAGATAGGCCAGTAGGTCGGCAGACACAGGAGCAGGTGGCCTGGGACTCAGAGGAGCAGCTGGAGTTGGAGGAGAAGGGCCCTGCTTTCCTCCAGTCTTCTTCTGTTTGGGTGCTGCATTAGCACCCCACTGCACCCCCAACCCCTGTCCCTCCCCTTCCCTCACTCCCTGAGTCTTAGAACCCATTCCTTCATCCCCAGCATGCACCTTCTTCTTTTTTTTTTTTTTGAAACAGAATCTCATTCTTGTTGCCCAGGCTGCAATGGAGTGGCACGATCTCAGCTCACTGCAACTCCCACCTCCCAGGTTCAAGCAATTCTCCCTGCCTCAGCCTCCCAAGTAGCTGGGATTACGGGTGCACACCACCACTCCTGGCTAATTTTTGTATTTTTAGTAGAGATGGGGTTTCGCCATGTTGGCCAGGCTGGTCTCGAACTCCTGACCTCAGGTGATCTGCCCGCCTCGGCCTCCCAAGGTGCTGGGATTACAGGCGTGAGCCACAGTACCCAGCCGCAGCATGCACCTTCTTAAGGACAGTTCCTTTCTGGATCCTTCCTAGGGTTCTGATTTCTAATCCTTCCTAACCCAGCTCACTGCCCCCCACCACCACCCTCCATCCCCCCATTCTGCCTCAGTTTCTCCTTTCCTGATTCCCACAATTTCCAGCAATCAGTCTTGGCCTCAGATTCCTGTCCTTCAGGTTCCAGTGTTCCTTGGGTCCTCTCTCTCCTGTGATCCTCTCTGATTAGGGGTGGGAGGGTGTGAGTTGGAATTAAACCCAGCCTTTATTGGAGTCCTAGGGCTGGATTCTGCATTGTGCTCTGCTGTGTCATTGCACCTTCTCGTTTCCGCTCTTTCTGACTTGCTTCATCCTCTTCATACTCTAAGCTCAGCCAGCGCATGTTGACCCCACCGGTGGAGCGCCGCTCCTTCCCACCTCCTGCTTCTCCTTCTCCATCTCCACCTCTCCATCTTCTGCTCCTGGCCATTCCTGGCACGGGGACCCGAGCTCTGAGCTCTTGCCTTTTTCTGGGGCACCGTCTTCTCCTTCTCGTCACCCCGGGCAGTGCCCCTGGGCTCCTCGGCTGCTGCGGGCCTGGGCCACCCGGGTCAGCGCGGCCCTGCTGACAGCGCAGTTCACACCCGGGGCGGCCGCGGCAGGTGCAGTGCGAGGGGCGCCACCTGTAGGCTGGTGTGGGCACTGCCTAGAGGTTGCTGTGGCGCCGTCTGGAGGTTGCCGTGGCTCTCGTTGGCGCCCAGCGCCGCGCCCGGGGCTTCATGGCTGTGTCGCTGCTGCCCCCTCCCAGGGCCGCAGGGCCCGGGTTCCACTTGGCGGCGTCTTCTCGCGAGTCGCTTTCGCTGCTCCAAGAAGTCGGCGGTGCAGCAACTGACGCCGCTGCTGCTCCGGTCGCCGCAGGTCGCCATATTCCTCGCGGGGGCCGGCCGGGCTCTCGGCTCAGGCCGCCCACCCTGCTCCGGCCGCCGCCGCCTCTCCGTTCCCGCAGCCAGAGGAGGCGAGGGAGCGACCTCCAGGCACTGGGCGCCCGCCGCTTCCCCAGCAGCCGGCGGGGCGGGGAAGAAAGACGCCAGGAAGCGGAAGGCCCCCGCCGGCCCGAGGGTCGCCCGGGGCTGTGCCCCATGGTTCCTGGCCCGCGAGCAGCTGCTGGGACCCCCCCTTGCCAAGTTGCTCCCCGAAAAGCTCTAAGGTTCTCAGGCCTGCAGGGAGTGACAGTTTCCCCCTGACTGTAACGTAAGGCTGCAAACTCGAAGCCAGGAATTTTCTGCATATTCTTAAATAGGATGTTTCAGTCAAAGCCTTGATAATATAACCAATCTTTCTGATTGTAGCCTGCTTATAAAGAGAACATATGTACATGAAAATAAGAATATTTATGAATAGTTTCCAAACTTTAGAAGGATCAGATAGGGAGGAAAAACAAACGCTTCCACCCACCTTTGTTCACAAAAGTGTGCTTTACCAAATCGGTGTAAATTCTAGATAACTTCTGAGAAAAACCTTTCTTCAATCTAGAAAACAAAACAAGGGCCGGGCGCGGCGGCTCAAGCCTGTAATCCCAGCACTTTGGGAGGCCCAGGCAGGGGGTGATCACCTGAAATCGAGAGTTGGAGACCAGCCTGGCCAACATGGTGAAACCCCGGTCTCTGCTACAAATACAAAAACTAGCTGGGCGTGGTGGCGGGCGCCTGTAATCCCAGCTACTCGGGAGGGTGAGGCAGGAGAATTGCTTGAACTGAGCGGAGATCCTGCCACTGCACTCCAGCCTGGGTGACAGAGTGAGACTCTGTCTCAAAATAAAAATAAAGAATGAATCAACAATGTTTTAAATACCAGTTATAAAAACATTATCGTAATAGATTTTTTTGTTTTGCTTGATCTCGCTTAGCAGTTTTTTGAACCATTTTTTCCTTATTAGAAACCACTAGAAATTGGTTTTTAGTTCATTGATTTTTGTTTATTTTTATTTTTATTTCTGAGACACAGTCTCAGTCTGTCGCCCAGGCTGGAGTGCAGTGGCACAATTTTGGCTCACTGCAACCTCTGCCTCCCAGGTTCAAGCAATTCTCATGCCTCAGCCTCCCGAGTAGCTGGGATTGTGTGCCAAATCATTCACCCCTCACCACAACCGAATGAGCTAAGGATTCTCATTATATATAGTTTATGGAGAGGGAAGTGCAGACATAAAGAGGTGAATTGTCTTACCCAGATCACACAGCTGATAAGTGGTGGAGGCAGAATAGAATCTAAACAGTGTGGCTCCGGAGCCCACATGCATTGATTCGACAAGTGTTTATTGAGCACCTGCCACGGACAAGGCCTTGTGTGATTAAATAGGGTTATAATTAGTAATATAAAAATGAGAAATCACTAATGCTTTTTAGACTTAACATTTTCTTTTTTTGTAGGTTTCAGGCACAGAACTGTATATCCAATAATAGTGAAATGGATCCCACTAATTATGACAGAAATGATGATACATTTAAATGACTTGGATGTTTTATAGGTATGATCTCGTGAAACCTTGAGAGAAACTGAATGACGAATGAAACTATTGTTCCTGTTTCACACAGAAGAAAACTGAGGTTAAAAGGGGTAAAGTAATTTTGCATGGCATGAAGTAGAAATTCAAAGTACAGGAATTTGAACTTGGTTCTGTCCTTTTCTGAAGCCCTTGACCACTATAGACTCAAACATCACCTTGTTTTTCCACTCATTCAACACTATTTTTTTAAATTATCTAATAGGTTGGCACTCATGATGAGCCCCTGTTCTCATTCTGCAAATGGTGAAGCTCTCTATTGTCCTGACCCCACAGTTCCTGTCGCATGACCAGAGCCAGCTCACCAAGGAGCTGCAGCAGCATGTAAAGTCAGTGACATGCCCATGCGAGTACCTGAGGAAGGTGAGTGAGTGCAGACAGATGGGGCCTGGTGCCCTTGAGCAGTTCCCGGGTCTCAGCTGCCACACATCTCATAGCGGGTGATGCTGGGGGAAGCTTACGCAGTCACAGTACTGGCTTCTTCCTCTTTTTCTTTCCATACAAGTGGCTTAGGGATGGGGTAGAGTAGTTGACTTATTTGGATGAAAACCACTATCTTCTGTCAGAAACTCAAAAGGAATCATTGCTGGCATGGTAACCTAAAGAAAAACAACCAGACAAGTGCCCAACAACACTTAAAAAGGTTATTTATTATCTTGCCAAGTTTAGGCTGGGCATGGTGACTCATGCCTGTAATCCCAGCATTTTGGGAGGCTGAGGCTGGTGGATCACCTGAGGCCAGGACTTCAAGACCAGCCTGACCAATATGGCAAAACCTCGTCCCTACTAAAAATACAAAAATTAGCCGGGCATGGTGGTGTGAGCCTGTAGTCCCAGCTACTCAGGAGGCTGAGACAGGAGAATTGCTTAGATTCAGGAGGTGGAGGTTTTAGTGGGCCGAGATCATGCCATTGCACTCCAGACTGTGCGACAGAGCGAGACTCTGTCAAAAAAAAAAAAAAATTATCCTGCAAAATTTGAAAAGGAAATTCAAATCAACAGCTTCTAAACTACTTTTTAACATGACTCATAATAAGAAATACATTCTATAGTACATATATATGTTCTATAATTTTGAATAAAAGAATTAACCACATCACATTTATTTTACAACATGTAATACATATTTTTTATTCTCCTTCATTTGTTTTGAATGCTCTGTGCAGTCTACAAAAAGTCCAATAGTAATAATTAAATTAGTCATTAAGTTGAACATTATCTTGTCTTTTAAAATGATAATCTCAAAAATGATCTTTTATTTTTGAGATTTATATAGATACACACACACACACACATACACACACACACACACACACACACACACACACACACACATATAGAGAGAGAGACAGAGTTTCACTCTGTCGCCCAGGCTGGAGTGCAGTGGCACAACCTTGGCTCACTGCAACCTCTGTCTCCCGGGTTCAAGCAATTCCTCTGCCTCAGCCTCTGAGTAGCTGGGACTACAGGTGTGCACCATCATGCCCAGCTAATTTTTGTATTCTTAGTAGAGATGGGGTTTCACCATATTGGCCAGGCTCGTGTCAACTCCTGACCTCGTAATCTGCCCACCGTGGCCTCCCAAAGTGCTGGGACTATAGGTGTGAGCCACTGCACCCGGTCCAAGATAAAATTATTTTAACAATATACTATGAAGAGAAAAACACTGGCTATGAAAGAATATGCATAGTTTTACCCTGTTTAAAAATAAAGATTGAAAGAATACATATGCAAATAAGTTTACTTTTATTTTTGGTAATACTTTACTGGATTGTCTGAATATTGACAATCAGTATGCATCATGAAGCTACATGGCTAACATTGAGTACTGACTGTGTGTGCCAGGCCCTGGGTTCAATGCTCTACATGCACTTATATTTCATTTAATTCTCTCTGCAACCTGAGATGGTATAGCCACCTCATTTTACAGAGTTGAAACTGAGGCTCAGAGACTGAAAGTTAAGCCTGAGGTTACAGTCAATAAGAGGCAGAGCTGGAACTGAAACCTACGTGTGTCTGACCACCAGTTCCTGTTCTGACGGCAGGCTAGTCTGCATCACAGAGTGTGGGGTAGATGGTGCATGCCTGCTAGGATGGGCTAGGTATCACTGTAGGTAAGAAACAGCCCCAAACGATGGAAATGTACACCACTGAAGGCTCTTTTCCTGCCCATGCTGCACATCCTCCATGGCTCTCCTGTGCCCTGTGCCCCACATGCCCTCATCCTGCCACGAGAATAAAGGAGCAGCCTCCATATGGGAGCTGTCAGCTGCTCTAAGAGATGAAGGAGAGGGTGGCCAGTCTCAATGGCTCCCAACTCTTTTGCCTCGAGGTGACACGCTTCACTTCCACTCACATCTCTTGGGTCAAAGCAAATCCCATGGGTACATCCACTTTCAAGTGGCCCAAGAGAGAACCTGAAATACTTGGTGGACTCCATTAAGGCTGTCATATGGTGTCAGCCTGCATGGGAGACTGTGGAGGGGCAGAGGAGGAGAGTGGGGAACTGATGGGAAATGACAGGAGGACTAAGTCACCGCAGATTTGCTTTATCCTCAGCCAGGTGGAGTTTGTCCCAGAGCCGCACAAAATCATCACCAGCATGATGAAACAGAGTAGACTTCAGAAAAAGCAGTTTGGTCGGATGTAATCAGCAGTGAACTCAGAATCAATTGAGTGACATTGAGTCAGTAAATCTCTGACTGCCTCAGTTACCCCATATGATAGTTTTGAGGATGGGAACATTGAGAGAGTTGATTTGGAAGGATATCAAGAGTAAAAATTCCAACATTTTTAGTTCCTTTAAGTTAAATCCAGGCACTGTCTTTCCTGCAAGTCTCCTGTTCCTTTCAGATTGCACAGGTGAGAGTGCTCAGATTAGGGCTGGAGGTTGTGAACTATTGCTCCCACACTGACAGTGCCCCCGTGTCGTGCATGTATTCTGTGCATTTTCCTGTGCTAAACACTCTCCCAAAACAGCGTGGGGCCTGATTCTTCCTCTTTGTTCCAATGGCCCTGGGTGACTCAAGTGCCCATTCAATGACCAGGACACAGAGGTCTTAGAGAGATGCTCCATGAGGCCCCAGGTGCGAGCCTGTACCCTGCCGGAGCATGAGGCAAGGGACAGGGCATCGTCTGTGGGGATAGTGGGGGTAGTGGTCAGCCAGGCTTGGTGACTCTACTTGCTCACCAGATGATCCTACACCTGCCACCTCCGATGGATCCACTGCCTCTGTGCCTGCCTGTACTGCTGATGCTCCAGTGGATAACTCAGCATCCCAGCCTAGGCCCAATGCCACTGAAGATGGACCTGCACCCTGGGGACCCAGGAGTCCTACCACTCAGCTGTCCCCAGGAGTGCCCAGACCCTCATTCTTATCCAGGACCTAGGAGCCCTACCCCTGGCCTTCCCTCATCAGCCGTAAATGATGATTTACTGCTGTTACCATCATCACTGCCTTCAGTGACCAAGGGCCTTCCAAGGTGCCAGCTCTGGAACGAAAGATGCCCTTGGGAGGTGATGACACTCAGGTACACGGGTGCTCAACAGATTGCTTCCTCCTATCCTCAGACGGTCTTTGCATGCATGCAGCCATTGGCACTCCCATTGTATGGAAGGAAACCAGCCCAGGGTCACACAGCTGGTCAGCAGCAACATAGCTGGTCTCAAATCTAAGGTGCCTGGCCATGCCTCCATGAGGGACCGCCTGCAAGGGAGGTTGATCCTGGCTTTGGGGAGCCTTTCCTGGGCTGCACGAATAACCTCCATTGTTCGAGACCCCAAACTCTGCTCACATCTTCCTTTCCCTGTCTCTGCTTGGGCTATGATCACGGTGACTCTAGCAACCCTTCATGGACATTATAGTACTCTCTGCCATTCACTTTTGGTCTAATCTGACTTCAACCCCCACTTACTTGGTCTCTCCTTTTACAACCAACACAACCGAAATCTAGGGCTTTTTTTTTTTTTTTTCTTTTTGAGACAGAGTCTCATTCCATTCTGTTACCCAGGCTGGAGTGCAATGGTACGATCTCGGCTCACTGCAACCTCCGCCTCCCGGGTCCAAGGGATTGTCCTGCCTCAGCCTCCTGAGTAGCTGGGATTACAGGCGGGTGCCACCATGCCTGGCTAATTTTTGTATTTTTAGTAGAGACAGGGTTTCACCATGTTGGTCAGGCTGGTCTCGAACTCCTAACCTCGTGATCCGCCTGCCTCAGCCTCCCAAAGTGCTGGGATTACAGGCGTGAGCCACCATGCCCAGCCAAATCTAGGGCTGGAACATGGCTGCAGCATATAAATAGAATTGAATTCCATAGTTTTGTTAACCCTGTTTTTTGTTTGTTTGTAGTTGTTGCTGTTTTTGAGACAAGAGTCTCTCTCTGTCGCCTAGTCTGGAGTGCAGTGGTGCAATCTCGGCTCACTGCAGACTCTGCCTCCCGGGTTCAAACTATTCTCCTGCCTCAGCCTCCCAAGTAGGTGGGACTAAGGCGCCCACCACCACACCCGGCTAATTTTTATATTTTATTAGAGACAGGGTTTCACCATATTGGCCAGGCTGGTCTGGAACTCCTGACCTTGTGATCCGCCGACCTCGGCCTCCCAAAGTGCTGGGATTACAGGCGTGAGCCACCACACCCAGCCCCTGTTTTGTTTTTGTTTTGCTTGTTTCTTAGGGTTGTTTTTCTATTTATGGTAAAGGCATTGGCTTTCCATTTGTAGCATCAATAGAATATTTCCTGTTTACAATAACCTTATGTCATAGTAAATGGTAAAGGGATTTAAAGCAGTGGTTTTCAGCTCCCAGAGGCCTGAGTGAGTTTGGGCACACTCTGTGTGATCAGGCAGAAGGCCTGTGGGAAGTTTAGCTGAGGACAGGGCCAGGAAAGGTGATGGACAGTGGGGGTCTGTCCTGGTCACCAGACCCCTGCGTCCTGCCCACCTGCTTGGAGCTCCCCACCCATCACACATGATGCTGCCAAGCCCTCTGGGTATTGTGGGCAAATACCTTAGGAGAGAAGCTGATGAACTTTGTTTCTTGAAATGCACAGATTCCTTGGACATCCCTGAGAGGTCAATCATGAAGGTCAACTTGGTTTTCTCCCCCTCATTTGGGTTCAGAATTTAAAGTCCACACACACAGGCAGTAAGATGATTATAGATAAGGACATCATCACTCGGTTTCGGATGTTAAAATGTCTAGGTGGGTTAGGGGTGATTTGAGATCACACAACCTTGTGCCACAAAGAGGAATTCCCAGGCCAGAGGGAGACATTTTATTGCCATGTTATGATCTTATCATTGAGTTGAAAGGCAATCTTGTTTCATTTTGGATTCTTTCTTATGTTTATGTCTTATAAGGGCACTTTGAATTTCCAAGCAAATAATAATTTTGAATTAGCTTTTAATCATTGACTTCTAGCACAGTTATATGATCAGAAACGTGCTGTGTGATTTGATTGCTCTCAAATATATTGAGATTTGCTGGAACAAAATAAGTCAGGTTAATTTTTGTAAATGTACCATGCATGCTTAAAATGAATGTATCTACATTTGTTCCTGAGATACAGGTTGATGGACGGATGGCTACATGGATGTGATGGAGATGGTTTACTATCGGGACCTTCCGCATCCTGCTGATGTTTTGTTGCTTAGGATATGAATGGCTGAGCGGAGGCTGTAAAACCTGGCACTCTGCTTGGGTATGAGGTTCTTCCTGCCATCCTGCCATCATTTGTTTTTTATGTTTTGTCGCCAAAAGTGACCTTGAGGAACCCTGGGAGCTCAGGAAGGAAGGAGCGCCCAGAAGCAGGGACAGGGAGCTGGTTGGGGAGGACCAGAAATCAGGTTTGTGAAGGTTCCAGAGAGGACCTGTCCTTGCGAGGAGTGTGGGAGACTGAGATGGGGGAGGGGTCATTGGAATGATGCGGGCGCTACTTGGCATTGTCCATTGTGAGGCACCACCGGGGTCATCAGGGATTGGTGGAGAGGGAGTATAAAGCCCCAGGTTTGCTAAGGGAGGGCCCAGACCGAAGAAGGTTTGGCGGATAGCAGAACCTTTTTGTCTCCCTCTAATTGCTCCTAAGCCTCACGCTCCCTTGCCCCGCGTGTCCTGTTGCTTCCCTGATCTTCTCCGTGACCTGTAGCTAAACCTTCCACCAGCGCTTGAGAACTTAATTTGAACCGGATCCTTTCCCAGACCCCTTTCTTCTTCTCCTCCCCCTCCTCCACCTCCTCCAGGTGCCCAACAGCCCCCTTCTCCTTTCCCTTCCCTTACTTCCCCCCTTCCCCTCCCCTTCCCCTTCCCCTCCCCCTCCCCTTCCCCTCCCCCTCCCCTTCCCCTCCCCCTCCCCTGCCCCTCCCCAACTCAGATCCGCCCCGGTCCCCGTCCCCTTCCCTCCCCCCTGCCCTAAGCCACCTCCACCTCTGTCCTGGCCGCCTCAGGGCACCCTGAAAGGATCATGACATGCGGCTGCGCTTTTGGCTCCTCATTTGGCTCCTGCTGGGATTTATCAGCCATCAGCCCACCCCTGTGAGTAGACGCTGGACCCGCGGGGTTTCTTCCTTTTTACTGGGCTGTGTCACGCGGCATGAAATTACACAGCTCAGGCCTTGTAATCCCAGCACTTTAGGGGGCCGAGGTGGGCAGATCACTTGAGTCCAGGAGTTGAAGACTAGCCAGGGCATCATGGCGAAACCCCATCTCTACAAAAAATTCCAAAAAAGATTAGTCGGGCCTGGTGGTGCGTACCTGTTATCCCAGTTACTGGAGAGGCTGAGGTGGGAGGATCGCTTGGGCCGAGGAGCTGGACGTTGCAGTGAGCTGAGATGGCCCCGCTGCACTCTTGTCTCTAACAAACAAAATGGACCAAAACAAAGTGAAATGTCATTTGATTTGTGTCATCTGGTTTGATGACTTTTTTTTTTTTTTTTTTTTAGACAGAGTCTCACTCTGTCGCCCAGGCTGGAGTGCAGTGGCAAGATCTCGGCTCACTGCAACCTCCGCTTCCGGGGTTCAAGCAATTGTCCTGCCTCAGCCTCCTGAGTAGCTCAGATTACAACGCCTGGCTAATTTTTGTGTTTTTAGTAGAGACGGGGTTTCACCATGTTCGCCAGGATAGTCTCCATCTCTTGACCTCGTGATCTGCCTGCCTCGGCCTCCCAGTGCTGGGATTACAGGCGTGAGCCACCGCGCCTGGCCAAAATATATACCCTTAAGTGTAAGTTTACTAACTTTGGAAAGTACTTACACCAGCATAAACCGACCCCCTTTCAAGATCTACATTATTTTATTTATTTATTTATTTTTTTGAGACAGTTTCTCCCTTGTTGCCCAGGCTGGAGTGCAATGGGGCAATATCAGCTCACCGCAACCTCTGCTTCCCAGGTTCGAGCGATTCTCCTGCCTCAGCCTCCCGGGTGGCTGGGATTACAGACATGTGCCACCACTCCCAGCTAATTTTGTATTTTTAGTAGAGATAGGGTTTCTCCATGTTGGTCAGGCTGGTTTTGAACTCCTGACCTCAGGTGATCCGCCCGCCTCGGCCTCCCAAAGCGTTGGGATTACAGGCGTGAACCACCGTGCCCAGCCAAGATCTACACTATTATGTCACCCCAGAAAGTGAACTCTCACTCTTCCCAGCCAGTCTCTTTCTTATCATAGGTTAGCTTGCTTATTCTGGAATTTCGCGTATACAGATGCGTGCCATGCCATAGGTACTCTTTTGTGTCTGCTTTATTCTGCTCAACACCATGTTTCTGAAATCATTACCATTGTTGTATGGTTCTCTAACTCCATCATTTCCATTTCAGACTCAGCATATGCTGAGTTCAACCTGTTGAAGGGCTATCTCTGTTTAATTCACCATCTTGAAAGAAACATTTAAAATTGAGATGTTTTCAAGAATATATAGTTAAATCCTGAGGAATCGATGTAGAAATGTTATCACAAGCTGTCTGAACTTACTCAGGGGAAGTCTTCGTCTTCACTCACATAAGAGTCTACTGGAATTAATATCAACAATCTTAGAGAAATCCCACACTATTCATGCCATTTTCATGATCTCCACCTTGGTAATTTTTTTTTTTTTTTTTTTTTTTTGAGACAGAGTCTCGCTCTGTCACCCAGGCTGAAGTGCAGTGGTGCGATCTCGGCTCACTGCAACCTCTGCCTCCCGGGTTCAAGTGATTCTTCTGCCTCAGCCTCCCAAGTAGCTGGAACTATAGGCACGTGCCACCATGCCCTGCTAATTTTTTGTAATTTTAGTAGAGATGGGTTTCACCGTGTTAGCTAGGATGGTCTCAATCTCCTGATCTCGTGGTCCACCCACCTCGGCTTCCCAAAGTGCTGAGATTGCAGGCGTGAGCCACCACACCCGGCCCACCTTGTTAATTTTTAAGCACTAAAATTTGATACTTATTTGTGAATGAAGTAATCTCTTCATTGTATTTTTTTTTTTTTACTTATGCTGAGCTTCAAATGACAAAGATTCATATAATCCAAGAGAGAAGTATTATTTAGAGGGATTCTTTTACCATGTGATATATAATAAATGCATCCAATGTTATACATCAATTTAAAAAACAAGTAAATAACTTTAAAGAAAAGATAACTACTGGCCAGGTGCAGTGGCTCACACCTGTATTCCCAGCACTTTGGGAGGCCGAGGCAGGTGGATCAAGAGGTCACGAGTTGGAGACCAGCCTGGCCAAGATGGTGAAACCCTGTTTCTACTCAAAATACAAAAATTAGCCGAGTGCGGTGGCAGGCACCTGTAATCCCAGTTACTCAGTAGCTGAGGCAGGAGAATCGCTTGAACCCGGGAGGCGGAGGTTGCAGTGAGCTGAGATCATGCCACTGCAATCTAGCCTGGGTGACAGAGCAAGACTTTGTCTCCAAACAAAAAGAAAAGATAATTACTTTATACTTAGCTTGTCTTAGCCATGAGTGACGGGCTGCATGTGGCCCAGGACAGTTTTGAATGCAGTTCAACACAAATTTGTAAACTTTCTTAAAACATTAGGAGATTTTGGCCAGGTACAGTGGCTCATGCCTGTAATCCCAGCACTTTGGGAGGCTGAGGCGGGCAGATTACCTGAGGTCAGGAGTTCGAGACCACCCTGGCCAACATGGCAAAACCCCATCTCCACAAAAAATACAAAAATTTGCTGAGTGCATTGTCAGGCACCTGTACTCCCAGCTACTCAGGAGGCTGAGGCAGGAGAATCACTTGAACCTGAGAGGCCGAGGTTGCAGTGAGCCGAGAGCACGCCACTGCACTCCAGCCTGGGTGACAGAGTGAGACCCCATCTCAAAAACAAAACACCAAACAAAAACAAAAACAAAAAAAAATGGCTGGGCACGGTGGCTCACACCTGTAATCCCAGCACTTTGGGAGGCCGAGGCAGGTAGATCGCCTGCCAGGAGTTCAAGGCCAGACTGGCCAACATGGTGAAACCTCATCTCTACTAAAAATACAAAAATGAGTCAGGCATGGTGGCAGAGACCTGTAATCTCAGCTACTCGGGAGGCTGAGGGAGGAGAATGGCTTGAGCCCAGGAGCTGGAGGTTGCAGTGAGCCGAGATTGCACCACTGCACTCCAGCCTGGGCGACTGAGTGGAGCGGAACTCTGTCTCCAAAAAAAAAAAAAAAAGAGTTTTTTTTTAGATCATCAGCTATTGTTAGTGTTAGTGTATGTTATGTGTGGCTCAAGACAACTTTGTTTCTTTTAATATAGGCAGGGAAGTGAAAAGATTGGATATCCCTGCTTTATACCAAGAAAGACAACACCGCACATTTGCAATGCCTAAAAACACTACCAGCCATCTGAAAAACATGAGACTTCTAACTTCTGTTCTTTTTTGTAGCAGTGGAATCCCACGGTGATATCTGAGGGATGTGGTTACCTTTTGGAGGAGGTTGACGGTTTCTAAGGATGATTCTTTCTGAGTGAAATATTGTCGGTGTCATTGACCTTTTCATTATTTCAACTATTATTATTCCAGGTTATCAATAGTCTGGCTGTCTATCGTCATCGTGAGACTGACTTTGGTGTAGGAGTTCGAGACCACCCTGGCCAACATGGCAAAACCCCATCTCCACAAAAATTGGATAATTTGATAATTATCATTATTGGGTTTCTGAGACGTTACACATTTAACATTCTCTTCTGCACAAGTTGCCTTTGTGTGAGTATACTAACTTTCTGTAGAGGTATACTTGTAATCACAAATAAGAATAAATTATATAAAACAATTCACGTTTCTGGACTTCATTATGAATATGTGGTTTTACCCAAAAAATCAGGGAAATGATTTATTAGCATAAGAATTATGAAAATGTCTGCCATTTACATTATGAAAATTAAATAGGTCGGTGTTTGTTTAATAGAATGTCAACAGAGCTTTTGGTCAAAAATAAGTTTTTTTAGCCTTTGTGCTATTTATCACAAATGGAGTATGAGGTTTCGTCACTTAAATAGGAAATTCTTTCTAAACTCTTCTGCTTTATAGTTCTATCGTATGGGTGGAAGGAAAGCTTCCAATCTCCTCTCTGAAGATTCACTGCAGAAATGAGCTGACAACAGACAGCTTAACAGGAAAAGAAAAACATAGAACAGGCATAAACATGGGAACCAGCTGAAAAATGAGACTGCTAGAAGGGCCGGATGGTTGATGCTTAAAGAGCACCCTCTTCTGAGGGGAGAGGGAGATAGATGGAGATGTAGGCCATTTAGAGGGGCAGCAAATGATTTTTAGGGGAAATGAAAGAGGCCAAGGAACAAACAATTGGCCTGAGACAAAGTTCCTCTGAGGTCATAGGGACGAGGTGACAAACTGCCGGAAGGTGAAGGGCAGAACTGCACTGCGTCTCATGATGCAGAGAAAGCCCCAGAGAATCTCTTAGAACTGCCCTCCAAGAGAATCAATGAAAAGTGTGTCTGGGCAGGGTAATTTTGAATGACATCATTCAAAGTGCATGTTCCCACTTGCAACTGGAGAGAGATCAGTATGTCAAAAGTCTGTACTTGGTAAGAATTTGGCTGCTAAGTTGTGCCATAATTTGTCTTTTGAGCCTTTTTTCCTTTGGGTAAGTTGAGCTCTACATTTTGTCTTGCCATTCATGACAGTAAAAATGTGGTTTTCTGGGGGCTGAACCTCCTGAACAATGATCCAAGATAAAAGTACTAATACCACAATGCTTTTTTATATTCAAGGGAAGAGGAAGTATGTTTCAGTTTTACCACCTAGATAATTACACGTCATTTGGCACTGCCTTTCAAGATATGTAGAAAACAGAAAATATATGAGTTATGAAGATATCTAGGCACACTTAACATTCTCTATGCCACTTAGTCCTGAACAGAGAATTTTCGGTATAAATTGGAGGAAGCTTTTTTTTTTTTTTTTCTTTTCTCACCCCCGAGACGAGTCTCCCTCTGTTGCCCAGGCTGGAGTATAATGGTGTGATCTCGGCTCACTGCAACCTCCACCTCCTGGCTTCAAGCGATTCCCCTGCCTCAGCCTCTCAAGTAGCTGGGATTACAGGTGCCCACCACCATGCCCAGCAAATTTTTGTATTTTTAGTAGAGTCGGGGTTTTACCATGTTGGCCAGGCTAGTCTCAAAACCCGACCTCAAATGATCCACCCGCCTCAGCCTCCCAAAGTGCTGGGATTACAAGCGTGAGCCACCACGTGAGCCAGGGGAAGTTTTTAAATTTACCACTTTTTAACAGTTCCATTTAGGAAAGTTCAGTTGAGCTGCTGGACTTGGACAACTTCGCACCTCTCATCTTTGTCCTTGTCATCTAGTCATCTATACCATTACCTCCTAAGCAGGGACATCATGGGTGCCATGAAGCATTCATGCGTGATGGCATTTCTTTGCTTGTCATTTCTTCATGTGTTTGACATTTCTCCTAGCTCCAAACTGGGCCAGCTACCTTTCCTATGAAATCTAGTAGTAGCTGTGGGATTGACGTGGTTGCTCTTTTCATCTTTTTAGATTACCCATTGCTTCTCTCGAAATCCTAGTACATGATTTTTTTTTTTATCCTATGTGCAGAAATCAGGAAAAAACAAATTCTACAAAGAATTTGAAAGATATTATTTCAGGCCAGGTGTGGTGGCTCATGCCTGTAATCCCAGCACTTTGGGAGGCTGAGGCAGGTGGATGACTTGAGGTCAGGAGTTCAAGACCAGATGGGCCAACATGGTGAAACCCCATCTCTACTAAAAAGACAAAAATTAGCCAGGCATGGTAGCAGGCACCTGTAATCCCAGCTACTTGGGAGGCCGAGGCACAAGAATCGCTTGAATCTGGGAGGTGGAGGTTGCCGTGAGCCAAGGTAGTGCCACTGCACTTCAGCATGGTTGAGAGTGACACTCCATCTCAAGAAAAAAGTCATTTCAATGACTACCTCAGGACATTCATAGGTATCTGACCCACATCTGAGATGGGATTTGCATTGCATTTTCCCTATGATGAGAACAAATATTTAATATCTTAGAAGATTAAAAGCATACTGTGATAATATGGAAATCTTGGTGGGAATTCAGTCATTAGTGAGAATGTTTTGCGTTAAGTTCAAACCAGCCTCAATGAAGCTGATGTGAGGGAAGGGAAAGTGAACTCTGAGTAGAGCAGGGACAGAAGGAAGATGCTCCAGTGCAGATCAGGAAGGAGCAGGGGGTGAAATGTTACAAATTCTAGAACTCAGAGAGCTGAAGGTAATTACTTCCTTTTCAAGTTGTGAAACATGTTAACCTGTGGGAAAATACTTATAAGATGATAATTACCATCTAACCGTGTTGAAGTGTACAGTTCAGTTGTGTGAAGTATATTCATGTCATTTTTTTTTTTTTTTTTTTGAGACGGAGTCTCACTCTGTCACCAGGCTGGAGTGCAGTGGTGGGATCTTGGCTCACTGCAACCTCTGCCTTCTGGGTTCAAGCAGTTCTCCTGCCTCAGCCTCCCGAGTAGCTGGGACTACAGGCGTGCATCACCATGCTCAGCTAATTTTTGTATTTTTAGTAGAGACGGGGTTTCACCATGTTGCCCAGGATGGTCTCCATCTCTTGACCTTGTGATTCACCCGCCTCAGCCTCCCAAAGTGCTGGGATTACAGGCGTGAGCTACCGCACCTGGGCTCTTTTTTTTTTTTTTTTTTTTTTTTTGAGACAGAGTTTCAATTTTGTTGCCCAGGTTTGGAGTGCAATGGCACAATCTCAGCTCACCACAACCTTTTCCTGCTGGGTTCAAGTGATTCTCCTGCCTCAGCCTCCTGACTAGCTGGGACTACAGGCATGCACCACCATGCCTGGTTAATTTTGTATTTTTAGCAGAGACAGCGTTTCTCCATGTTGGTGAGGCTGGTCTCAAACTCCCGACCTCAGGTGATCCGCCTGCCTCGGCCTCCCAAAGTGCTGGGATTACAGGAGTGAGCCACCGTGCCAGCCTCATGTCATTCTTGTGTGTGTGTGTGTGTGTGTGTGTGTGTGTGTGTGTGTGTGTGTGTGACAGAGTCTCATTCTGTCGCTCAGGCTGGAGTGCAGTGGTGTGATCTCGGCTCACTGCAACCTCCGCCTCCCAGCTTCAAATGGTTCTCTGCCTCAGCCTCCCGAGTAGCTTGGATTACAGGCGCCCGCTGCCATGCCTGGCTAATTTTTGTATTTTTAGTAGAGACAGGGTTTCACCATCTTGGCCAGGCTGGTCTTGAACTCCTGACCCCGTGATCCACCTGCCTCGGCCTCCCAAAGTACTGGGATTATTTATACGCATGAGCCACCGTGCCCAGCCGTCATTCTTATATTATTATTTCCTAGGTGTCTTTCCTGAAGACTATCTTCTGGTCTCGAAATGGACATGATGGATCCATGGATGTACAGCAGAGAGCCTGGAGGTCCAACCGCAGTAGACAGAAAGGTATGGCTCTGTTGGAGTCCCCATAGTGTGGAAATGAGTTTGCCCTGGAAAGGGAAAGAACAGCTTCTTGACCTCAGGTTTCTCACCTTCTCCTCTCCTCACTCTCACCAAGGGCTGAGGTCCATTTGTATGCACACAAAGAAAAGAGTTTCTTCCTTTCGAGGAAATAAAATTGGCCTGAAAGACGTCATTACTCTACGGAGGCATGTGGAAACAAAAGTTAGAGCTAAAATCCGTAAGAGGAAGGTGACAACGAAAATCAACCGTCATGACAAAATCAATGGAAAGAGGAAGACCGCCAGAAAACAGTAAGATGTGCCTTGACACAAATACTGTTGTATGAACCATGTGCCAATCAAAGTAGACAACTGTAAAGTCCTTGAGAATATTTTCTACAATATTTGTGGCAAATTCAGTGGGCTCAAAATTGAGTTTGTCCTTTCTGCTTCATTAGTTTAAGCTGTATAATTCCTTTCCCTTCCTACATTCTTGTTTGTAATTTTTTCGGGGGAAGAGGAGTTGCTAGTACTGGCATTGGTTTTCCTTTCTCTCTCTCTTTTTTTTTTTCCTGAGATGGAGCTTTGCTGTTGTTGCCCAGGCTGTAGTGCAATGGCACAATCTCAGCTCACTGCCTTTTGGCTTCAAGCAATTCTCCTGCCTCAGCCTCCCAAGTAGCTGGGATTACAGGTGCCCACCACCACGCCCAGCTAATTTTTGTATTTTTACTAGAGATGGGGTTTCACCATGTTGTCCAGGCTGGTCTCGAACTTCTGACCTCAGGTAATCCACCTGCCTCAGCCTCCCAAAGTGCTGGGATTAGAGGTGTGAGCCACCACACCCAGCCTTTTTTTTTTTTTTTTAAAATTTTGAGATAGAATCTCGCTCTGTCGCCCTGGCTGGAGTGCTATGGTGCAATCTTGGCTCACTGCAACCTCTGCCTCCCAGTTTGAAGCAATTCTGCCTCAGCTTCCTGAGTAGCTTGGATTACAGGTGTGTGCCACCACATTCGGCCAATTTTTTTTTTTTTTTTTTGAGACAGAGTCTCACTCTGTCACCCAGGCTAGAGTGCAGTGGCATGATCTTGGCTCACTGCAACCTCCACCTCCCAGGTTCAAGTGATTCTTATCCCTCAGCCTCTTGAGTAGCTGGGACTACAGGCATATGCCACCATGCCCGGATAATTTTTGTATTCTTAGTAGAGGCGGGGTTTCACCATATTGGCCAAGCTGGTCTAGAACTCTGGACATCATGATCCACACACCTCGGCCTCCCAATGTGCTGGGATTACAGGCGTGAGCCACCGTGCCCGGCCCAATTTTTGTATTTTTAGTAGAGACAGGGGTTCACCATGTTGGCCAGGCTAGTCTTGAACTCCTGACCTCAGGTGATCTGCCTACCTCAGCCTCCCAGTGTGAGCCACCGCACCCAGCCTGGATTGTTGAATTCAATGCTTGGGTCACCTCCAGATTCATTTTCACAGTCTTTCATGTTTTGGTCATATTACATTGTATTTTGCTGCCATATGACTGAGCTCTTTTTGTTAAATGTGAGATACTTGTTAAAAAATATTTAGCAATGAATTGAGGCCTAGTGGCATGTTATCTTGCTGCAGAAGAGATGGGAGTCTACTTCTGGGGGATGGTCACGGGTCCTCCATACAGGCTGCAATTGAGGTCGTCGGTGCAGGCTCAGTCCCTACAAAGGCCAGGGTATTTCCTGTCCACCTCTATTCTGATGCATGACTCTTCTGGGTCTCAACCAGAGCCAGTGGACTTCAGTACGGGTCGCTTTCATTGGCAGACCCTCAATCCACTTGTTTTCCATCTAATCCCACGCATGTGTGCAAAAGCTGCTGTGCTTCTTTACATCTCAGTAGTTCCTTCTGGAATTCAGCAATGAAACTCAGGGAAATGGGTTCCAAATGCGAGGCTGACTTTCGTCCTGGGTTTCCTTCTTCTCCATCTTCACCTCATGTCTGTTTACTGCCATGTTAGCAATTTGATGTATTCAATCATGGGTTTTATATTCTGTTTGGTGTCCCCCATTGTTCTCATCGGAGATCAGAAGCTTCAGATGCACTTATGTCAACTCAAGAGTAGAATGCTTCCTTAGCTTCCCTCCAGAGTCAGGTTTTGTGTTTCTAGTTCCCAAGTGGACAGCAGGAGTAGTGATGTCCTCACTGGCTTCTCATTTGCATTAAGCTGTGAGCTTCTTTACCGTGGGGACAGGACCCTGCTCCCATTGCATTCTCAGCACCACACCACACACTCCTTGTTGGAGGCCACTCCAGACAGCATGTGCTGAAGGATGCCCTGTGGTCAGAAACAAGTTCATTAACTTTCTCTTTGAAGTGTTTTCGCCCCTGTTTCCTAGCGTTCTGGGAATTTTACACATCCTTCCTATAAAACCAAGTATCAGGTGAGATCCTTAGGATCAGGACCATGAATCAAGTGGTGTGAGGGCAACACAGCAAACTTACCCTTTTTAGGCCATTTCCTTTTTCTGCCCTCAATGTCTGTGAACTGAACCTTGTTAAAGTCAGTCAACACCAGGGTGGATGGTTTGCCGTTGTCACCTATTTTCAGGACATAACACCCTGACTTAGGAGCCATTCCGATCATTTCTAATTCAATAGATGCGCCCAGCATTCAGATTGCCTTTTCTCTCAACCAGGATCTTTAAAGTCGATGACAAGAGTTCCAGTCCTGAATCATGGCAAAGTGCAGTAGTGAACTGCGGGGTTAATGACACCATATTCTGGAAGGATCTCTCTATGGCTGATGGTCTCAGTTCCGGCATCAGCCTCTGACTGAGAATCAGGTCTCACACAGGAAGAGTCAGATGAGGAGCAATCCTCTGCTTCCTATGGAGTTAGTTGTGATGAGTTGGTGAGGTCTGGTTTTTCACACTGAACTAAAATGATCTTTCGCTGTGTCAAGCACAAGATTGACCCCAGAGACACACATAGTGCACCTCATAGAAGCTTTTAATAGTCTTTATATTTACTAAAGAATAGGACTAACTATGGAACTATGAAGATGAGCTGGAAATGACAGGTGACTTGCCAGCAGGCCAGAGTGTGATTTTTTTTGGTCCCTCAATGGGAGGTGTCCATTCTCCCTTCGGTTGTGAGAATCAGTTGGTTCATTTGTGGGAAGGTTGCAGGGGGGATCTTTGAATCACAGCCTTCAGATGCCAGAAGGGCAGAGGGAATCCCACATGGACTGGTGGATCATGTGTGTGCATTTCTCTCCCTTCTAACCTGAGGAAACTAAGCATGAAAGAATGTGAGCACGCAGAAAAGGAGAGGCAGGTATCAGAGGCAGAGGAAAATGGGAAATTGGATATGAAAGAAATACACACCTACAAGTGAGTTCAGAAACTGAACCCCACCCTCCTGGGAAACGCCCATTGGAGTGCTGTTTTTAACCTCTGTACAATGTTTAGACCCAGTAAATGCAGAAATAGAAACAAACGGTCAGAAGACATATCGTGAGAGAGAGAGAGAGAGTTCACAAAACAGAAAACAAAGTACCTTAATATTTACCAGTGACCAAAAGATGTGAAGTAGCAAAACGGCTCCTGACCCCATTACCAGCTAGACTGTGTGGAAACTCGGTTCATACCAGCCATTCTAGGGGTGGGGTGAGTTGTTGTCATCCTTAGGAAAGTGTGTTGTTGTAGGATCAACCACATCCTTCAAAAGGACTATGCCTGTTTATAAGCCCAGCTGTTTCTGCCCTGTGAAACACGGTGAGGATATTAATGCAAAGAGAATACAGCTTTATGATAAAAGATGCTCAATGAAGGATGAATTAGGGATATACTGAGAATGGGGAAGGAAACTATCATCTCAGAAGTCAACAGGCAGTAAGCAAGAGGAGGAATCAATACAGCAACAGTTTGGATCAGACCGTACAGTTTTTTTGTTTTTGTTTTTGTTTTTGTTTTTCTGAGATGGAGTCTCGCTGTGTCACCCAGGCTGGAGTGCAATGATGTGATCTTGGCTCACTGCAACCTCCGCCTCCCAGGTTCAAGTGATTCCCCTGCCTCAGCCTCCCGAGTAGCTGGGATTACAGGTGCCTGCCACCACGCCCGGCTAATCTTTTGTATTTTTAGTAGAGACGGGGTTTCACCGTATTAGCCAGGATGGTCTCAATCTCCTGACCTCGTGATCCATCCGCCTCGCCCTCCCAGAGTGCTGGGACTACAGGCATCAGCCACCGTGACCGGCTCAGACTGTACTCTTATAGCCATCTGAAATACGTTTTCTAGGTAGAGATAGATTGTGTAAGGGTACAGTTGTGAGGATAACAGAAACATGGCAGATTATTTAAAATCATCCTGAACGTGGTGCTTTATCTGATGAAAGTGATTGTAATCCATAGGAAAATGTTTCAACGTGCGCAAGAGTTGCGGCGGCGGGCAGAGGACTACCACAAATGCAAAGTAAGGAGCTTCCTCCCCGCAGTTGCAGGATAGTTCAGTGCTGATGCAGATGATGCCACGGCTCTTAGACTCTCTCAACATTCAATTTCTCATGTGTTGGCTTTTTCAGATCCCCCCTTCTGCAAGAAAGCCTCTTTGCAACTGGGTAAGTTTGTTTGTTTTCCTTGCTTTTGAACATAGTCTGCCAGGTCAGGACATGGATACATTTTTCTCCCTACAGCTCTGTGCTCAAGCCCTGCAGAGGGAGATGGCAGAGAGGAAGGCTGCCTACAGGCATCACAGTCCCATCCCTGTTGGTAACCGTGTTGTGCAAAAACACCTTCATCCCCACCCAGTGGGGCCCCTGATCTAAATTCAAAGTGTCAGAGGTTCCATATTTGTAATAGCAAATGGGCCCTGACTGTAAATTAGTGAAGAGTGAATGTAACTTATTACCCACAGGGACAATTCCAAATGAAGGCCTTAAATGATGCTCAGCTAAGCTGGTTCTTGTGTGGCCTCTGTACCTTCAAAAGCTGCCAAGTCCTATGATTACACGTGATGGGACTTGTACACTTGAAGTGAAACACAGTTTTAAAACTTGCTTTGTTTAGAATTCCCACCTCATTTTTCCATGGACAAAAGTATTCTTTATGTCCTAGTGCACTTACAATTTGGTATTACCTGGGAGTGAAAAGAAATATTACAGCCATGCCTAAGTGACTTCTTGAGGTGAGATTGTTCTGTCAGAAAACCCTCTCCCAGTTCCCCTGCAGCTCTTCAGGAATCCACATCTCTCCAGAGCTCTTTGTTCTCATGGGTGGCACCTCCAGAGTGAAGAAGATCCTTTGTCAAGAAGGGAAACAGAGGGGAAATGAGAGGGTCCTGCAGGCAGAGCTGGAATCAACTTCCACTCTGCCTCTTGCAAGCTGTGTGACCCTGGGCACAATTTCTCCTTCCTCTGGAAACCTCTGTTTTCTTAGATTTGGAGCAGGGTGGTCACACTGACCTTGCAGAGTTCTGAGAGTCAGAGACAGAACATAAAAGGCCTGGAAAACATTCTCCAAAAAGAAGCTGCAACATGTGTGGACAATGGGCTTTTCATGCCTCTCTTACTGTCTCTTACTGTCTGTTGACCTGGTGCAAGAAACATGCTCTGGTGATGGCTGTGAGGGAGGAATGAGGATAGACATAGACACTCCTGTGTCTCAAACATGCTTCTTTATTACTCTGTTATGACTCTGTCTTCCCTGGGGCAGGACCCCAGCCTGCCTACATTTGCAGACAGACACAGTGGCATGTGGAGACAACAGTGTGTCCCAATGACTTTTCTTTACCCCCCAGCTGTCGGCAGTACTCAGTGGAAGGGTGATATTATGACACTGATACTGCTATTTTGAAACCTGGAGGATGGAAAGGTGCAAAAATCTATCACCAGCAACAGAAGGTGCAGACTGTGTTGGTGGTGGTAATTTTGTCCATCAAATGAATATGTGTGAAAACATTCCCTCCTTTGGCCCTACAGGTCAGAATGGTGGCAGCGGAGCATCGTCATTCTTCAGGATTGCCCTACTGGCCCTACCTCACAGCTGAAACTTTAAAAAACAGGATGGGCCGCCAGCCACCTCCTCCAACTCAACAACATTCTATAACTGATAACTCCCTGAGCCTCAAGACACCTACTGAGTGTCTGCTCACTCCCCTTCCACCCTCAGTGGATGATAATATCAAGGAGTGTCCTCTTGCTCCTCTTCCACCCTCTCCTCTTCCACCCTCAGTGGATGATAATCTGAAGGAATGTCTCTTTGTCCCGCTTCCACCCTCTCCTCTTCCACCCTCAGTGGATGATAATCTCAAGACTCCTCCCTTAGCTACTCAGGAGGCCGAGGTGGAAAAACCACCCAAACCCAAGAGGTGGAGGGTGGATGAGGTGGAACAATCACCGAAACCCAAGAGGCGGAGGGTGGATGAGGTGGAACAATCGCCCAAGCCCAAGAGGCAGAGGGAGGCCGAGGCACAACAATTACCCAAACCCAAGAGGCGGAGGTTGAGTAAGCTGAGAACACGCCATTGCACTCAAGCCTGGGCAATAAGAATAAATCCGTAGGTCGAAAAAAAGAAAAAAATCAAAAAACAAAACAAAACCCACGCTCCAAAAACAAACTAACGAAGAATAAATAAATAATATAAAAATAAAATAAATACTGCAGTCCTTATGTTATTGCTTTGTTTCAATATCTGGTATGATTGCCTGAGGGACCTGAGGTTTTTAATTAATTGTAGGGTTTTTTTTTTTAATCTTTAGAAGTGGTTGGTTATGTAAAATATTATTATTTTTTTTTTTTTTTTTTTGAGACTGGGTTTTGCTCTGTCACCCAGGCTGGAGTGCAGTGGCTCGATCACAGCTCACTGCAGCCTCAACCTCCTGGGCTTCAAGCAATCCTCCTGCCTCAGCCTCCCAAGTAGCTGGGATCACAGATGTGTGCCACCACGCCTGGCCAATGTTAAAAAATCCTTTAACTTTTTTGTAGAGATGCACTCCTGGACTCAAGCGATCCTCCTACTGGTCCCGACCACCAGCCTCTTTCTGATAAACATTTACACTGTTTATTATCTGATGCCATTTCTATCTTCTTCCTTGTCGTCCAGACATCAAAGAATTAGGTTTCTTCAGGGTTTTCTTTTTCAAGTCCTCATTGTTAAAGATCACTCACATTAGGGCCAGACACCACGACTCATGCCTGTAATCCCAGCACTTTGGGAGGCCGAGGCGGGCAGAGCACTTGAGGTGGGGAGTTTGAGACCAGCCCGGCCAACTTGGTGAAACCCCACCTCTACTGAAAAAAATACAAAAATTAGCTGGGCGTGATGGTGCATGCCTGTAGTCCCAGCCACTTGGGAGGCTGAGGCATGAGAATCGCTTGAACCCAGGAGGCAGAGGTTGTAGTGAGCCAAGATCACATCAGCACACTCTAGCCTGGGTGACAGAGCGAGACTCTGACTCAAAAAATAAATAAAATAAATATCACTTACATTAGATATACCCAAGGGGTGTTCTATAGAGAGTTGGAAGCAGTGGTTATTGCAACAGGGGCACAGAAGTCATCTGGCTATGCCAGGGTGCCCAGGGGATACTCGGGGTGGGTGGCATGGTGCTGCTGGGGACTCACCGCACAGGACGCTCTGATTGACGCACTGCCAGGAGTAGCGCTCTGTCTTGGGGCTGCAGCCGGCCTCCTCAGCTCGAGTGTAACAACAGTCGTGGCCATGGCAGCACCTGCGGATGTCACATGGGCAGGACAGCAGGTGGGTGAAGCTCTCTCCTGGCCCTCCTCTCTTGCCAGGACCATGGGTGACTGAAGACCCCCAGGGAGGCACAGCATCCTCTTATCTAAGTTTTTTTTTTTTTTTTTTTTTTTTTTTTTTTTTTTTAAGAGACAGGGTCTTTCTCTGTCGCCCAGGCTGGACTGCAGAGGCACAATCATAGCTCACGGCAGCCTTGAACTCCTGGGCTCAAGCGATCCTCCTACTTCAGTGTCCCAAGTAGCTGAGACTACAGGCACACGCCAGCATGCCCGGCTGGTTTTTTAATTTGTATTTCCTTTGAGACAGCGTATCTCTCTGTTGCTCAGGCTGGGGTGCAATGGCTCCATCAGCTCACTTTAGCCTTGAACTCCCGGGCTCAAGTGATACTGCCACCTCAACTTCCCAAGTATGCTACTACAGGAACACAAACTCCTTTTTTAAATTTTTTGTGGATATGGGGTCTATGTTGCCTAGGCTGGTCTCGAACTCCCAGGCTCAAGCAGTCCTCCTACCTCAGCCTCTCCAAATGCTGGGATTACAGGTGGGAGCTACTGTATGCCTGGCCTTATCTAAGCTGTTTCCCTGAAAATCCCCGACTTCGATAATGATTCCATTGGCCCCACCATGCCCTGTCCTGCCTTCCTGGCTGTGCCCAAGCTTGGTCCCTGCCTGCCTGCCTCACTCTCTGGGTCTCGAGCTCCTGTGACACATGACTCCTCTCTCTTCCTGGAGTGATCCAAGCCCTGCCACTTCCTGACTTTGCCCACACTGTACCCTCTGCCTGGGGCAACTTCATGTCTGCCCATTGTCCCTTAGGCCTCAGCCCAGGCACAAGCCCCTGCCTCCGGAGGTCATCCAGGCCTCACCAGGCTACACCCTCTCGTAAAATTGGATTCCCTCCCTTCAGGGCAGGTTTATAATGAAATCCTCCTCAGAGGCCAGGTGCGGTGACACGCATCTGTAATCCCAGCACTTTGGGAGGCTGAGGTGGGAGGATCACTTGAGGCCAGGGGGTCGAGACCAGCCTGGGCAACATAAGAGAGACTCTTGTCTCTATAACAAATTTAAAAATTAGCTCACCAGGCCAGGCTCAGTGGCTCATGCCTGTAATCCCAACACTTTGAGAGGCCGAGGCAGGTGGATCACGAGGTCAGGAGTTCGAGAGCAGTCTGACCAACATGGCGAAACCCTGTCTCTACTAAAAATACAAAATTAGCCAGGCATGGTGGCACGCACCTGTAATCCCAGTTACTCGGGAGGCTGAGGTAGGAGAATTGCTTGAACCCAGGAGGTGGAGGTTGCGGTGAGCCAAGATCACGCCATTGCAGTCCAGCCTGAGCAACAGAGCAAGACTCTGTCTCGAGAGAATAAAAACACACAAAAAATTAACTCGCCAGGATGGCACATGCCTATAGTCCTAGCTACTTGGGAGGCTGAGGTGGGAGGATTCCCTCCAGCCCAGGAGTTTGAGGCTGCAGTGAGCCACTATGATTGTGCCACTGCACTCTAACCTGGGCAAAAGCGAGACCCCAGGCTAGAGTGCATGATTTTGGGTCACTGCAACCTCCACCTCCCAGGTTCAAGTGATTCTCCTGCCTCAGCCTCTTGAGTAGCTGGGACTACAGGCATGTGCCACCACGCCTGGGTAATTTTTGTATTTTTAGTAGAGACAGGGTTTAGTAGAGACCATGGTGAAACCCCGTCTCTATAAAACAAATCTCTACTAACCCCATCTCTACAAAAAACAGCTGGGCGTGGTAGTGCACACCTGTAATTCCAGCTACTTGGGAGGCTGAGGCACGAGAATCATTTGCATCTTGGAGGCAGAGTTTGCAGTGAGCTGAGATCGCACCACTGCACTCCAGCCGGGATGACAGAGCAAGACCCTGTCTCAAAAAAAAAAAAGAAAAAGGAACAAACAACAGCAACAACAACAAAAAAACCTCTGTGTCAATCACAGCCTTCGAGCTAGGGGAGAGGCGGCCGAATTCTGCCCTCCGCTAACGAGCTATAGCTTTGTGGAAATGGGCGAGTGGCATGCCCCTGTGAGCCTCAGGGCCCCATCTGTAAAATGGGCATAACTGTCATGCCCGTCTTTAAGAACAGCCTTGGGGGGTAAATGAGTGGAACTCATGGAAAGATCTCAGCCCACAACCTTCCACAGAACAGGCGCTTCTCACACAGTAAGTAGCAGGAGTGCAGAGGCTGCAGGCATGAATCCAGCCAGACTGCCTGGGTTCAAGTCCCAGCTCCCACGTCTTGGTAACTAAGTGGCCTCAGACAAGTTACTTAATATTTCTTCTTCTTCTTCTTTTTTTTTTTTTTTTTCAGAAGGAGTTTTGCTCTGTCACCCAGGCTGGAGTGCAGTGGTGTGATCTCGGCTCACTGCAACCTCCGCCTCCTGGGTTCAAGCAATTCTCCTGCCTCAGCTTCCTGAGTAGCTGGAATTACAGGCACCTGCCACCACATCCAGCTAATTTTTGTATTTTTAGTAGAGACAGGGTTTCACCATGTTGGCCAGGATGGTCTCGAACTCCTGACCTCGTGATCTGCCTGCCTCAGCCTCCCAAAGTACTGGGATTATAGGCGTGAGCCACCGCACCTGGACACGTTACTTAATATTTCTGTGCCTTGGTTTCTTCATCTGTGAAATGGGATTGTTGTGAGAATGCAAAGGGATTCCCAGGGCAGTTCCTAGTGCATAGTCTGGCTGCCTTTGTGTGTGTGTGTGTGTGTGTGTGCATGTGTGTGTGTGTTTAATACAGAGACAGGGTCTCACTATGTTGCCTAGGCTGGTTTCAAACTCCTGGGCTCCAGTGATCCTCCTGCTTCCACCCAAAGTGGTGGGATAACAGGTGTGTCACCACACCTGGTCACTTTATATTATTTTTTTCTTTTGAGACAGGGTCTCGCACTGTTGCCCAGGTTGGAATGCAGTGGTGCAATCTCAACTCACTGCAAACTCCGCCTCCCGGGTTCAAGTGATTCTCCTGCATCAGCCTCTTGAGTAGCTGGCACTATAGTCACCCGGCTCCTTGCCTGGCTAAGTTTTGTATTTTTAGTAGAGATGCGGTTTAGTGATTCTCCTGCATCAGCCTCTTGAGTAGCTGGTACTATAATCACCTAGCTCCTTGCCCAGCTAATTTTTGTATTGTTAGTAGAGATGCGGTTTCCTTTTTTTTTTTTTTTTTTTTTTGAGATGGAGTTTCGCTCTTGTTGCCTAGGCTGGAGTGCAGTGGTGCGATCTCGGTTCACCACAGCCTCCGCCTCCTGGGTTCAAGCGATTCTCCTCCTCAGCCTCCCGAGTAGCTGGGATTACAGGCATGTGCCACCGCACCTGGCTAATTTTGTATTTTTAGTAGAGACGGGGTTTCCCCATGTTGGTCAGGCTAGTCTCGAACTCCTGACGTCAGGTGATCTGTCTTCCTCGGCCTCCCAAAGTGCTGGGATTACAGGCATGAGCCAGCATGCCAGGCTGGCCCTTTTTTTTTGTTTTTTTTTTTAATCACTTAACATATATCTTGGAGAACTTTCCATTTTGGGAGTTAAAGAGATTTGTTTGTTTGTTTGTTTTGAGACAGGGTCTCCCTCTGTGGCCCATGCTGGAGCTGGACCTTGGCTCAGTCCAACTTCCACCCCCTGGGCTCAAGCAATCCTCCCACTTCAGCCTTCCAAGTAGCTGGGTCTATGGGCACATGCCACCACATCCCACTACTTTTTATAGTTTTTGTAGAGATAGGATTTTACCATGTTGCCCAGGCTGGTCTTGAACTCCTGAGCTCAAGTGATCCACCTGCTTCAGCCTCCCAAAGTACTGGGATTACAGGCATGAGCCGTCTTGCCCAGCCTGTTGTTTATTTAATATCTACCAAGTGCCAACTACCATAGAGGACATAAAGATGATTCAGTCTCTTCAGAAGTCATTTTCTTTCTCTCTCTTTCCTGTTGTACAGCACAAAATTAATGGACTAAATAGTCTGTCACTAGATAAACAAGCCCTAAGTAATCAGGCACTTGCTGCAGTTTTTACAAAGTTTAAAAAGCCATATGAAACACAGTATACTCCAAGTAATAAGAGGCAAAATATGCGAAGTGTTACTGCTGGGGAATTTACGGACTATTCTTTTCTACAGTATATCTGCTGTGGTCTGAATGTGTTCCCCAAGATTCATATGTTAAAACTTAACCACCAGTCTGGTAGTATTAAGAGGTGGGGCATCATTAAGTCATGAGGGCATGGGATTAGTAACCTCATAAAAAGGTTGGCGGGAATGAGCTAGGCCCTTTCATTGCCCTTACATCCCTCTGTCACTTGAAGACACAGCACTGGTCCCCCCGGGAGGACATAGCAGCAAGGTGCCATATTGGAAATGGCCACCATGCCCTCACCAGATACCAACCTGCTGGTAACTTAATCTTGGCCTTCCTAGCCTCCAGAACTGTGAGAAAGAAATTTCTGGGTTTTGTTTGTTTGTTTGTATGAGACAGGGTCTCTGTCACCTAGGCTGGAGTGCAGTGGCACGATCTCGGCTCACTGCAACCTCTGCCTCCTGGGTTCAAGTGATTCTCCCACCTCAGCCTCCCGAGTAGCTGGGATTACAGGTATGCACCACCACACCCTGCTTTTTTTTTTTTTCTTGGCATTGTACAGATAGGGTTTCGTCATGTTGCCCAGGCTGATCTCGAACTCCTAAGGTCACACGATCCACCTGCCCTGGCCTCCCAGCATGCTGGGATTAAAGGCGTGAGCCACTGTGCCTGGCCAAAATTTCCGTTTTTTATAAATAACCCAGTCTCTGGTACTTTCTTATAGCCACACGAACAGATAGACTGTACTCATCTGTTGGCTGGGCGCAGTGGCTCACGTCTGTAATCCCAGCACTTTGGGAGGCTTAGACAGGCGGATCACGAGGTCAGGAGATCGAGACCATCCTGGCTAACATGGTGAAACCCCGTCTCTACTAAAAATACAAAAAATTTAGGTGGGCGCGGTGGCGGGCGCCTGTAGTCCCAGCTACTCAAGAGGCTGAGGCATGAGAATGGCATGAACCCGGGAGGCGGAGCTTGCAGTGAGCCGAGATCATGCCACTGCAGTCCGTCCTGGGCGAAAGAGCGAGACTCCGTCTCAAAAAACAAACAAACAAACAAACAAACAAACAAGAGGTCCAGAGTGTGACAACATGGCCTTGCAACCTTGTGCTCAGGGACCCTGGAGCCAGTCCTTCATAGGTCTGCTGGAACTCGCCACCCTGGGACTGCAGGCTCTGCCTGGCTGCAATCAAGAATCCCCTGGGGCCAGGTGTGGTGGCTCACGCCTGTGATCCCAGCACTTTGGGAGGCTTAGGTGGGCAGATCACCTGAGACCAGGAGTTCGAGACTAGCCTAGCCAACGTGCTAAAACTCCGTCTCTACTAGAAATACAGAATTAGCCAGGCGTGGTGGCGGGTGCCTGTAATCCCAGCTACTCAGGAGGCTGAGGCAGGAGAACTGCTTGAACCCAGAAGTGGAGGTTGCAGTGAGCTGAGATTGCGTCACTGCACTCCAGCCTGGGTGACAGAGCAGAATCCGTCTCAAAATAAATAAATAAATAATCCCCTGGGGATCTTGGATTTGATCTTGGTGCCAAGGGAATTGGATTTCCTTGGTCTGGGTAGTGCCTTGGCATCTGTATTACGATTATCATTTGCCAATGATTATGAATTTTTAAATTTCACACAGCTTTGGGGAAGCATAGAATCTGGACTTGTTCAGAACAATCAGCTATTGACACCAGAGGCTGCCTCTGGGTTATAATTGGATAATTATCCCTTCCTGGTGCAGACATTAGTGGCTCTCTTGTGCTTGGCCATGAACCATTTGCTGTGTCCTCCATGTGGCCAAGCATCAAAAGGATAATGTTTTCATTTTTTAATTTTTGTGGGTAGATAGTAGGCATATATATGTATGGGGTGCATGAGGTGTTTTAATACAGGCATGCAATGCATAATAATCACATCAGGGTAAATGGGGATCCATTACATCAAGCATTTATCCTTTGTGTTACAAACAATTCAATTACACTCTTTGAGTTATTTAAAAATGTACAATTGGCTGGGCACAGTGGCTCTCACCTGTCATCCCAGCACTTTGGGAAGCTGAGGCGAGCGAATCACTTGAGGTCAGGAGTTTGAGACCAGTCTGGCCAACATGGTGAAACCCCGTCTCTACTAAAAATACAAAAATTAGCTGGGCGTGGTGGCACTTATCTGTAATCTCAGCTACTTGGGAGGCTGGGGCAGGAGAATCACTTGAGCCCAGGAGTTCGAGACTAGCCTGGGCAACTTAGCAAGACCCCATCTCAAAAACAAAGCTACAGCTTAAAAGAAAATCAGACCATGTCACTCTCTGCTTAAGGCCTTCAAGGGTTTCCTCATGCATTCAGGATAGAATCCGAAGTCCTTAGAATGACCCAGAGGGACTGACACAGTTGGGCCTGGCCTCATCCCATGGCAGTCTCCTGCTCGTTCAACTAGGCTGTGATGCACTAGTCCCTCCCCCACGTGCTCCCCAGATTTATTTCATTTTATTTTATATTTTTTTGAGACAGGGTCTTGCTCTGCTGCCCAGCCCGGAGTGCAGTGGTGTGATCATAGCTCACTGCAGCCTCGAACTGCTGGGCTCAAGCTATGCTCCCACCTCAGCCCCTCAAAATATGATGAGTACAAGCATGAGCTACTGCACCCAGCCCCTAGCTTTAAATATTTAAAGCATCTAAACATAGAAGAGTTGAAAAAGTGGTATAATTGTCACTCATACACCTATCCTGAAATTCAATAATTACCATTTTGTCATATTTTCTTTGTCTGTGTGCATGTGTGTATTTTGCTGAAATGTTAATTAATTTATTTATTTGAGATGGAGTCTCGCTCTAATGCTCAGGCTGGAGTGCAGTGGCATGATCTTGGCCCACTGCAACCTCCGCCTCCTGGGTTCAAGTGATCCTCCTGCCTCAGCCTCTTGAGTAGCTGGAATTATAGGCACCTGCCACCATGCCCAGCTAATTTTTTGTATTTTTTGTAGAGACGAGGTTTCATCATGTTGGCGAGGCTGGTCTTGAACTCCTGACCTCAAGTGATCCGCCTGCCTCGGCCTCCCAAAGTGCTTGGATTTCAGGCGTGAGCCACTGCGCCTGGCCAACATTTAAAAGTTAGTTGTAAGCCAGGCATGGTGGTGTGGGCCTGTAGTCCCAGCTATTGGAGAGGCTGAGGCAGGAGGATCGCTTGATCTCAGGAGTTTGAGGCTGCAGTGAGCTACGATCATGCCACTGCACTCCAGCCTGGGTGACAGAGCAAGACCCTGTCTCTAAAATAATAATAATAATAAATAAATGAAATAAAAGTTAGCTGTAGATGTCATGTCAGTTGACCCCTATAATGACTTCAATGTGAATCTCCTAAAAATAAAGACATCTTCCCTTATAGCCAGCCACATGTCACCACCCTACCCAAGAAAATCAATAGAAATTTTCTAATATTGAGTCCACGTTCAAATGAACCCAATTATTCCCTGAATGCATTTTAAAGATGTTTAATTTCCAAATCAGGACCCAATCAGGTTTGCACATTGTGGTTGGCTCCAGTGTCTCTTTGGAGTCTCCTAGTCTGGAACTGGCACTTCACAGTGTGGTTTGGGACCAGCGGCATGAGCATCACCTGGGAATTTGCTAGAAATGCAACTTCACAGGCCTCACTCCCAACCTGAATCAAATTCTGGGGTGGGGTCCAGGAATCTGTTTTAACAAGCCAGGTGATTTTTTTTTTTTTCGAGACAGGGTCTCGCTCTGTCACCCAGGCTGGAGTGCAGTGGCATGATCTCAGCTCACTGCATCCTCCGCTTCCCAGGTTCAGGTGATTCTCCTGCCTCAGCCTCCCGAGTAGCTGGGACTACAGGTGCCTGCCACCACGCCCAGCTAATTTTTGTATTTTTAGTAGGGATGGGGTTTTGCTATGTTGGTCAGTCTGGTCTGGAACTTCTGACCTCAAGCAATCTGTCCACCTCAACCTCCCAAAGTGTTGGGATTATAGGCATGAGCCACTGTACCTGGCCTCAGCTAGTTATCTTCATGGCTGTCTCTTCCTTTTATTTTATTTAATAATAATAATATTATTATTTTTGTGGAGATAGGGTCCCACTATGTTGCCTAGGCTGCCCTTGAACTCATGGCCTCAAGTGATTCTCTTGTCTTGCCTCCCAAGGCCCTAGAATTACTGATGTGAGCCACTGTGCCTGGGCTTTCTTAGTTCTGTGCTCATTAGTTCTTCTCTCTTTCTCTCCCTCCGTCTCTCTATTTTCCCCCTTTCCCTCTCTTCTGTTCCCTCTCTCCTCTGCAAAGAAACTGATTCCTCCCTTCCTGGGCATGTATTTCCCAGCCTTCATTGCTGTTAGATGTGCTCATGTGACTGGTTCTTGCTGATGGAAGGTGGGTGGAAATGACGCGGTCCCCTGTCTGGGGCTGAGATGGTTAAGATCATGGATCTGTCTTCTCCTGTCTGCATTGTTTGCTATCTACCAGCCGAGAGACAGCAGAACCACAAGGTAGCAGTCCCTGAATCTCCATGTGGCACATCTGCCTTAGACTGTTATCTGAGCAGGTAATAAACTTCTGTGATGTTAAGCCACAGAGATTTCGGGGCTTATCTGTTCCAGCAGCCAGCATTACCGTAAGTAACAAACACATGGACTCTCTCTGCTTCTCTAGGCTTTCAACTAAACACAGCTGCCCCACGACTCCTAAGTTCTTATATTTTTAATTATAGAGGATATCGATTGGCTTCTCATCCAATTGTAACCCTCCAGGAGAGGCTGTAATGGGCCCAGCTTGGGACTCCTTGGAACCACTCCTAAAATGATCAGCTATGGCTGGTGGGGACAGTACTATGATTTGGAGATGACAGGAGGGCCCTCCACCCTTCCCTGCCAGTGAAAGGTAGGGCCATTCTTTTTTTTTGTTTAATTATTATTATTTTTAATAGAGCTGAAATCTCATTATGTTGCCCAGGCTGGTCTTGAACTCCCCAGCTCAAGAGGCAGGGCCGGGCGTGGTGGCTCATGCCTGTAATCCCAGCACTTTGGGAGGCAAGGCAGGTGAGGAGGATCACCTGAAGTCAGGAGTTCAAGACCAGCCTGGCCAACATGGCGAAACCCTTTCTCTACTAAAAATGCAAAAATTAGCTGGGTGTGGTGGCAGGCGCCTGTAATCCCAGCTACTTGGGAGGCTGAGGCAGGAGAATCTCTTGAACCCAGGAAGTGGAGGTTGCAGAGAGCTGAGATTGCACCATTGCACTCCAGCCTGGGCGACAGAGTGAGACTCCATCTCAAAAAAGAAAAAAGAGGCATCAGGTCATCCTGCCTGTGACAGGAGGGCACTGCAAAATTACATGGCTAAGGGCATGGGTAGGGGGAAGGGTGAAGAGTTAGGGCCAAATAATGTACACCTTACCTAATTTCCCACTGGAGAACACCCCCTTTCAGTCAATTACTTTGGGTGGGGCTCCAGCTCAGGGGTGGAGCAGGTGACAAAGACCTCAGCCAATCAGAGAACAACTTTGCCCATTTGGGACTACAGGCATGCACCATCATGCCTGCTAATTTAAAATATTTTTTGTAGAGGCCAGGCACCAGTGGCTCACGCCTGTAATCCTGGCACTTTGGGAAGCCGAGGCAGGCGGATCACGAGGTCAAGAAATCGAGACCATCCTGGCCAACATTGTGAAACCCTGTCTCTACTAAAAATACAAAAATTGGCTGGCCCTGGTGGTGCACGCCTGTAGTCCAGCTACTCAGGAGGCTGAGGCAGGAGAATCGCTTGAGCCCGGGAGGCGGAGATTGCAGTGAGCCAAGATTGCACCACTGCACTCCAGCCTGGGCGACAGTGCGAGACTCTGTCTCGAAAAAAAAGAATTTTTTTTTTTTTTTGGAGAGGCAGGGTTTTCCTATGTTGCCCAGGTTGGTCTTGAACTCCTGGGCTCAAGCGATCTGTCCACCTCAGCCTCCCAAAGTGCTGGAACTACAGGCATGAGCCACTGTGCCTGGTTGACTTTTCCTTTCCAAATGAACAAGTTTGGGTTGAGTTTTCAGTCACTGAGACCAAACTGGTCCCAATGAGTACACCAGTAATCTTAGCCTCAGAGGTGTGCATCTACTCACAGAAGGGCTCAGTGGCTTCCAGTGTTCAAGGCTACTGGATTGCACAAGAGCTGTTATAGGACAAGCCCCGTGGATACTGGTGGCTCAGAGGTCTTACAGATGAGGTTTCACTGGGAACCAATCAGAACTCCCTTATTTGCAAGTAACAGACACCAAACTCAAATGGACTTGTGAGAATATGTTGGCTCATGTAATTGAAAAAGCCACTTGTGGCTGGGCGCAGTGGTTCACACCTGTAATCCCAGCACTTTGGGAGGCCAAGGTGGGGCAGATCACGTGAGGTCAGGAGTGCAAGACCAGCCTGGCCAACATGGTGAAACCCTGTCTTTACTAAAAATACAAAAATTAGTCGGGTGTGTTGGTGCACGCCTGTAATCCCAGCTACACGGGAGGCTGAGGCAGTAGAATCACTTGAACCCGGGAGGCAGAGGTTGTAGTGAGCTGAGATCGTGCCATTGCACTCCAGCCTGGGTGACAGAGTGTGCTCCGTTTCGAAAAAGAAAGAAAAGAAAAGAAAAGAAAAGAAAAGAAAAGAAAAGAAAAGAAAAAGCCATTTGGATTTCAGACACAGATCCTAGTACTCATATAACGCAATCAGAATCCATCTCTCCTCATCTCCTGGCCCTGCTTCATTTACTCTGTGCCGGCTTCATGCCTGGCCAGAATCTCCCTAAGCGGTGGCAAAGGCAGCCACCAGCATGTCCAGGCTTACATCCCACATGCTTAGCAACTCCAGTGAAAAGAGAACACATTTTCCCCTAATAGGTACACAAGGCCAGGAGCAGCCTAGCTTGGGCTAGGGGCACACAGCTGCCGCTGGGGGATGGAATGTGCTGATTGGCTAGACCTGGGTCATGTGGCCACCCCACAGAGCGAAGGGGTGGGGTCGGCCTCCGCTGAAGGAAGGACTGGGTCAAAGGAAGCTTGGGGTGCTATCACACAAAGCAGAACGAGTGGATGCTGAACAGGCAAAAATAGCAGACGTCCGCTACATCTCATTACTCTTAGCATCTTGTGGTCCTTATTACAATTGTAATGAACTATCACTCCAAATCCTCTACCTTCTACAATCACCTCCCATTTTCCTTTTTTTAAAAAAAGTATCATTATTATTTTTTGTCTCTGTCAAAAAAAAAATAATTGTTATTATATTGTCGCCCAGGCTGGAGTGCAGTGGCGCGATCTTGGCTCACTACAACCTCCGCCTCCCGGGTTCAAGCGATTTTCCTGTCTCAGCCTCCTGAGTAGCTGGGATTACAGGCAGCCACCACTGTGCCCGGCTAATGTTTGTAGTTTTAGTACATGTTAGCCAGGCTGGTCTCAAACCCCTGACCTCAAGTGATCCACCCAGCTCGGCCTCCCAAAGTGCTGGGATGACAGGCATGAGCCAACGTGTTCAGCTAATTTTTGTATTTTTAGCAGAGATGGGGTTTTGACATGTTGGCCAGGCTGGTCTTGAATTCCTGACCTCAGGTGATCCGCCCCCCTGGGCCTCCCAAAGTGCTAGGATTACAGGTGTGAGCCACGGTGCCCGGCCCCATTTTCCTTTAACATCAACATTGAATGACTTGAGCCCACATACTAAGAAAAATCAAGGCTTGGCGTGGTGGCTCATGCCTGTAATCCCAGCACTCTACAAGGCTGTAGTGGGAGGATGGCTTGAGGCCAGGAGTTTGAGACTAGTCTGGGCAACATAGCAAGACCCTGTCCCTACAAAATAGAAATGAAGACATTAGCCAGGCCTGGTGGTGTGTGCCTGTAGTCCCAGCTGTCTGAAAGGCTGAGGCAGGAGTGTCAGAGGCATTTGAACCTGAGCGACTCTATCTTGAATAGGGGCTGGGTAAAATAAGGCTAAGACCTGCTTGGCTGCATTCCCAGGAGGTTAAGGCATTCTAAGTCACAGGATGAGACAGGAGGTTGGCACAAGATACAGGTCATAAAGACCTTGCTGATAGAACAGTTTGTAGGCCAGGCATGGTGGCTCACCCCTGTAATCCAAGCACTTTGGGAGGCTGAGGCGGGCAGATCACCTGAGGTCAGGAGTTCGAGACCAGCCTGACAAACATGGAGAAACCCGTCTCTACTACAAAAATATAAAATTAGCCGGGCATGGTGGCACATGCCTGTAATTCCAGCTACTCAAGAGGCTGAGGCAGGAGAATCGCTTGAACCCAAGAGGTGGAGGTTGCGGTGAGCTGAGATTGCGCCATTGCACTCCAACCTGGGCAACAAGAGTGAAACTCTGTCTCAAAGAAAAAAAAACAAAGGGCCAGGTGCGGTGGTTCATGCCTGTAATCCCAGCACTTTGAGAGGCCGAGGCAGGTGGATCACGAGGTCAGGAGTTCAAGACCGGCCTGGCCAATATGGTGAAACCCCGTCTCTACTAAAAATACAAAAATTAGCTGGGTGTGGTGACGTGCACCTGTAGTCCCAGATACTCGGGAGGCTGAGGCAGAAGAATTGCTTGAATGTGGGAGTTGGAGGTTGCAGTGAGCCAAGATCATGCCACTGCACTCCAGCCTGGATGACAGAGTGAGACTCCATCTCAAAAAATAATAATAAAAATAAAAAATAAATAAATTAATAAATTAACAATAAAAAATGTTCAAAAAGGAAAACCAGGCCCCCTCCACAATGTCTCTGAGGCATCCCAAGATGGGGCTCCCCATCTCCTGAGTCCACCATGCTCAGCCCACTTCCTGGCTGTCCTTCTCTGCTCTTGGCCTCTGGAGCCATTGTCCCCTTTCTTCGCCTCCAAATCAAAACCTCTGTTTTTGTCCATTGCACCAAATCTCCACTAACCCAAGGCTGGGTGAGGAACAGTCTCCTCCCCTCAGCTGCCAGTAATTACCTCTAAATTACTTTTCTTACACCCACATTTCCACCCTAAACCAGACACTAGATGGGTGTATAGATGTTGACATTTCAGAGAGAGAGATGCTGTTTGGTGACTCTCGCATGGTGACGTGACCGTAAGTTGAGTAGTCATCTATGGCTCTGTGTGAAGGGTGTCATGGGGTCTGCGATCACTCCTTCCACTAGCCCTTGCTTTGGCCCGCTTAGCTGTGACTGCTGAGGAGTTGGGAAAATTTGCATAGGCCTCAAGGAGTGTCTTGGGAAAAAAGGAATCAAGGCTACAACTCTCTTTCCTTCTGAAGTTTAATTTATTTTATTATATTATTTTATTTTATTTATTTTAATTTTTTGAGATGGAGCTTTGCTCTATCACCCAGGCTGGAATGCAATGGTGTGATCTCGGCTCACTGCAACCTCCACCTCCTGGGTTCAAGTGATTCTCCTGCTTCAGCCTCCCCAGTAGCTGGGATTACAGGTGCCTGCCACTATGCCCTGCTAATTTTGTAGTTTTAGTAGAGATGGGGTTTCACCATGTTGGCCAGGCTGGTCTCAAACTCCTGACCTCAAGTGATCTACCCCCCTCAGCTTCCTGAAGTGCTGGGATTATGGGTGTGAGCCACTGCACCCGGACTTGAAGTTTAATGTTTTTTTTTATTTTTTATTTTTTATTTTTGAGACGGAGTTTCACTCTTGTTGCCCAGGCTGGAGTGCAATGGTGCAATCTCAGCTCACCACGATCTCTGCCTCCCAGGTTCAAGGGATTCTCTTGTCCCAGCCTCCGGAGTAGCTGGGATTACAGGCATGCACCACCATGCTGGGCTAATTTTGTATTTTTATTAGAGATGAGATTTCACCATGTTGGCCAGGCTGCTCTTGAACTCCTGACCTCAAGTGATCTGCCCGCCTCGGCCTCCTGAAGTGCTGGGATGACAGGCATGAGCCACCGCACCTGGCCGGAAGTTTAATGTTATTGGAACCTTTTTGATAGACTGATTAGTCTGGATGGAAGACTATGGACAGGGTACCAGCACCCTCAAGAAGGAATGTGCCATGATCAGGGGAGGCGACCAAGGCTAAATTAAAGGATAGAAGGGGCTACAGGGACAGGGCTAGTTCTCTTGCAGCGTGTGGGTGAGATTAGAAGCCCTTCCAGTCAAGCCATGGGCACGGCAGGGCAAAAGCTTTGTAGCCTGGAGGATGCCTGATATTGCCCAAGTGAATTCAGCAGTGACATGAGTGAATGGCGGAGACAGAAGCCATGGCTGCCGAAAGCCTGGGCCCCCTAGTGGCAAGTCCCGCCACTCTGTGGCTAAGTGGGGGATCTGAAGAGGTGATGTTTGTCCACCAAGCTGGGGAACCAGTGATGCTCTTTTGCTTTGTAGATTTCTCCTCTATCCCCTAACAATCCATTAAAGTGGATGACACCCTTATCATGGCAGAGAAGCGGCAGACATTTTGAAATGACAGAGCTTTTCTTTAACATATACCAAATCAAATAGTTGGGTAGCAGTCCTTTCTGCCCCGGTAGGGCTTTTTGCTGTTCTTTTTGCCCTCCCTCTCTTTTTCTTTCTGCCCCCACCCCATCATTTCATATATAATTATGTAACTTATAGAATGTCTGTTTTGCTCTTTAGAACAGCAGTCACCATGCTTTTTGGCACCAGGGACTGGTTTTGTGGAAGACCATTTTTTCACGGACCAGGGGTGGGGTGGGGTGGGGTGAAGCGAAGATGGGGATGGAGGGATGGTTTCAGGATGATTCAAGCACGTTACATTTATTGCACACTGTATTTCTTTCTTTTTCTTTCTTTTTTTCTGAGATGGAGTTTCGCTCTTGTAGCCTAGGCCGGAGTGCAATGGCACGATCTTGGCTCACCGCAACCTCTGCCTCCTTGGGTTCAAGCAATTCTTCTGTCTCAGCCTCCTGAGTATCTGGGACTACAGGCTCATGCCACCATGCCTGGCTAATTTTTGTATTTTTAGTAGAGATAGGGTTTAGTAGAGGTGCCTGTAATCCCAGCTACTCGGGAGGCTGAGGCAGGAGAATGGTTTGAACCCGGAGGCGGAGGTTGCAGTGAGCCGAGATCGCACCACTGCACTCCAGCCCGGGTGACAGAGTGAGACTCCATCTCAAAAAAAAAAAAGACTGGGCACGGTGGTTCAAGCCTGTAATCCCAGCACTTTGGGAGGCTGAGGCGGGTGGATCACTTGAGGTCAGGAGTTCAAGACCAGCCTGGCCAACATGGTGAAACCTCATCTTTACTAAAAATACAAAAAAATTAGCCGGGCATTGTGGCATGTGCCTGTAATCCCAGCTACTCAGGAGGTTGAGGCAGGAGAATTGCTTGAACCTGGGAGGTGGAGGAGGTTGGAGGTTGCAGTAAGCCAAGATTGCGCCACTGTACTCTATCCTGGGCAACAGAGCAAGACTCCATCTCAAAAAAAAAAAAAAAAAAGAAAAAAAGAAAAGAAAGAAAAAGAAAAAAGGAAAAAAAGAGTATGTCTCAGGGTATGTGATAGGGATTGTGTGTCTTGTTTATTGCTGTTTCCTTGGCCCCGAAAATAGTAGCAGGCATGCATTCATTAGTCTGACAAGTTGTTACGGAGTTCCCATCACCGTACCAGGCCCTGTCCCAGGCGTGGGGGCTGGAGGGAAGTAGCAGTTTGCCAAACACTGCCTCTGCTCTTATGGAACTTCCATTCTAGGGGGGAGAGATGGGTAACAAACAAATACATGGTCCTGCAGGTGGTGACGAGTGCTCAGTGTGCAGTGAAGCAGGCTAAGGAGGGCTTCTCTCCACCTAGACGGCTCAGGAAGTTTGCTCTGACCCTGAAGGAAGGGCGGGAGGGATCCCTGGGAGAGTACAAGGCAAAGTTTAAGGCTTCCAGGTGAGCACATGCTTGGCAGGCAGTACAGGGGATGGTAGGGATGAGGCTGGAATGTGCTGGGCTTGAAACTTGACCTTGACATAGGCTCTAGGCCTCTTGTGACCTCTCAGAGCTCGTGGGACCTTGGAGACCACTCTAAGGACTTCAGCTTTGATTTTTGGGTGGAATAGGAAGCCATTGTAGGGTTCTGAACATAGTGACAGATCTTATCAAAAGGATCTGTCTGGCCGGGCATAGTGGCTCATACCTGTAGTTCTAGCACTTTGGGAGGCCAAAGCAGGAGGATCACTTGAGTCCAGGAGTTGGAGATCAGCCTGGGCAACATAGTGAGACCCTGTCTCTACAAAAAGTAACAATAAAAATAAAATAGCCCAGAGCAATGGCATGTGCCTGTAGTCCTAGCTACTTGGGAAGCTGAGGTGGGAGGACTGTTTGAGCCCAGGAGATCGAGGCTGCAAGTAAGCTATGATTATGTCATTGTACTCCAGCCTGGCCAACAGAGCGAGACCCCAACTCTTGGGAAAAAAAAAAAAAAAGAAGAACCTGCAGAGGCTCAGAAGAGGCTCCTGCCTTAGGCCAGGGAGGGAGGCCATGTCCAGGGGCAGCAATGCAGGCAATGGGCAGTTGCTGCCTTGGGATGTGCCTGTATTTGAAGGCAGAGCCAACAGAACTGCTCTGTTGACATGAGTAGGTAATTAGCAAATATTTGTTTGAATGAGTGTTGAATCATGAAACTCCCTACAGTCCACTGAAGCTCCCCCTCCTTCAGAACATCCGCCTTGACTGTTGCTGGAGTCTACACCCACAACCGGCCCTTTCAGCTTTCTCCTGTCCCCTGCTCTGGCCCCATCGTCAGGGAGCGTCTGTGGGCTCCTCCAAACTCGATGGGTCTCCCAGTTCCATGCTCTCACTGAGCTCAGCCTGCTGTTTGGGCAATGTCTGCCTTCATCATTAGATCACCAGCTGCCTAAGGGCAGGGGCCCTGTCTGTCCTGCTCAGTGCTGTGTCCCCAGCCCCTAGGAGGAATCCTGGTACACAAAAGGTGCTCAGTAAAAAGGTGCTGAGTGGTGAACTGGTCTGCCTCTGGGCTTTTGCTTCTTTTCTGGCCAGGCTGAAGGGCTACAAGCTGAACTCCAGGCAAGGGACAACTGCCTACCCCTTGTCCCAGAATCTGGGTCCTGTTCCCCTCATGCTCAAGTTCTGAGAGGTCACAGGAGGCCTAGAGCCTATGTCAAGGTCAAGTTTTCTTTTTTTTTTTGAGATGGAACTTTGCTCTTGTTGTCCAGGCTGGAGTACAATGGCGCGATCTCAGCTCACTACAACCTCCACCTACCGGGTTCAAGCGATTCTTCTGCCTCAGCCTCCCAAGTAGCTGGGAGTACAGGCGTGCGCCATCGCGCCCAGCTAATTTTATATTTTTAGTAGAGATGGGGGTTTCACCATGTTGGCCAGGCTAGTCTTGAACTCCTGACCTCAGGTGATCCGCCCGCCTCGGCCTCCCAAAGTGCTGGGATTATAGATGTGAGCCGCTCCGCCCAGCCCAAGTTTTCAGTTTCTAGAGTACCTGTGTGCCCCCACCCCCACCGCCCTCTCCACCCCAAACTTGAGAAAAGACAGCCACCCAGTGGTCATTTTTCTAAACTTTTGTTTATTTTTATAGCAATCGTCATGTTTAGAGAAGTAAATAACACATTTAAAAACCTTCTCAGGGCCAAAGGATGCCAGAGTATTTACAAACACATGGAGGAAGGGCGGCAAGACATGAGGGGCTGGGGCTCTGGGGCTAGGACTCTACCCAGGACCCCGCCCCAGGCCCTGAGCCAAGCATGGACGCTGATGTCAGCCACCAGGACTGTCCCACTGGCCACAGTGTGGGCTCAGGGAACATTCTGGCAGCCGTGGGGTTCTGTTCAGTGGGCCTGGTGGAGACCCTCTAGCCGACCTGTGGCCCCGCCTCCCATCCAGGGGGCTTCCCGTGCCCCACAGGCCAGCTCAGAGGGGTCTCTGGGAAGCACCGAAGGACAGGGGGCAGTGTGGGGGACACAGGGTCTGGGACAGAGACACGCACACACATACACACATACACACATACACACTGTACCTTCACAGAAGAATCGCAACAAGGGAGATTTTTTGTGTGATTTTTTTTTTTTTGTCTTCTAAGTCTTCATGTCTACAGTGTTATTTTTTGCTATTATTTTTTGTTTCTTCGACAGTGACATAAACTGAGGTAAACATCTGTGACCAACACCTCTCCTAAGGGGCAAAGGGTCCCAGCCCGACCAGCAGAGGAGGTGGCAGCACCAGGGCCCCAACCTGGTGTTCCGGTTCTGCTCTGGGGTCAGGCTGGAGGCTGGCCCTCTGGGTGCCTCTGGGAATGAGGGGGCTGGGCTACATAACTATGGTCCCCTCCCAACTCTAACATACTAGATACTACAACGGCTGGGGAAACTCCCGAACAGGATCTTAACAGAGAGAGGGAGAGAGAGAAAGAGAGGAGAGAGAGAGAGAGAGAGAGAGAGAGAGAGAGAGAGAGAGAGAGAGAGGGAGAGAGAGAGCGCGCGCGAGAGAGAGAGCGAGCACGGCAAGGGACGTCTACTGTGGAATCTCGATTCCTAGTTATTGCAGGAGAGATCAGGATGTCGCGAGGCCTAAGGCAAAAGGAGAAGTCGCGGCTGGGAGAGGCAGCCCCGATGGGCTCCAGGTGGGCCGGGGGCAGTGACCAGGGCCTTCTCTGAGACCTGGTCCTTGGAGGGAGTGGGGGTTTGCTACTTACCTGGCATGTGGAGGGCCCATACCCACTGGGGAGGTGGAGTCTGGAGAGGAGTGGGCACAGCAGGGAGAGTGGGGCCAGGCCCTGGGGCCACCCCACACTGTTTGTAAACTGGACCCGGGCAGGGCAGGGGACCTATAGCCCTTTTTCAAGGTGGGAATGAGTGGGGAGTGGAGAGGTTGGGGCACCAGCCAGAAAGTGCTCGGAGTTCACTCTGGCCGGCCTGGCCCATCAAAGAGCCCCTCAAATGGCCCAGAACCCCAGGAGGGACCCTGGCAGGGGACCCTGACAGGGACAGCCTCACCCATGTGGTGCTTATTGCGGGGGTCCCGGGCCTCCACAGAGAGGGGCAGGGGGTCAGGCGGGGCTGCTGTTGTCTCTGTTTTGCTACCTGGGGGCCTGAACCAACCTGCAGGGGCCTCCTTGCCGGATTTCCTGAGGGCTGTGGTGCAAGGCAGGCCTGGGCGCCCTGGGACAGCTGCCTGGGAGGACCAGGGTGTGGTGGGGGGGCCGCTGGTGAGGGGTCTGGACGCACAGTCACTGAACGCAAAGGATGGCACCCATGCGTCTGCACCCTACACATGTGCACACACACCTAGTCACACACTCGCCCCCTGGTGTCCACCGCCCCCATTCTCACACCCACACATGCAGGTCCTACGCCCTGCACACTCCAGCGCCAGAAAAGTGGGAGACGTGAGGATGGGGTCTTGGAGGTTGGCATGTTTGACCCCAAGAAACCCAGGAGAAATTTCCAGCACGAACCAGCTCGCCACCTGCTGGAAGCCCAGGCTACTACGTCTAGGCTGTGTGGCAAGGGCTGGGAGGACCCGGCAGAGGTCCCTGGGCCTGGGACAGTGCGGCTGGCAGGGGGAGCTGGGACCTGCTCTCGGCTCCACACTAACTCCCCTGCCCTAAGGATGGGGGCAGCTGAGACCCCTGCCCTGTGAGCCCTTCTATCCCCACAAGTTGTCAGGACAATCCCTTGTGGTTAGGGGGAGGGGCGGGGAGAGAGCTCTATTTCTCAGCCAGTGCCAAGCTACCCTCCCTCCTGGGCTGTGATTTCATTTGTGCAATGGGGGTGTGCAGGAGTCACTAGCTTCTCGGGGCCTGTCCCGCACATACACGCACTTATGCGACATCCAGACATTTGCTACATTTTCCAAGGGCTTGGCCTCTCCCCTCCAGCCTCCAGAAGGGAGGGCAGGACACAGCTGCCCTTCGCTCACTGCCCTGATCCCAGCCTGTGCCCAGGGGCCTTAAGCCCCCTCTCTGCCCAACACTTCAGTCCCTTTCTGTACCCAGGGTGGGGAGGGGGCAGAATGGGATGGCGAGGAGGAGGGGATCTGGGGTGGGACCGCAGGATGATCTGCCAGGGGGTATGGAAGGCCAGGAGCAACGAGTCCGGGTTCCAGGGCTCAGGGAGGCGTCTGGGAGTGTGGCCCGAAAGCTCCCTTGCTCCTGGCGTGTGTGTGTGTGTGTGTGTGTGTGTGTGTGTGTGTGTGTGTGTGTGTGTGTGTGTTGTGTGGTGGCCTCCGAATTCTCGGGTCTGTGCGGCTTGGCTCCTCTGGGCCAAGCCCCCGCTCACCAGGCCGCGCTAGGGGTCTTTGGTGGCCCCCTCACCAGCCCGCCGGGGACGGACCAGGTGCCGGGCCGCGTCCTGCCTAGTCTACCGCTGCGCCCCCTGCCCCGCGGCGAGGTGGCTCCATTCCCTACCGCCGCACCGGGCACCGGCTCGGGGCGGGCCCGGGCTGCTCCCGGGTCCGAGGGCGGCGGAGGCGACTCAGACGCAGATCTCGATGGCCGTGGCCAGCACCACCTGCCCTTTGCTCTTGTCCGCGCGGCCGTCGGTCCGGCCGGGGGGCCCCTGGGGAGCTAGGCCGGGCTCGGGCACAGGCACCGGCACGGGCACTGGCACCGGCACCGGCACGGGCAAGGGCACCGACCCGACGGCGGGGGGCGCGGGCCGGGAGCCGCTGCCGCTCTCGGTCAGCACCGTCCGCTTGAGCGGCCCAGGCGCCTCGAGGCGCAGTGGCCCGGCGGCGGGCGGGCGGTCCCCGGGGGGCTTGCGCGCGCGGTGCGAGGGCCGGCGGCGCAGCTCGGACGTGAGCTCGTGCTTGAGGAAGCGGAACACCTCCTTGGCTGGGCCGCGGCGCTCGGGCTCCAGGGCCAGTAAGCGCTGGAACATGCGCAGCGCGGGCTCGGTGAAGCGGCGCCACTGCGAAGGCAGCCCCGGCAGGCGGCCCCGCTGCCAGCGCACGAACTCCTCGAAGAAGGCGTCGGCGCCCGACGCCGCCTCCCACGGGAAGTTGCCGGTGAGCACGCAGAAGATGAGCACGCCGAAGGCCCACACGTCCACGCCCGTGTCCACCGCCAGCCCGTCGGCGCGGCCCGCCTGGCACACCTCAGGCGCCGTGTAAGGGATGGTGCCGCTCACGCGCTTGACGCGGCAGCCCACGCGGCGCGTCATGCCGAAGTCGGCCAGCTTTACGCGGCGGCACTCGCGGTCGAACAGCAGCACGTTCTCGGGCTTGATGTCGCGGTGCACCAGCTGCCGCCCGTGCATGAAGTCCAGCGCCAGGCCCAGCTGCTGCACACAGCGCTTCACCGTGTCCTCAGGGAGCCCCACCTGCGGGCGGCCGGGGGAAGCCGCGCTGTTTCCAGCTCTCCAGCGCCCGCCCCGCCGCCCTCCCCTCCAGCTCCCTCTCTAGCAAGGCGGTTTTCGCCTCCCACCCTGTCCCCAGTAACTGGGGCGACCGCGCAGACGCGGCCCGGATGCTGCTGAGCGCCCTTTCCCCCGCTGTCTCATCCAATCCTCATAGTGGCTACCATGCCTGCTTCTCCTATGGGGACATCGGGGCTCCAGGAGGGACACGCGGCTCTCCAGGAGGTTGATGAGGGGGTCCGCGGCGCCCTCCACCTGCTGTCATTTTGCCCTGCCTGCTAGATACTTATCTCGTCGGTCTTCCCCAACTAGAACGGGGCTCCCTGAGCTTCCCGTCCTGTTCCCTGCTGTGTCCGTGCATCTGTGTCTCCAGATTCTGGCATGTAGTAGGTGCTCAGCAAAGAAGGAGGACCTGCTCCGAAGGTCTCATCACTCAGCCAGCAAGTGGCAGAGCAGATTTAAAGCTAGTGCCTGGAACCCTCCCCCACCGTCCCGGTTCCAGGGTCGCTTCCTCTGAGGGCCCCTTCCCAGGTGGATCTGACACCTCTCCTCTTGTGTAGCCCCAGGGGAGGGCCCAGTGACTTCATCCCATCATTCTCACTGTCTCCTTTTAGGCACTCATCTCCATCTGTTATTATCTGGCCCGCTGTGGAGTGTCAGTTTCCCACTAGAACAGGGACTTTTGTCTTCCTTACTGCACATCCCCACCTCCCCAAATGGTAACTGACATACAGCAGGCACCCAGTAAATACTTGTTAATTAAATGGTCTGACTCCACTCCCACTCTCACACTCTGGGACCCTGAAGACCCTTTCCCCACCCTATGCCACCATCCCGAGTACCTGGGGAGGGATGATGTCAAACAGGTCCCCAGCAGGTGCGTACTCCTGGGCAAAGACGTAGCAGTCCTCTGTCTCAAAGACCACGTCAAAGACCTTGATGATGAAGGGGCTGGAGGAGAGGCTGTTGGTGATGCTCACCTCCCGTAGGAAGTTCTTCAGCTTGGTTTTGCTCTTGTTCACAAACTTCAGTGCCATTTTTGTGCCTGATGGGAGCAACAGCAACAGGGTTGAAGCCCCCTCTCCCAGTGCCTCCGCACTGGATGCACCCATGCCTGTCTCTGGACCCTGGTGCAACAGGGTCCCCAGCAGGCATGACTGTCCTCATCTCACGGATGGGAACAGACCCAGAGAGAGGAAAGGACTTGCCCAAGGCCATGCAGGCAGGGTCAACCTGAGCCTTCTACACCCACTCTGCAGCTCTCCAAGAGGAGGGGGCGAGGGGGCCTGTGATGCCCTCCACCTCTCTCATTTTGTCCTGCCCGCCATATGCTTATTTATCTTGTCAGCCTACCCCATCTAGAACGGGTCTCCCTAAGCTTCCTGTCTTGCTAAATGGATGAATGAATAAGAAATGAGACACTGCAAGGCATGTGTCCACAACTCTGTGCCTGGGCAAGCATCTGTGCCCATCTGGTACATAGCTGGGTGGAGCACACATGTGTGTCCACGGAGCATTTACACATCGCAGGCCCTGCCTTCAGCACTGCACATTCACAACTCACACTTCATTATGATTGTATGGGTTGTGCACTAATGTTACCCTATTTTACAGAGAAGGACTCTGAAGCACAGAGAGGTGAAGTCACTTGCTCAAGGTCACACAGCAAGCAAGTAACAAAGCTCAGGTGACCCCATGTTAGGTGCTCCTCCTGCTGCCCTCAGTTAGCACAAAGCCCCTGGACCCAAGCGCGTGCAGCTGTGGGAGCTCACACAGCCCCAGCCCCTGGCTGGCTGGGTGGCACGGCTGTGACCTACAGTGTGGGGGAGGTATCAAGCTCAGTGACTAAGCGACAAGGCTCTGGAGATGACTCCTGGGGTCTCGTTTTGGTTCACAGCCTCTGTAGCTGCAGGGCATTGGCTATGTGGCTGAATTGGCCTAGGTCTCCCTGTCCTCACCTGAGAGATGGTGATTGCAATATTGACCTCACAGGTCCTTCCACCACCCATTAAGTGTGGCACCCTGTTCCTGAGGAACCACCCTCACTCTCCATCCACCTTCCTGGGGCCAGACATCCCTGAGACGCTGGTGATACTCAGACACAGCCGGCAGCCCTGCCCTCCCCAGACACTCCTGGCACAGCCCCTTGGCTGTCTCAAAGTCACCCCAGATGGCCCCACAGCAGCCCATCCTGTACCCTGGCCACTCTGCCCCGGATTCCTCCCTTGCCCCATCTGCCCAGTCTCTTTCCCCCTGGGCTGCCTCAGGCCTCATCCTCTACATCTGGCCCCTGACCCTGCCTCCTGGCTTCCACAGAGCACCAGAGAGCCCCGGCCCAGCTGCAAGGTCATGTCCCCCAACCCTGACCTCCCAGCCCTGCCCCACCCCAACCTCTCAGCCCTGCCACCCTGCACTTGTTCACCTGTGCCCTTGTAGACCACCAGGTCAACCTTCCCATAGGTGCCTTTGCCCAGCTCCCGGACTAGTTCGTAGTGCTTGGTGACGTCGCTGGCGGCCAGTGTGCGGAGAGTCAGGGCCTGCATGTCTTCAGTGAGAAGGGGCACACCGGCACCAGGCCCAGGGGCAGTCCCCGGCCCACAGCAGGTCAGGGAGCGGGGCGGCTCAGGCTCTGGGCAGCCCACGCTCATCTTCTCCCTGTTGGGTAGGGGTGGTGAGCATGAAGTGTGACATCAGGCAAGGGTCCCCTCCTCCAGCCCCTCTGCCCTCCCCAGAACCCAGAAAACTTGAGGATGGGCCCGGATGCCAGGCCCAAGATAACCACAAGGGGGCGACAAGCATCTTGGTCGCGTCGCCTTCCCCAAAGCCTCAGGGGCCAGGCCTGAGTCAGCTCCCCGAAGACCAGTCACTGCCAGACCCTGCGCTTGGTGGCACCAGCCCCTCTGCCTCATGCTGCCACCCACACACAGTGTCAGGCAAGGCCCCTGTTTATGTCACACAGACACAGCCAGATACCGAGTTCACACGGGTACTCCCATTCAGAAGCGTTGGTTTTATTTGGATTGTAGAGAGGGGGGTCCCACTATGTGGCCCAGGCTGGTCTCGAAATCCTGGATTCAAGTGATCCCTCTGCCTGGCCCTCCCAAAGTGCTGGGATTACAGGCATGAGCTACTGCACCCGGCTTGTTGTTATTTTTATTTCTGAGACAGGGTCTTGCTCTGTCACCCAGGCTGGAGTGCAGTGGCGCAATCACAGCTCACTGCAGCCTCGACCTCCCAGGCTTAAGCTATCCTCCCATCTCAGCCTCCTGAGTAGATTGGATTACAGGCATGTGCCACCACACCTGGCTAATTTTTATTTATTTATTTTAATTTTTAGTTCTGGGGTACATGTGCAGGATGTGCAGGCTTGTTACATAGGTAAACGTGTGCCATGGTAGTTTGCTGCACCTATCATGCCTAATTTTTAATTTTTTTTTTGTAGAGTTGGCATCTCTTTATGTTGCCCAGGCTGGTCTAGAACTCCTGGCCTCAAGTGATCCTTCCACCTCAGCCTCCCAAAGCACTAGGATTACCAGCATGAGCCACTGTGCCCAGCTTATTCACAAGTACTGACGAAGCACCTGCTGTTCCCCAGGGCTCTCCAAAGCCTGGAGGACACAGCATGGAACAAACACCTAGGATTCCCTGCCACCATGGGGCTTACACCCCAGGGGGAGAAGGGCAGTAGACACAGTGATCACATCAGTTGTATATTACGATCGAAAGTGGTATGGCTGTCCATAAGGTAGGGGGTGGGGAAGAGGTCTGAGGGCCATGATTGCATCATCACATACCTTGGCCACGTGGTCTCAGGCCAAACTGGCAGGATGGTATAGATGTGGCCACACCATCCCACCATACACATGGCCACACATCAGCACAGCCTGGCAGTGCCTCCCCCACTGCAGACGACCTCACCACCCGACTAATGAACACTGCGCCTGGCCAACCTGACTTTTTCAAAAATTGTATTTAGGCTGGGCATGGTGGCTCACAACTGTAATCCCAGCACTTTGGGAGGCTGAGTGGGCGGATCACTTGAGGTCAGGAGTTCGAGACCAGACTGGTCAATGTGGCGGAACCCTGTCTCTACTAAAAATACAAAAATTAGTTGGGCATGGTGATGCACGCCTGTAATCCCAGCTACTTGGGAGGCTGAGGTAGGAGAACTTCTTGAACCCTGGAGGTGGAGGCTGCAGTGAGCAGAGATCGTGCCACTGCATTCCAGCCTGGGCGACAGAACAAGACTCCGTCTCAAAAAAAAAACTGTATTTGTATTGAGACAGGGTCTTGCTCTGTTGCCCAGGCTGAAGGGCAGTAGGATGATCATAGCTCACTGCAGCCTCGAACTCCTGGGCTCAAGGGATCCTCCTGCCTCAGCCTCCTGAGTAGCTGGGACTGCAAGCATGCGCCACCACATCTGGCTGATGTTTAAATTTTTTGGAGAGATGGGGTCTTGCTATGTTTTCCAGGCTGGTCTCGAACTCCTGAGATCAAGCGATCCTTCCACCTTAGCCTCCCAAAGTGCTGGGACTACAGCGTGAGCCACCACTTGGGCTAAGACCTGACTTGTCATGTGGGTGACAGTGAACTAACTCTCCATCCGTGGCCTTCATTTCTTTATTTCCCCTTATCTCATGTCATTTTTCTAGTTTTATTGAGGTATATTTGGTGTTCAAAAAACTACACATATTTGAAGTGTACAGTGTGATGATTCTGACATATGTATACATCCCTGCCGTCGAGACCACGAACACATCCATTACCCCAAAGTTTCCTTTTGCCCCTTTCTAAAACCCCATCCCCCCAACCCCGGTCTTCCAGGCAACCACTCTGGGCATTCATTTCTCATCTGTAAATGGAGAGAGGTAGACTATGGGGGATGAGCCTTTCCCAGGCGCAGGCACACATGAGTATGTATCTGTGTGTGCACTGGCAAGAGAGGCCAGGGCTGCCTCCTTTAGAAGCTGCCACCAGCCTCCAGCCCCTGAGCACTGCTTCCGGGTGCAGCCTCCCTCTACCCTCCCTGCACTCCCTTCTCCCTTTTTTCCCTTTTTTTTGAGACGGAGTTTCTCTCTTGTCACCTGGGCTGGAGTGCAGTGGTGTGATCTTGGCTTTTTGCAACCTCCGCCTCTTGGGTTCAAACAATTCTCCCACCTCAGCCTCCCAAGTAGCTGGGATTACAGGTGTGCGCCACCATATCTGGCTAATTTTTGCATGTTTAGTAGAGATGGGGTTTCACCATGTTGGCCAGGCTGATCTCGAACTCTTGACCTCAGGTGATCCATCGCCTGGGCTTCCCAAAGTGCTGGGATTACAGGCGTGAGCCACCGCACCTGGCCCCTTCTCCCTCTAATCCCAGACATGTCACTCCAGTGTCCCTAGCCTGCTCCTAAGCACCCCTGCACCCTGAAGAACAATGACCACAGCTCCCTCTGGGAGAAGGCACAGATGTAGAGCCAGACAGCCTGGGTCTGAGTCCCAACTCTGTCACTTGCTAGCTGGATGTCCTTGGGCAAGTTACTTCCTCTCTCTGTGCCTCAGTTTCCTCATCTATACAAAGGATATAATAATAGTGCGTTGGGCCACTCAAGGTAGCTCACGTCTGTGATCCCAGCAATCTGGGAGGCCAAGGTGAGAGGATTGCTTGAGGCCAGGAGTGTGAGACCGGCCTGAGCAAGACCCTGTCTCCACAAAAAAAAAAAAAAAAAAAAAGTTAGCTGGGTGTGGTGGTGCACACCTGTGGTCCCAGCTACTCAGGAGGCTGAAGCAGAAGGATCGCTTGAACCCAGGAATTCGAGGCTGCAGTGAGCTATGATCACTTCACTGCACTCCAGCCTGGATGACAGAGTGAGACCCTATCTAAATATAATAATAATAATAATAATAACAATAATAACGACAACAACAACAACAACAGTGCCTTCTCCCGATGCGTTCTTGCGAGGGTTAAGTAAGTTAACAGGCGTGAAGCCCTGGCATGTGGCATGCAGTAAGTGCTCCATAGGTGCCCAGGCTTGCTGTGTTGTTCTCGTCATCATCACCGGCTTTCTCTCTGGCTGAGCAAGGGTGGGCGGGCGGGTGGGCATTGCTGGAGGCTGGGAGGGGGTGAGCACTCCATGAGCCCCGCATCCTCTCGCAGCCCAGCGGCTCCCTTCCAGGCCCCAAGCCTCTCCTCCTCCTCTGCCTTCCCCTTCACTCTCGGCACGACCCAGCCTCCCACTTCACACGGAGAGGAGGAACATCAGGAGAGAACTTCCTGGCCTCCCACCCAGCCCCAAACGGAGCTCCATCTGCACCGTCCTCTCAGCTGGCTGGGGAGGAAGGAACCCTCCCCTCCCCGCCCTGCAGCCTGCTCCCATCCCTGTCTTCCCAGCCTCCTGCCTCCCTCCATTCATGAACCAGCTCATCTCCCCTGTCAGTATGTTTTTTTTTTTTTTTTAAGACAGGGTATCGCTCTGTCACCCAGGCTGGAGTGCAGTGGCGTGATCTCAGTTCACTGCAACTTCTGTATCCCGGACTCTGGCAATCTTCCCATCTCAGCCTCCTGAGTAGCTGGGACCACAAGGTGTACGCCACCACACCTGGCTAATTTTTGTATTTTTTGTAGAGATGGGGTTTCACCATGTTGCCCAGGCTGGTCTTGAATTCCTGACCTCAAGCAATCCTCCAAAGTGCTGGGATTACAGGTGTGAACCACCGCACCCAGCCTCCTGTCGTTTTTTAAATTAAATTAAATTTTTTTTAAACAGGGTCTCGCTCTGTTGCCCAGGCTGGAGTGCAGTGGTGCCCCCATGGCTCACTGAAGCCTCCAGCTCCTGGGTTCAAGCAATCCTCCCACCTCAGCCTCCTGAGAAGGTGGGGCCACAGGCACGTGCCACCACGCCCAGATAATTTTTTTTCGTATTTTATTTATTTTATTTTGAGACAGAGTTTCCCTCTTGTTGCCTGGTGCAATCTTGGCTCGCCGCAACCTCTGCCTTCTGGGTTCAAGCGATTCTTTTGCCTCAGCCTCTGGAGTAGCTGCAATTACAGGCATGTGCCACCATGCCTAATTTTTGTATTTTTAGTAGAGACAGGGTTTCTCCATGTTGGTCAGGCTGGTCTCGAACTCCCGACCTCAGGTGATCTGCCCGCCTCAGCCTCCCAAAGTGCTGGGGTTATAGGCGTGAGCCACCGCATCCGGCCCATATTTTATTTTTTGTAGAGATGGGGTCTCACCTTGTTGCCCAGGCTGGTCTTGAACTCCTGGGCTCAAACAGTCCTCCTGCCTCGGCCTCCCAAAGTGCTGGGATTACAGGCCTGAGCCACTGTACTTGGCCTCCTTGCCCCTGTTCCAACAGGAACTTCCTCTCCAGCAACTGTCTTTTCTTTCCTAGCTCATTTCCACCTAAACATGTGCCCTGGCCTCGCTCATTCCACAGTCCCCTCCACCAGAGGTAGGAACAGTGCCAGGCCCAGAGAACCCGGTCCCACATGCCCTTCCTCTCTACTCTAGTGTGCTGATCCAAATGCAGACATGCCACTTGCCACCATGTCTCCACGCAGTCCCAGCTCTGGGCTGGACAGCACTGGCTCTTTCCCGCAGCCACCAGCTGGGCTTACATGGGGCGACATCTCCGCGTGATCGTCTTTCCCTGGTCTCAGGCTTGGAAAAAATCTCTTCCAACCCCTGTGAAATGTCCACCCACCAACGGGGTGATGAGGCTTCCGAGTTAGAAAACCGAGGTGACCGCGGCAACACCAGCAGGGAGAGGCAAGGCTGCTTCTGTGCAGGCCTCCCCGGGGCCTGCGCGTCCTTGGGCCCTTTCTGTGTGGACTGTGGGGCTGTCCCCCAGGGGCTCTGATGAGCACGCAGCCCTCTTTGCCGCAAACTCCTCCCCACGCCCAACAGGGAGACGCTGGGCTGCTCCCCTGACCTACTTTTCCTGACGTGTGTGGAGTCCCCAAGGGCTGCTGAGGTGGGCGGTCCACGTGCATACAGCACACACATCCACACGTGTGCAATCCTCCCGCCTTGGGCTTTGGCCCTGCAAGGCCACCTCAGGCTGTTCTGTGTACTCTGGGAGCTTAATTGGTGGCCACCAGTGGCTACAAGCCCTCCCTGCCTCCCACACCCAGGGACAGGATGCTTGGCTTATCTCTGCCCTCTGGCATGTCTGCCTCAGAGTTGCCCTGGGAAGGGCTGGGCTGGATCAGGGACACAGTCCAGTGGGCTCAGTTTGGGCCCCATGTGTGCCCCCCACTGTCAGGTTCAGCCCATGCTCTGACCACTACCCCACGCTGCCTCTCTATGGCTTTATTTAATGCACTTATTTACTTTAATTCTTTTTTTTTTTTTTAGAAATAGGATCTTGCTCTATTGCCCAGGCTGGAGTGCAGATCATGGCTCACTGTAGCCTTGAACTCCTGGGCTCAAGCAGTCCTCCCATCTCAGCCTTCTTGTGAGTAGCTAGGACTGCAGGTGTGCGTCATGGTGCACAGCTAATTTTTTATTTTTTGTGTTTAGAGATGGGGTCTCGCTATGTTGCCCAGGCTGCTTTTAAACTCCTAGCCTCAAGCGATGATCCTGCCAAGCCACCACCCCTGGCCTCTCTAAGGCTTTAGTGTCCTCTATTCTATCTCCTCAATTCCTGAAGAGTCTCTCCTGCCTGTTCCACCTCCCTGCCGTGCCTCCTCATCGCCAGGTCTCACTCCTCCAGGAAGACTTCCCTGCTGCCCTCACACGTGCTGACTCCTGTCTCTGCTGAACAGCAAGATTCACAGGGGCTGCCTGTCCCTCTCTCAGGGCCCTTGTTGAATACCTCAGCTGTGTCCCTGTCTGCCCATCAACAAACCAAGAGCTCCCCAGGGGCAGGGGCTGGATCGGATTCACCCCTCTCCTGCATCCCTTTCCTGGTTCCCAGGGCTCAGCTTTGGGAGTCCCCCTACTGTCCCCTCCCTCCTTCTTCTCCTTCCACACCTCCCTCTCCCTTCAGGCCTTTTCTCCGCAAGGTGTCAGCAGGAGACAAGGAATTAATCCACGCACCCATCCCTGCCTCTGCGTCATCCGCCAGGTACATGCTGCCTCTGACCCAGTTCCGGCGCACGTGGCGTCGGAGGCACAGGGGGAGCAATGGGCCTTGAGGCTTGGCCTTGATCCTAATGTGCGCCACTTTTTTGCTGGGTGACCTTGAGCAAGTCACACCACTGCTCTGGGCCTCTGCTTCCCCATCCCTACCATGAAGAAATCAAGTAACAATAATAATGGAACCAACATTCACACAGGACTTACCACCTGCCTGGCCGTTCTCAGGACTAATGCACTTAATCCTCACAAATACAAGGTAGGCATTATTGTTAGCTCCACTTAAAAAAAAATAGAGACAGGGTCTCACTATGCTGCCCTGGCTGGTCTCCAATTCTTGGCCTCAAGTAGTCCTCCTGCCTTGGCCTCTCAAAGTGCTGGGATTACAGGTGTGAGCAGCAGCACAGGCTTTTGAGATGAGGAAACAGGCAACTTGCCCAAGGTCACACAGCTAGCATTGGTATTGGCTCCAAAGCTGGTACCTTTCACTCTTGTGCTTTCCCAAGGCAGGATATTGGGAACATCGCACCCAGATTCCCCAGCCAGGTGGGGAAACTGAGGCCCAGAAGAGGGCCGAGTCTCAGTGGGAACTCGACCCTCAAAGTATTTCGTCATTGGTCGTCCCTGCCTCCACTTGCAGGAGCAGCTGTGGATGTGATGGCTGTGAACTTGCCAGCACCAGGCAGCGGAGGCCTCTCTGACCTCTGTTCACGCCGGGCTGTCAGCGCCGCATCCACCCACACTCAAGAGGGTGGAGGAAGGGCGCACACACCTCACGCCTCAAGGGTGTGTCCTCACCGGCCCTGAGGGAGGCCTCCATCTGCCATCTGTGTTGCTGAGGGTGGGTGGGGGTCCCCCTCGACTTCATGGCAGTAGTCACGGCTCTGCCACAAGCTGGGAGGGCCACCGTGGTGGGGGAGGGTTTCCCAAGCAAGAAGCAAGACTGAGCCGCCCACCACTTCCTGCTGGCGGTCGGCAAGCGTTGGCACCACCCTTATGAAACGACACCCAACTCATCGTCTGGCTCAGGCCTACTTTGGAGTCCTTGTTGCTCTCCCCACCAACACACACACGGATGCACAAGCATCCACACAGACACACATGCACACATGCGCACACACACAGACACACGTGTATACACAGACCTACATGGTGTGGCCAACTTGGAAAAATTTCATTCATTGAGTCCTCACAAAACCCCTGAGAAGGGGGGGTGCTTCCTATTATTTTATTTTTTTAAAAAATAAAAGGTTTCCCCATTTTGCCTAGGCTGGTCTTGAACCCCCAGGCTCAAATGATCCTCTTGCCTCAGCCTCCCGAGTAGCTAGGACCACAGGCATGCGCCACCACGTCCAGCTTGAATTCCTATTTTGAAAAAATAGCTTAATTGAGGTAGAACTTATATACCACCTAACTCCCATGGAGTGCACAATTGAATGATTTGAGTAAACGTAAAGGGCTGTGCAGTCATCGCCACAACTGAGTGATGCCTTCTATTTAACAGACAACAAAAGAGGCCCAAGAGGTGGATGATCCGCCCATAGTTATGACACAGACAGCCACCTGTCCCTCAGCAACGCGTGTGTCCTCTCCTATACTACAAAGTCGGGCTGGAGAGCGGCCATCCAGCAGGGAACCACGTTGCCTCCCTTGCATCCAGGCCAGCCATGTGACTGGCTCCCCACTGGAATGTGCACAGAAGTGGTATGTGTGTCGCTGTCAGCCTGGGGCTTCAAAGGATCGGGGAAGGTTTATCTGCACTCTCTTCTTCTGCAGCTGGTTTGATGCAGAGGACTCCAAAACCCCAGAAGATGGTGGAGCCACAAGAGAAGAAGCACCTGGGTCCCCAGGTCACTGTGTGGAAAGCCTCCTGCTGTGGAGGATTGCCCGTCTGCATTGTTGTGGGAGCCACTGGGAAACTTCGATCATGTTTGGCTGCTGGGATATGGGGGCTTGTTTGTTACAGCAGCTGGCACTACCCCAATTCAAGGGTTATGCAGCAAGTAAGCAGAAGAGCTCAGATCTGGGGCTGCATGTGATGGCACCTGTAGTCCCACCACTTTGGGAGGCCGAGGTGGGAGGATTGCTTGAGGTCAGGAGTTCGAGGCTGCAGTGAGACATGATCACACCACTGTATTCCAGCCTGGACAACAGAGTGAGGACCCCATCTCTATCAATTAAAAACAAAACAAACACACACACACACACACACACACACACACACACACACACCCCAAAGAACGCCAGGCACGATAGCTTGTGCCTGTAATCCCAGCAGTTGGATTGGGAGGCCAAGGCAGGTGGGTTGCTTGAGCCCAGGAGTTCAAGACCATCTGGGTAACATAGCAAGACCTCCATCTCTATCTACAAAGAAACAAAAAAATTAGCTGGGCATGGTGGCACATGCCTATAGTCCCAGATACTTGGGAGGCTGAGGTGAAAGGATCGCTTAAGCCTGGGAGGTCTCAACAGAGTGAGACCCTGTCTCAAAAAAAAAAAAAAAAAAAAAAAAAAAAAAAAAAGCCCAAGCATGGTGGCTCACACCTGTAATCCCAGCAATTTGGGAGGCTGAGGCAGGCAGATCACTTGAGATCAGGAGTTTGAGACCAGCCTGGACAACATGGTGAAACCCCATCTCTACTAAAAATGCAAAAATTAGCCAGGTGTGGTGGTGGGCACCTGTAATCCTAGATATTTAGAGGGCTGAGGCAGGAGAATTGCACGAACCCGGGAGGTGGAGCTGGCAGTGAGCTGAGATTGTGCCATTGCACTCCAGCCTGGGTGACAGCGAGACTCTGTCTCAAAACAAACAAACCAGAGAGATTAGATTTGAACCTCAGCGTGTCCACCTCCCTGGAATGTGGCCAGAGGAGGTTAACCAGGACAGTGACAATACTGGGCACCAAGTGACAAGGACCCAGTTACAGAAGTAGGTGGAGAGTGACCAGCCTGTAAAGAGAAGACGGCTTGTTCCTATCCTGCTCTGTGGGAGAATAATTATGCTGGCAAATATTTCCTGAGCATTTACTATATGCCAGGCACTGTGCTAACCACTGTGGATTAAATCTATTAGATGATAAGCACAGCAACCCTGGGAGGTGGGTGCTACCGTCGCTATCCCCATTTTACAGGAAGAGATATTGCTACGGTTTTAATGTCCCCTCCAAAACGCATCTTGAAATTTATTTATTTATTTTTTCTTTTCTTTCTTTCTTCTTTTTTTTTTTTTTTTTGAGACTGAGTCTCACTCTGTTGCCCAGGCTGGAGTGCAGTGGCATAATCTCAGCTCACTGCAACCTCTGTCTCCCGGGTTCAAGCGATTCTCCTGCCTCAGCCTCCCGAGTAGCTGGGACTACAGGCGTGAGCCACCACGCCCGGCTAATTTTTGTATTTTTAGTAGAGATGAGGTTTCACCATGCTGGCCAGGCTGGTCTCTAACTCCTGACCTCAAGTGATCCACCCATCTTGGCCTCCCAAAGTGCTGGGATTTCAGGTGTGAGCCACCACATCCAGCCAATAAATGGTAATTTTTACTCTGTCATTTTAGAGACAGCGAAGCATAGTGGTTAAGCTTTTGGACACTGGAGTGATGGTGCCTGGATTTGAATCTTGGCTCTGCCGCCTATTGGATGGATGATTTTGAACAAATGACATGACCACTCTGTGCCTCAGTTTCCACATCTGTGTATTGGGGTTAATAAGTCTCTGTGTCATAGGACATTGTGGGGATTAGATGAGTTCATTTACATGAGGCGCTTGGTACATGACAGGGGTTCCCTGAGTGTCGGCTATTTATCATCACTCTCCTCCCCGTTGGCATCATCAACCTCTTCTAGCACCCCCAGCCTCTCTGTTCACAGCGGCCGCTGTTACTCACAGCCACCCCCATCTGTACTGCACTGTGCTGGGGCTGGGGCTGGGGCTGGGGCTGGGGCTGCTGGAGGGAGAGAGCACCTTGCCCTGCAGATGCCCTGGCTTCTAGCCCAGCCCTGCCACTGACTTCCTACGTAACTTTCGGCAAATCACTGTTCCTCTCTGGCCATCAGTCTCTGTGCCTGTAAAATGGGGCTAATGATACTTTGCACAGGCCCTTGGGAAAATAGCTATGTGCCTACAGGGTCACATTCAGGAAAGCCAAGTATAAAAAGTTACAATTTCCCAAACACGTAGAGAATTATTCACCCAGCGTTTGTCACACCCTGGCTAAGTGCTGGGAATAGTGAGATGAGGAAGGCACAGGGCTTGCTTTCAAGGAGCTCTTCGGTTTCTTGCTGGGTTGTTAATCCCCTTCAAGGCCTATTCAGGTGCCACCTCCTGATTTAGGAAGCCGCCCAGATCCCTACTGCCAGGGCCCTCCTTGGAAATGTTGGAGCCCTGACCATTGCCCTGGCCTCATGGTTATCTGTGTCCATATTTTATCTGCCTCTCTGATTTGTGGGCTCATTCCCACTTGTCTGTTGCATTGCTCTAACATAGGCACCCCATGCCAACACCCCGCACAGTGCCTGAGCCCGAATAGCTTGCAAGTTACATAAACTCAACTCAAACCAGCTGAATTAAGCCAAAAAGGAAGTATATTGATTCATGAAACAAATGTTCAAGAGTATAATTGGCTTTAGGCATGCTTGGCCCCAGAACTCAAAGTCATCGGAAATCTCTCCACCTTTCTCTCCTCTCTGCTTATATCTTTATTGCTTTATTCTCAAGCGGGCTCTCCCCTTCCCCCATGATGGAAAAGCCGGCCCACAGCAGCGGCACAGCTGTGTCCTGCAGCTTTGCAGCCCAGGGTGAGAGGGTCCCTCTTTCCTGATGGCTACAGCAACAGTCCTGGGGCTAGATCTCGGTGGGTCACCTTTGGTTACTTGTTCATCTCTGAACAAGTCACAGTGACCTAGCAGATGGGATCGATCTGCTTATTGGCCAGGCCCTCCCTGCAAAACCATGGTGGAGACATCCCTTCCAAACTTCACGGGCAGAGAGAGGGCCATTACTGTAAGGAAGAGAAACTGATGTGGAACAGAAAACACCACATGCCCATTCAAGAATCCACTGAAAATATGTAAGCAAGGCAAGGATTGGGTCAAATCTGGTTTTAAGACAGTTTATCTGACTACGTATATAAGAAAGATCAGGGCTGGGTGCGGTAGCTCATGCCTGTAATCCCAGCACTTTGGGAGGCTGAGGCGGGTGGATCACTTGAGGTCAGGAATTCAAGGCCAGCCTGGCCAACATGGTGGAACATGTTGAAACATGGTCTCTACTAAAATACAAAAAGTAGCCAGGTGTGGTGGCAGGCGCCTGTAATCCCAGCTACTCGGGAGGCTGAGGCAGGAGAATCACTTGAACCCAGGAGGCAGAGGTAGCAGTAAGCCAAGATTGCACCACTGCACTCCAGCCTGGACGACAGAGAAAGTCTCTCTAAAAAAAAAAAAAAAGAAACAAAGAAAGAGAGACAGATTGGGGCCAGGTGCGGTGGCTCACACCTGTAATCCCAGCACTTTGGGAGGCCGAGGCAGGCGGATCACCTGAGGTCAGGAGTTTGAGACCAGCCTGACCAACACGGTGAAACCCTGTCTCTACTAAAAGTACAAAATTAGCCAGGTGTGGTAGCACACACCTGTAATCCCAGCTACTTGGGAAGCTGAGGCACAAGAAACACTTGAACCTGGGAGGTGGAGGTTGCAGTGAGCTGAGATGCACCATTGCACTCCAGCCTGGGCAACAAGAGCAAAACTCCATCTCTAAAAAAAGAAAAGAAAGAAAGAAAGATCTGGCGGGGAGAAACCTTGAGGCAGGTGAGGGGTCATATGGAGGTGCAGAGAGTGGGCTTGGTCCTGCAGGCTAAGGGAATTCAGCTCTGGTCCCCTTGCCTTACAGAGAAGTAAAGTGAAGCAGGTGAGAGAGGTCAGAGGTGCTCAGGGCCTGAAGTTCCACCATATGGCTGCTGAGGTGGGAGGATCACTTGAACCCGGGAGGTGGAGATTGTAGTGAGCTGGGATGGTGCCACTGCACCCCAGTCTGGGTAACAGAGTGAGACACCGTCTCAAGAAAAAAAAAATTACCGCTGCCGTGCGCGGTGGCTCACGCTTGTAATCCCAGCACTTTGGGAGGCAGAGGCGGGCGGATCACGAGGTCAGGAGATCGAGACCATCCTGGCTAACACGGTGAAACCCCATCTCTACTAAAAATACAAAAAAATTAGCTGGGCGTGGTGGCGGGCACCTGTAGTCCCAGCTACTCGGGAGGCTGAGGCAGGAGAATGGCATGAACCCAGGAGGCGGAGCTTGCAGTGAGCCGAGATTGTGCCACTGCACTCCAGCCTGGGCGACAGAGCAAGACTCCGTCTCAAAAAAAAACAAAAAAACAAACAAACAAAAAAATTACCATTTATTTTCTCAGTGTGCTGAGACTTTACATTGCTGCTGTCAATCAATCTTCATGGCAGCCCCATTTTACAGATAAGGACACTGAGGATCAAAGGGGTTAAGCAACTTGCCCAAAGTCACTCAGCTCCTGAGTGGCAGAGCCAGGGACTGAACCCTGAACGTCCCACTGCTCTATCTCCCCTTCTCTATTCTTGGTCTCTGGTTCGCAGCGCCAGGCCTCTCTCCAGCTCCAGTGTCTTCAGCACCACAGGCGTGGACAGCACCAAGGCCTGTCCAGCATTAAGTGCGAGGCTGGGGGAGGTTCCAGGAGGATAGGGAGCCAGGCACGGAGGAAATGCCGCAGAACTGGAACCCAGGCCCCCAGCGCTGGAAAGGCATATATGGATGTACTGCCATTCATTTGACCAAACTCTGAATGACAGACACTTGGGTCGTGGCTAACCTTTTGCTATTACTATAAACAATGAGTAGCCTTGTACAGAAGTCATTTTGCCATGTGCAGGTGAGTCCGTATGATAAAGTCTAGAAATAGGCTTGCTAGGTTAGAGGGTGAGTGAGTTTGGAATTTCTGGAGAGTGCCCAACACCCCCCATCCCACCCCACAGAGCTGTGGCACTGAACCTCTCCCAGCCACGTAGGAAGGGGCTGCTTCTTGGTGAAACACAGCAGTTGTCACTAGCTCCCTCACCCTCTCTGGGCCTCAGTGTCACTTTGGGACATGGCCAGACAGTCCCAGGTAGTTAATATGCTACCTTGCAATGGGGGAAAGTAGTGGGTGTGGTAGCTCATGCCTATAATCCCAGCACTTTGGGAGGCCAACAAGGGAGGATCTCTTGAGCCCAGGAGTTTGAGACCAGCCTGGGCAACATGGTGAAATCCCATCTCTACAAATTTTTTTTTGAAAAGCAGGCAGGAGTGGTGGCATATGCCTGTAGTTCCAGCTACTCAGGAGACTGAAGTGGGAGGGTTTCTTGAACTCAGGAATTCGAGGCTGCAGTGAGCTATGATTGCACCACTGCACTCCAGTCTGGGTAACAGAGCAAGACCCTGTCTCAAAAAAAAAAAAAAAAAAAAAAAAAGAAAAGAAAAGAAAAGAAAAAGAAAAAAGAAATAGTGAGAAGTAAGAACAGGTTTCTCATTTGTATTTGCATAAAATAACTCTAGAATCAACACTAGACATTAGCAAGGTGCTTAGCCACCTCAGCACCCAACCTGGTCACTCTCCACTCACTCCCACCTCTCTGAGCCATCATCAGTCACCTCTCAGCTACCACAGCAACTTACTAACTGGTCCCTGCCTCCAAGCCCTCTCAACACAGCTGCCAAGGAGCATTCCCTTACCCCCAGGCTCAGCAGCCTCTACTGGCTCTCATTGTGTTCCAAAGCCCTTACCATGGCCCTCCATTTACCCTTTGGCCCATCTCCCCCCCATATTCTGCCTCCCTCTGCTCAACACGCTGGTCCCCCCACTGTTCCCTGAACATGCCAGCCCCCTGTCTGGGGGCAAGTCCTTCTGCCTTCCCCTAGATATCCACAGCACAGCTCATTCCCTACAAGTTCTGTTCAAATGACAAAATGACACCTTCTCAACCAGGATTGCCCTACTGCACTCCTGACCCCCCCCCATGCCCTGCTCTATTTTTTCCTGGTAGGATGTATCACTTTCTCATGTATTATATAATGTACCAACTTCTGACATCTATTATGACTGTCTCTTTTCCTCACTAGAACTTAAGCAGCTGGAGGGCAGGAATTTTGCTGTCTGGTCTTGTTCACTGCTGTATCCTCCAGCTGCTAACATGTGCCTGGAGTATAGAAGGCACTTAGTAAATGTTTGTTGAATAAATGAATTAACCTCTGAGGAGAATGGCAGGAACTGGGTGAAAAGGGGTAGCGTAGGCATGAAAATTCCTACCGGGTACAATCCAGTTGGGTCTGGGGAGTAAAAGGAACCAAGAGACCAGACAGTGCCAGAGGAAAGTGCCAGGGAGGGGTGGCACCTGCCCGCCCACCTGCCTGCACCCCCAGAGAAGGGCCAGAGGAGAACAACTGCCCCCTGAATTCCCACAGCAGGCCAGTCTGTGCTCAAGAAGCAGGGGAGGAATCTGGGAGCCCCCTTCACACCCTGCCCAGAGTGGAGGCCTCCCTCTATGTCCCGAGGTGGATGTACCAGCCTGGCTCTCTGCCTTGTAACACCTTCCCTGAAGGATGTCCCCGACCTTCACCTTTGTTTACTCCAGTGCAGAAGTCTGTTCACTTGTGGAATCTCCTATTCACTGCCAGAGGGTGGGGGCCACCAAGCCAGGCTAGTGAGGTTCTTGGAAAGACTCTGGCCTCTGCTGTTGGTCCCAGGGAGCCCTGGTCATCCCTGGCCAGCCCCTCCTTCTCTCCAGTTTTCCAGTGGGTGAAATGAGGTAAGCTACTAGTTCTGCCTTCACGGGGCACCATGAGGCTCAGGACCTTCTTCCCTGAAAAATGTCCCATGTAGCACATGCATACTTCTACACACAACAGCAGGGACAGGGCTCCTGGGAGCCCACAAGCCTCTAGATAAGGCCTCTCCCTCCCCTTGGTCCTCAACACAAATACAGACCCCAGCAAGCTTTCTGTTTTGGCTCACAAAGAGAAGGAGGAGGAGTATATTCTCAAATCCCCTCCTTGTCTTCCCTTCGGGGTATAAATCCTGGCTCCATCCCTTTTTAGCTGTGTGACCTTGGGCAGTTTGTGCCACCTGCCTAAGCCTCAGTTTGCCCATCAGTAAAATGGGGCTGAGAATGCTCATTTAACAGGATGGGGCACAAAGTGGGTGTCAGTAAGAAGTTGCTGGTCAGAGGGGCCTGGACCTTGGATCTGTCGTTGACTCTGCAGGTGAGCCTGGGGAAGGCCTTCCTCTCACTGTGCCTTGGTTTTCTGTTCTGTAGATGGAGGCCATTTGGCTATGCTGAATCTCACCCCTGAACCCACTTGAGGCAGAAGGCACTGTAGGGATCCCCTGACCCCGCTCCTCCACTTCCCACATGAGGAGCCTGGGAGGAAGAGTCCAGACTTTCCTGAGATCAAGCTGCAGACACTTGGACATTCTTCCTCACTGCCCTCCCCACCAGGGGCAGTCTGGGGTTCCCGGGGCTGTGAACTCCTATTTGGCTCCGGCCTCTGCCTCAGCCTCCCCTCCCAGCTGGTGCACAGTCCGCCCCTTCTCGGGGCACATCTTTGGTGGCTATTAATAGCTTGTGACGCTGCCTTCCTGCAGCTGGTGCCCAGAGCTGGAACAGGCTCTCCAGCCTCTCCTGCCCTCCCCAGTGAGGCACTGTGAAAGGCAGGGGTCCTGGGTCCTATCCTCCTGGCTACTGGAGGGTGCAGGGCCCGGGGCAGCCCCCAGGGGTGTGGGATAAGCTGGGGAGGTCTTCCCAGCCTGGCTGCCTGGGTGAGGCAGGTGGCCCAGCACTCAGGGGTATCAACAGGAGTGCAGGATGCTGGGCACAGTAGGTGCCCACCACTGGCTGACAGGCAAGGGGACTGGGCTGAATGTCTACCAGTGGACAAGTGGTGGTCTCTGGTGAGATGGCTGGGTGAACAGAGGCCCCAGAAGAGATGGGCCCTTCTCCAGCTGCATCCTTCACCTCCTTTGCCTCCCTGAGCTCCTACACCGGGATGGACTGAAGACAGCCCAGCCTAGGAGCCTGCGGTCCAGGTTCAGGCTTTCACCGCCATTTCTAGCCTGGAAGCTTTGGATCTGCCACTTACCGTCTCCCCATTTCCCCATCCTCAGTAAAGTGAAATAATAAAATAACAGTGCAGTTTAGGGTACTATTAGTAATAGCCAACATTTATGAGCCACTGAAAGTATAAGCACTGTATATATATTGACTCATTTCAACTTCATGACAATCTCAGGAGAAGCTATTATTAATCCCCTTACATCCTTTACAGTTCAGGAAACTGAGACTCTGAGATAGGAAGCTTGGCCAGGCACAGCGGCTCAAGCCTGCAATCCAAGCACTTTGGGAGGCTAACACAGGCAGATGGCTTGAGCCTAGGAATTCAAGATGAGCCTGGGCAACATAGCAAGACCCCATTTCTATAAAACATTAAAAAAAAAATGAGCCAGGCATGGTGGCATGCGCCTGTGGTCCTAGCTAGTCGGGAGGCTGAAGCGGGAGGATCACTTGAGCCTGGAAGGCCAAAAGTGCCATGAGCTGTGATGACGCCACTGCACTCCAGCCTAGGCAACAGAGTGAGATCCCATCTCAAACAAACAAACAAACAAACAAACAAAAAAGAGAGATAGGAAGCTTAAGTGATGTGTCCTGTGTCACACAGCTAAGAAGTCACGTAGAGATCATCTATCTGGCTCCAAAATATTCAATAAGTATTTGTTGAGCACCTACTATGTACTTGGTACTATTTTTGGGTCTGGAATACATTCGTGAACCAAACAAACTGTCCTGCCCTCAAAGAGCTCATATTCTAGTTTGGAGGCACACAGTGACAAAGATGAGCAGGAGATGTGTGTCAGGCAGTGAGAAGTCCTCAAGGAACAGCAGAGCGGGAAAGAGGCAAGGGAATTGTGGGTGGGAGGCCAGCCCATGGAGAAGGCTGCATGCACATAGGCATTGTGGTGGGCGGGCTCTCCTGGCAGAGGGCACTGTGTGGAGGCCTAGAGGTGGGACCTGCTGTGTGCACAGGGATAAGGGAGTGAAGGGCAGGAGATGAGAGCAGAGGTGAGAAGGGATGGCTGTTGTCATTCAGGGCCTCCGAGGCCATGGCGGGGACCTGGCTTCCACTCCAAGTGGGATGCACTCCAAACCCCAAACCTGAACAAACCCTTCCTGAAGCCAACCTGGCCTGGAGAAGTGAAAAGTGACAGTGTCAACCTGACCCGATCAGACTCAGAAACTCCGAGGCCAGCTGTGGCAGCATCGCACACTGTTCTTGGAGTGGGGCTGAGGAGGGGGTGGGGGAAGCTTAGAGGTTTCTCGGGGAGGCCTGGGGCAAGTGCTGCAGATTCCTCCCTGACACAGTTCTCACTGCCATGGCCCCGTGTAAGTGGAAGCGTGGGGCAGGAAATCTAGCCCTGGAGCTCAGGCGAGGTCCCATCAGGTCCATTTGACTGGCCTTGGCTTGTGGACCATGTGTGAATGGTATCAAGGGAGGCAGACTCTTCCCTAAATCCCAGCTACGGAATCTTGAGGAAACAGCTTCACCCATACACCTCCAGTTTTTCCATCTGTAAAGATGGGGCTAACTTTCCCTTTCTGCTCAGGGCTTTGAGGACTTATATGAACAACAAACCCTTAATGGGTACTGGGTGCCATTCATGGCACTTTACATTCATTCTCTTACTCCTCACAGTGACCCTAAGAGGCAAGTACTAATATCATCCCCCTTGTTTACAGATGAGGGACCTGAGGCACAGAGAGATTAAGCACCTTGTCCAAGGTCACCCAGCTGAATCTAGGGATTGCGTTTTTTACCACTAAGCTGTGTTATCTGTGGGCCCCATTGTGCCTCCTGGAGACACCTAGGGTCAGGGCTGGCAGGCACCTGAGCTCCCAAGGTGGAAAAGTCTCCTCTCTGCAAGGCCTTGAGCCCTGGCTCAGAAAGTCACAAATTATGCTCATGGATAGGTAAACCCCTTCTGGCTATGGTGGGGGACCCTAACAAACCCAGAAAAGCTGCCCTGGAGGCAGTGGGGGCCCAGCGCTATACAGCCTCTCTGGGCCCAGATCAGAAGGAGGAGGATGGTCCCCTCCAGCCCCACCCGTGCCCTGTCTCCCAGCCCCTTGGGGCCATCCCAAAGCCCAGAGGCAGTTGGAACATCCTCTGCCCCTCTGGTGGTTGCCTAAAGCCATGAGGAAGGAGTGCTAGTGCAGTGGGAGATCACAGCAGTTCCCTGGGCCTGGATCAGCTCATTTGCATACCCCGGCAGGGAAGGCCAGAGCAAACACTTAAGCAGCAGGCCCTGCTCAAGCGCTTCATCTGCAACAGATCCACTTAATCCTCACAACAACTTTAGGAAGTGGCAGCTATTATTGTCTCCATTCTACGTCAGAGGAAACTGAGGCCCAGGAGACAACTGACCTGCCCAAGGTCACGCAGCCAGAGAATGGTGGAGGTGGGCTTCAAACCTGGGCACTCAGACACTGGCTTCACACAAACCTTTGGTGGCCCACACAGCTGGGTGCAAATCCTGACTCTGGGGTTAACGTGGTGCTGTCCTCAGGGCTAAATGAGAAAACGCTGTCCAGCACTGAGCACTTGACACTAGGAGATGTTCCGCTGCTTCCTCTCCAACCCTGACATTACGTGGTTTCCCAAGGTGGGGCTGAGCTGGACCTGTCCTCTCTCCAGGTATGGCCAAGCAATTGTGGGGCGATGGGAGGGTGGCTGGGGAGGAGAGGGGACTTTAACTGGCCTTTCCAGGCCTAGCTGCCACCCCTTCCTGAGACCTGAAAGGGGGAGCAGGAGGCGAGCCAGGGGAGGGGTGGTTTGGGGAATACTTTGGCCTGGGGCCCATCCTTCTGGGGCAGAAAGTCTCCAGGAAACTCTCCAGCAGAAGGCAGCAGGCGCCTCACGTGGAAAGCATAGGCTGGGAAGGAGGAGGGCTTTACCCACAAAACCACGGTCCCAGCCCTCAGGCAGAGTGCTAGAAGAGGCTCAGGAAGGGCCTCCGCCCTCACCCACACCTGGGGCAGGGGCAAGCTCCACTTCACAATGCTATCCTGCCTCCCAGGGACCCCTTCCCTTTCTTGAGGACAGAACCAGAAGCCTCTGCCTCCCTAGACCAGCTCCCAAGGAAGAGTAACTGTGGAGGCTCAGTCACCCACCTGCCGACGCCCCATTTAATAAGGGCCAATAGTTAGTGAGCATTTTTGATATGGGATACCCTGTCCTAGGTCCCTTCCATTCTTTAGCCTGCTTAATCCCCCTGATGATCCTACAAGATAGTATTATCCCTCTTTTATAGATGAGGGCACTGAGGCCCAGAAAGGGTAAGTGCCTTGCTGAAGGTCACACAGCATCTCAGTGAGCTTCAAGCCCAGGCAGAATCCAGAGCCTGAGCTCTCCTCCATGGTGCTCTGGTATCTGCTTTGACCTCAGGTTGCTGGAGACCTGTGTTCAGAAAAAGGGTGCACTCCCTTCTAGAGCTGTGCCCAGTGACAGGGGCCTGCTGCTGGCCCCTGGCCCAGCTACTCCACAATGCCCATCAGTTTCGTTTCTGTTCAGGAAATGTCAACTTTTGTTTCTTTTTTTTTGAGACGGACTCTCAGTCTGTCACCCAGGCTGGAGTGCAGTGGCACAATCTCGGCTCACTGCAACCTCTGTCACCTGGGTTCAACCAATTCTCCTGCCTCAGCCTCCCTAGTAGCAGGGATTACAGGAATATGCCACCGCACCTGGCTAATTTTTTGTATTTTTAGTAGAGACAGGGTTTCACCATGTTGGCCAGGCTGGTCGCAAACTCCTGACCTCAAATGATCCACCTGTCTCAGCCTCCCAAAGTGGTGGGATTACAGGTGTGAGCCACCGCACCTGACCAATATTTTTTAGTTACTCCTATAATTAGGCCCCCAGCTCTCCTGCCTGACCAAAACTTAGACCAGCTTGGACTTAGTCCTAGAAAGTTAGAAGGAAGAAACTTACAGCTACAAGAAGCTTTCATCCAGTTCTTCTGTGGACAGAGGGGTGAACGGAACCCTGGACAGTAGCCCTGCCCCAAGAGTCCTGAGCAAGACCTGCACCTAGAACCAGGTCAGGAGGGGAAGGGAAGGACTCGGGTTTGCTGTCCCTGGGACACATGGGGCAAGTGGGACAGAGAAAACAGGTTTTTGGTTGCTGGATGTCACTAGTTCAGGGGTAAGAGTGCAAGATGGGATCAAGAGTGGAAAGTGGAACCAGGCTGGAGAAGTTCAGGTTCACTTCACCACATAGCCCTTAAGACCCTGGGTGGACACTATTCTGTGCACGTTCTAACTTGACCATGGGGGTGGGAGGGAACACCCATGAGTGCAGAACACACACAGACGAAGGTTGCCCACCGAACAAAGATTTTTTGGGCTGTGTGTGGTGGCTGTAATCTCAGCATTTTGGGAGGCCAAGGCAGGTGGATCACCTGAGGTCAGGTGTTCGAGACCAGTCTGGCCAACATGGTGAAACCTCGTCTCTACCCAAAATACAAAAATTAGTTGGGTGTGGCCGGGTGTGGTGGCTTACACTTGTAATCTCAGCACTTTGGGAGGCCGAGGAGGGTGGATCACGAGGTCAGGAGTTCAAGACCAGCCTGGCCAAGATGGTGAAACCCCGTCTCTACTAAAAATACAAAAAATTAGCCAGGCATGGTGGCGGGTGCCTGTAATCCCAGCTACTCGGGAGGCTGAGGCAGAGAATTGCTTGAACCCGGGAGGTGGAGGTCGCAGCGAGCCGAGATTGTGCCACGACACTTCAGCCTGGGCAACAGAGCGAGACTCTGTCTAAAAAAAAAAAAAAAAAAAAATTAGCTGGATGTGGTGGTGGGCATCTGTAATCTCAGCTACTCAGGAGACTGAGTCAGGAGAATCACTTGAACCCAGGGGCTGGAGGTTGTAGTGAGCCGAGATCTCGCCATTACACTCCAGCCCGGGCAACAAGAGTGAAACTCTGTCTCAAAAAAAAAAAAAAAAAAAAAAGATTTTTCTGGGCCTGCAAACCCAGATGCCAGCATCGGGGGCCAGGAGGTGACCTAAGGGAGCGAACGGCTGCCTGGGGGTGGACTGGAAGGCAAGGGCCCTGTCTAAAGAAGGTGGTCATTCTCCCGCTGTGGCCTGAGGTTGCCACATCATCTGATTTTTCAAGAAGATCCAAAAATCAGCTTTTGTATGTGAAATTGCCTCCCCCCGACTTTTTTTAAGCACTCACAACAAAGACAAACATGTAAAATACATTGGACCAACAAAAATCGTCTATAGGCTGTATTTTACAGCACGTGCCCTACCATACGCTGGGCTCTGAATTAGACAATGCTGATGCAGTATGGACAAGACAAACCTGGTTCCCGTCTCCTGGAGCTGAGTCTAGATGTGGAGACAAACTCTCACTGCACATGTAGACACACGCCACTACCTCCAAGCCACCAAACCACCAACCAATCAAATTCAGCTCTCTACTACGTGCCAGCTCAGGTCAGCTCAAAAAGGGAGGTGGAGGCAGAAAACGGCTCCGGAGCCATCCTAGAGTGGGGCTTTTCAGGTCAGGGGAAGAGCACGTGACGGAGGCAGAGAATTAGAGGACACGGAGGAGATGGGCTAGGAGAGGTGGTTTAGGGCCAGGCTGCAGTCCAGAGACTATCTGGACTCAGCGACTTGATTCTGGACTCAATGGAGAGCCACTGCAGGTTAGTGAGGAGGGGAGGTCTTGCTCCTTGTCCTCCTCTGGCCTCCTCACAGTTTGCCCTGGACACAGTGACTCAAATTTCTGCTCTTCAGCCTCTGGTTCCACTGCCTTGCCTGTGGGGTGTGTGACAAAGCCCTGGGCTTCTGGGAACCCCCACTGGGGGGAAATGAACTCCTTCAGCAATGGGTAGAGCAAACCTGGATGCTTGTCCTGCCCAATTTCGATCTCCATCCGCCCTTCAAGCTGCAGAGAGGCTCACTCTCTGTCATTTTCTCTGGGAAGGGCCACGTGCTTGCCCAAGGTCACTCAGTCTTCAGGGCACCTGATTCCCCCACAGCCTGTGCTGAAGGTGGCTGCCTCAACTGTCCTGAAATTGGCAGGAGAGGCTGCCAGAGGTCTGCCCGCATCAAGTGCCCCCTACCCTCGTCTCCAGCTGGTCACATCCTCACCCTTGGGTCAGTGCCAGCAGCAGGTGGGGGTGGGGGCACTTGGTGCTGGGAAGGTGGGAGATGAGGAGTCAGCCACCCAGGCTCAGGGCTCCCAAGGCTGTAGCAGGACAGGGATCAGCTGCTTCAGGTGTAGGGTCAAGAATCTCTCAGCTGGACCTGGCCCGGTCCACTTCAACAGGCCCAATGGGACGTGCCCAGGGGTCTGATGATCAGGAGACATCAAGAAAGGAGATAGGAATGAAGTGGGGAAAAGGACCCTGACTCTAGCGCATGGTCCATCACAGACATTGGCGACAGGTTTGTTGAATGAATAAGTGAAGGAGCTACTGGCAGGGCTAGCTGTATCCTGGGTCCTGCCTTCCCGAGCCTCAGTTTGTGCACCTATCAAATGGGTCCAGCATCACTGCTTGTCTGCAGAAGGCTCAGAGAGAAGAGATGAGAGGAACTCCCAGCAGCCCAGAGTGTGTTCTTTCCATGCAGTCCAGCCCCTTCTCAGGATCTGATTCAGGATTTCAGGGTACAATGTCCCCTAGGGTCTCTCGGCTTCCTCATATGCGGTAGAGCCTGGGGTTCAGGACCTCACTGAGGGCCAGGCTGGGGTACGGCCGTGTGTACCACCTGGAAAGCCACAGTGAGACCCTGGAATTGGCCCTTGGTTGTCTGGGACACATTGAGCCAACCCTTGGTTTAACCTGGGTGTTCTCCAGGTTAGGAGGGGAAGGGAAAGACTTGGGTTGCTGTCCCTGGGACAAATGGGAACAGAACGGTGCCCTGACCTGAAATAGCTTCTTCATCTAGGCTACCTCTCCTCCCCAGAAACTAGCGCCTCACTTTGGGGGGTACTTACTCCCTCCCTGTCCCACAGGGAGTACAAAGTATGGTTTAGGTAAAGACCGCCAGTGTGGCCTGGGTCGGGCAGCAGAGTCACAGGGAAGATGCGATTCCCATTCATCCGCTCAAACACACCCCTTCCCCGCACTCTCACAGACAAAGACACACACCCGAAGCCCCAGCCATCACCCAGGGCCACATAAGGCAGCCCCCCTCACCTGTGGGCACCCCCAAATTTTCCCCTCTCGGGGGGACTTCACTAGAAGCTCAGCTTGGCCGTGGGGGAGGGGTATTCACACTCCAAGGACCTGGGGGCCAACCTCCAGGCTCGCAGCTTTTGGGGGGGGACTCTCCGCCCTCTTCCCCCCTCTCCATGGCACAACGGGCTCCACCACCACTCCTCCGTGGGGCCGGGGAGCTGCGCCCGAGCCTCAAGGCTAGGGAGTGGGGTGGGGGAAGGGAGAGGAGGAGGGGGCGGCTCCTCCAAGCGAGACACAAAGAGACGTCCTTCAGCCTCGGCTCCATGGCGACGCTGGGGAAGGGGGAGCGCGCAACCCGATACTTCCTTCCCCACCTGCAGGGCTATGGGGACCTCGGTGGCCACTCACCTGCCGCCCCTCACCTGGGCCCGGCTTACCTGGGCTGGGGCCGCGGGGACGCCGCGGCAGGGGGCCTGGGCGCCGTCGCGGTCTTCGTCTGCCCGGCCCCGGGGGCTCAGGGCGCCACGACCATGGACCGGGGTGCAAGCGGTGCCGCCAGGGGCTCAGTCGCCCAAGTCCTGGAGCTTTAGGGGGGGGATCCCCGAGGCTTCTTGCTGGTGAGAGTGTCTCTTGCTGTCCCCGGCTGCCTAGATTTGGGATTTCTATGTACCGGAGTTGGGGGGAATTGGGATCCCCTGATCTAGGGGCGTTCTGAGCTGGGTCTTCTTGTCTTGAGGTGTGGAGTTGTAATGACCGGATCTTGGGAGGGGGTTCTCGCAATCCCGGCCTGGGGGCACTGCGTTCTAGGTCTTGGGGCGGGGGCCCAGACTGAGGAGGGGGAGTCCTTGCGGTGCCGTAGGGGGCTTGCTGTCTTCTAAATACCGAGGAAGTCTCCGCTTTCCCCGCAGGGGAGTCGCTCGGTGTCGGATCCGGGAGGGCCCCCCCTCTTCCCCGAGGCTCGCCGGATCCTGGATGTGGAAGGGGGCTCCCCGCACTCCTCGGCTGCGGGGGCTTTAGTGGGTCCCGGCCACCGGCGGGCGCTGGAAGCCCCTCAGCCGCTGGGGGGCTCGGTCGCCGCCGCTACGAGCAGCCCGGCCCTGCGCTCCCGGCCCCCGGCCTGGCCCGGGCTCCGGCTGCGGCTCCAGCTCGCGCTCCGCCTGGCGCTCGGGCCCCGGCCCCGGCGCCCGCCCGGGCTGCGCTCCATCGCGGCATCGCGGCTCCGCCCTCCAGCCAGCGCGCACCTGCCCGCCCGGCCCGCGGCTCCGCCCTCCGGCTCGCGCGCCGCCGCCCGCCCCTTTGTCCGTCCCGCTCGGCGCGCGCCCTCGCGCAAGCGCGCTCACCCGCCGCGCGCCCGCCCTCCCGCCGCGCGCCGCGGAGCGCAGATTCTCCCCGCGCGGCGCCCCCACCCCCTTCCGGCCGCGCTGGGTCCTAGCGCCGGTGGCTCCCGAGCTGGCTCCCACCCCCCACCCCCCACCCACCCCACTCCTTTTCTAGGTCAGAGCCCACGAGGGGGCGAGAACGAGGTTACAGAGGACTCGGGGGAGTCTGAGAGGGTCACCTGGTCCAGCTTTCTGGGCCCTGCGGGACGAGACTGCCCCAGACTGTCCCGGTCTGTGCTAGTGGGGCGGAGCCTGTGTGTGTTTGAAGGAGGGAAAACAAATCCAGGTTCTGCATTCGGATATGCATTTCATTCATCCATGCGTCCGCCTGCCTGCCTGCGCTTCCATCCATCCATCCATCCGTCCGTCCATCCATCCATCCATCCATCCATGCATCCTATTTCCAGCGAGACGTCAGAGAACTCACAGTCTTCTTGGGGAAGAGGTCATAAACTTGGGCCTGGGTGGTTGCCCTATCCAACTGAGGTCGCCTTTGCGATCCCTGCTGCAAATAGGCAGTGACTAGTCCAGGAGTGCAGCTGGGAGGAACTGCTCGCCGGATAGAAGGGAAGAAAGGAGATTCTAGGCAGAGGTACAGCAGGTGTAAGGGATGTTGCATTGTCTGTTTGATAACCGGAAATTGGTGGCCTGGATGAAGTGGGTGGATGGGGACAGAGATGAGATAGGGACAGCTCGTCCTTCCAGGCCCTGTTCTTTCTCCTCCCTGCAGCTCACTCTTTCCCTAGTGAGAAAGCCCCAATAGGACGCCTTCCCTATTTCTTTCTTTTTTTTTTGTTTTTTTAGCTTCAAGCTTCAAAAGCATTTCTTTTTCATTCTTTTTTTTAATTATTATTATACTTTAAGTTTTAGGGTACATATGCACAACATGCAGGTTTGTTACGTATGTATACGTGTGCCATGTTGGTGTGCTGCACCCATTAACTCGTCATTTAGCATTAGGTATATCTCCTAATGCTATCCCTCCCCCTTCCCCCCACCCCACAACAGTCCCTGGTGTGTGATGTTCCCCTTCCTGTGTCCATGTGTTCTCTTTGTTCAATTCCCACCTATGAGTGAGAACATGCGGTGTTTGGTTTTTTGTCCTTGCGATAGTTTGCTGAGAATGATGGTTTCCAGCTTCATCCATGTCCCTACAAAGGACATGAACTCATCATTTTTTATGACTGCCCCTATTTCTTCTAAGTTTTTGATCAGGCTGTTTTCTCAACCCAGCGTAATCCTCCCAGCCACTCCCGACTGTTTCCAGAGCTTTAGGAGCCAGGGATTGCAAACGCAAGTACCTACAGGCGCAGACATGAGCGACTGGGGTCGCATGTAAAGTGATAGAGAGGGTGGAGAAGAGGGGAACTGGAGACATCGTGGGCTGTGCGTGGCTGGATGATATTCAAAGAGAAGCAGGACATCCAGAAATCTTCCAACTTTTAAATGTTTGAAACGAATTCCCAAAATTCGGAAATATTGAATGGGCCAAATGAAACACACTTTGCAGACAAATCTGGCCCCCAGACCATAGGTTGGCAACCTCTACCATTGAGAATATTGTTTCAGTTCTTAACTTGTCGGCCTCCTGCCTCTGTCTAGATTGTCTTTTTTCTCTTTTCTTTTCTTCTCTTCTCTTCTCCTTTCTTTCTTTTTCTCTCCCCGCCCTTCCTTCCTTCCTTTCTTCTTTCCTTCCTTCCTGCCTTCCTACCTTCCTTCTTTTTTTGACAGAGTCTTGCTCTGCTGCCCAGCCTGGAGTGCAATGGCACGATCTTGCCTCACCGCAACCTCTGCCTGCGGGGTTCAAGTGATTCTCCTGGCTCAGCCTCCTGAGTAGCTGGGATTACAGGCGTGTGCCACTATGCCTGGCTAATTTTTGTATTTTTACTACAGACGGGGTTTCATCATGTTGGCCAGGCTGGTCTCAAACTCCTGACTTCAAGTGATCCACCCACCTCAGCCTCCCAAAGTGCTAGGATTACAGGCATGAGCCACCGTGCCTGGTGATTGTCTTTTTTCTAGAATCCAAATCCTTTGGGATCATCAGGTCTGTAAAATACAAATGGGGTTGGGTTGCTGTCTTACATAAAACTGCCAAGGACTTCCTGTGTACCATCAGGGTAAAGTCTAACCTTACTTATCCTGGCATTCAAAGCCCTTAACATTTAGAGCCTGCTCTCCATTCCCCTACAAAGGACCTCTCTTCTCCATTCGGCCTTGACCTCAGCCACGCTATTCTAGGACATCTGCCTCTGTCTTTTTTTTTTTTTTTTGAGACAGGGTCTCACTTTGTCACCAAGGTTGGAGTGTAGTGGTGCAATCATGGCTCACTACAGCCTCAACCTCCTGGGATCAAGTGATCCTCCCACCTCAGCCCCCTAAGTAACTAGGACTACAGGTGTGCACCACCAGGCTCAGCTAATTTTTGTATTTTTTGTAGAGATGGGGTTTTGCCATGTTGCCCAGGCTGGTCTTGAACTCCTGAGCTTAAGCCTTCCATCCACCTCAGCCTCCCAAAGCGCTGGGATTGCGAGTGTGAGCCACCACGCCCAGCCCTGACATCTGTTTGTTTTTGTTTTTTTTTTTTTTCTGAGATGGAGTTTCACTCTTATTGCCCAGGCTGGAGTGCAATGGCACAATCTTGGCTCACTGCAGCCTCCGTCTCCCGGGTTCAAGTGATTCTCCTGCCTCAGCCTCCCAAGTAGTTGGGATTACAGGTGTGTACCACCACGCCTGGCTAATTTTTGTATTTTTAGTAGAGATGAGGTTTTGCCATTGTTGGCCAGGCTGGTCTTGAACTCCCGACCTCAGGTGAGCTGTCCACCTCAGCCTCCCAAAGTGCTGGGATTACAGGTGTGAACCACCTCACCCGGCCTGACATCTGCTTTTGATACCTCCACGCCTTTGTCTACTCGGTTTCCTCTGTCTGGAACACCTTTCCCTTCCTCCTTGTTTTCCAAACAAGTTCTCTTCTAAGAACTCTGTGTCTTCCCTTCCTCTCCCACACTCCTTGTCCTGCCAATGTAGAGGAGTTTCGGATTTCATTCTAACTTTGTTCTAATCCTCTCCAAGGCCTTAGTGCCGTAAATAAACTAATAGAGGGATTTGAGTTATTGGGTGTGCAGAAGAGGGGGCTGGAGAGGGAGAAAGCAGGAAGAAAACATTCTGTGTCTAAAAGCTGAGTCTCAGAATGTTAGCACTTAGAGAGCACTTTCCTCTTTTTGCAGAGGAAGAAACAGACCTAGAGAGGGGAGGAGTCAAATCAAGCTTTGCAGTGCCCCTAGCCACAGTTAATCAAGGGTTGCCCAGTTCAAGGCCACCTTCTGCGGAAACCTTCCCTGATTCCTTATCTGGGGCTTTGATTACCCATAGTGCAGTTAGTAAAGGTTTGCTGGCATGCATTGTGGGTAATTAAGTCCCCCTCCCGACTCCCTCTCAGTTCTACAGGGAGGGAAGTCCTGGTCCCCAAAGAGGGTATGCTCTAGCCAGGGGACACAGCATGGGTCCCATTAAATTTAAGCTGTGGCCGGGGCTGGGAAACTTTGGACTCCATGTGTTCTGGGACCAGCAGGTGAGAAGAGAGGGCACCAGCATGGCTGCACTAACTGACCCTGGTCAGCAGAGAGGGCAGGGCTGCTTTTACAGTGGGAGGACAAGGAGGAATATATGGGAATCCAGTGATCCATGGGTTACAATAACCAATAATTTAGGTCCCTCAGGACTGAAGGGTCGGGTCACATCACCAGGTAACCCACCAAGGCCTGCCAAGGCGACGGTGGAGAGTGTGGATAATTTAGAATGGATAGTGAAGAAAGAAAGAACAAGCGCTGGTTATGGCCTCTCGATAACTGCAGCAAGGAGGCGGGGGCTCTAGCATGTTCCACTAATCTCCCTCTTCAAAGTTTTCCCATAGAAAGAGAGGCTCACAGGATCCATGGTAGAGCTGAGTAGTGCAAGGGATGGAAGGTGACGGCCCTGAAAATGTGCCATTCAGACCTCTGACTTCAGGAAAAGTCATTGACCAAGGGCAGCAGCTGTGAAACCCATCTGTGGTTCACACAGGAAGGCTCTGGTTTGCTTCCCACGAGCTGATCCCAGCCAAAGAACTAAGGCGCGTCTGTTCGTGGAGACACAGGACTCCTCGAACAGGCAGCTTTGGATCAAGGACTCCCCCTTGACTTTGTAAAAACTTTCTCACTGCACTGCAGTTGAAGACTCTTCCTCTCCCATCATCCTTCCTTCTGTCTCTCTTTTCCACGTGTTAGATCTAGTACAGTCTGATGATCTTCCCAGCTTCCTCTTCCTCCCTCCTTCTTGGTCCCTCCCAAGGGTTTTCCTCAATAAATCATTTGCACATCTGGCCCACCTTGCCTGCTTCTCAGAGGATGGAACCAACACAACACATCTGAAGAGAGGCACAGAAGTGGTGACTTTGGGAGGCCAAGGTGGGCAGATCACCTGAGTTTGGGAGTTCAAGACCAGCCTGGGCCAACATGGCGAAACCCCATCTCTACTAAAAATACAAAAATTAGCTGGGCATGGTGGCACGCACCTGTAGTCTCAGCTACTCGGGAAGCTGAGGCCCAAGAATCACTTGAACTGGAGAGGCAGAGGTTGCCATGAGCCAAGATTGTGCCATTGCGCTCCAGTCTGAGCAACGGAGTGAAACTCTGTCTTTCAAAACAAAGCAAACAAAACCAAAAACAAACAAACAAAAACAAAAAAAGAAGTAGCAGCCTGCAATGGTGCAGTCCTTTGTCCCTGACGCCTAGGGATAAGCCACTCTTGCCAGCTCAAAGGTGCCACCTCTCCAGAGAGGGTCTTGATGGGTATAATTTGGATAGCGGAACACAAAGAAAAAACTTAGCCATGATTTTATTTTCCTTCTTTCTTCTTTTTTTTTTTTTTTTGAGATGGAGTCTTGCTCTGTCACCCAGGCTGGAGAGCAATGGCACAATCTCGGCTCACTGCAGCCTCCGCCTCCCAGGTTCGAGCAGTTCTCTTGCCTCAGCCTCCCAAGTGGCTGGGATTACAGGCACGTGCCACCATGCCCAGCTAATTTTTTTTTTTTTGTATTTTTAGTAGAGATGGGGTTTCACCATATTGGTCAGGCTGGTCTCAAACTCCTGACTTTGGGTGATCTGCCCACCTCGGCCTCCCAAAGTGCTGGGATGACAGGCGTGAGCTACCTAGTCCAGTCTCTTTTCTTTTTTTAATTTAATTTTTATTTATTTATTTAGTTTTATTTATTTATTTATTTCTTGAGATGTAGTCTTGCTCTTCTCCCCCAGGCTGGAATGCAATGATGCGATCTCGGCTCACTGCAACCTCCACCTCTCGGCTTCAAGCAATTCTCCTGCCTCAGCCTCCCGGGTAGCTGGTACTACAGGCTCCTGCCACCACGCCCAGCAATTTTTGTATTTTTAGTAGCGACAGGGTTGTACCATGTTGGCCATCCTGACCTCAGGTGATCTGCCTGCCTTGGCCTCCCAAAGTGCTGGGATTACAGGCATGAGCCACTGTGTTCAGTTGGCCATACTGATAGACTCCAGGCTTTGGGAAACTGATGGCATTTGGGGATTTCCCCAGCATGTCCTGTGATGCTCTTGATTCCTTGTGTCTCCAGTCATGACAGAGAGAAGGCATTCCTGGCTTGTTGGTCCACATTTATGATTTGTTGATGTTGTTGTTGAGATGGAGTCTCACCTTGTCGCCCAGGCTGGAGTACAGTGGCGTGATCTTGGCAACCTCCATCTCTTGGGTTCAAGTGATTCCTCTGCCTCAGCCTCCCAAGTAGCTGGGATTAAAGGGGCGTGCCAGCATGCCTGGCTAATTTTCATATTTTTAGTAGAGATGGGGTTTCACCATGTTGGCCAGGCTGGTCTCGAACTCCTGACCTCAGGTGATCCACCAGCCTTGGCCTCCCAAAGTGCTGGGATTACAGGCGTGAGCCACTGTGCCTGGCCTGTGATTTTTTTATTTTTTCAGAAGGGGTCTCGCTCTATTGCCCAGGTTGGTTCTGAACTCCTGGGCTCAAGAGATCCTCCCGCCTCAGCATCCTGAGTAGCTGGGACTACAAGTGTGAGCCACTGTGCCAGGCACAATGGTCTTTTGTAGTGGAGAACCTCCTCCCTGGGACCACTGGAAGACACAGGCCAAGTTATTGCTGATAGGAAAACCAAGAGGTCCAACAGAACCCAAGATGGATCGGATGGAAGATGGCACAGGTGCCCGGGACGTGCAGCACTGGAGTGGGTGATGGATCCTGGAATCTCTCCATCCCTTTTTGGAGTGTACATTCTGCAGTGAGAAACAGTGCCCCAGCACAAGTACTGATGAGCTCTCCACTGCCGAAATACAACTCTGTGACCATGGCCAGCAGGAAGCCACTGATGAGGGGAAACACAGTGTGACGGTGCCCAGGGAAAGAACCTGCTTCTTTGTGACATCACGGAGCTGCTGAGCCGCTTGAACTTGGAGCCACTTTGAGTTGGGAATTCTGGCTTTTTTGCAGCTGAAAGTGTGCCAACCCCGTACAAGAAGAACAGCTGCAGGTCTGCATGTGGCGGCTCGCGCCAACACTTTGGGAGGCTGAGACAGGAGCATCTGCTTGAGCCCAGGAGTTCGATACCAGCCTGGGCAACATAGTGGGATCCTGTCTCTACAAAAAATAAAAGTGATGAGAAGAATAGCCCTAAAATCATGAGAGTGGTTGCCCCTCGGGACGGCACCAAGGAAATAGGACTGGTGCGGGGAGTATAATAGGAATTCATCTTTATCTGTTATCCTTTGTCTTTTTATTTTGAGACGGAGTCTCATTCTGTCACCCAGGCCGGAGTGCAGTGGTGTAATCTCGGCTCACTGCAATCTCTGCCTCCTGGGTTCAAGTGATTCTCCTGCCTCAGCCTCCCGAGTAGCTGGGATTACAGGCGCACGCCACCGTGCCTGGCTAATTTTTTGTGTTTTTAGTAGAGACGAGGTTTCACCATGCTGGCCAAGCTGGTCTTGAACTCCTGACTTCATGATCTGCCTGCCTTGGCCTCCCAAAGTGCTGGGATCACAGGCGTGAGCTACCAAGCCCGGCCCTATCTTTTTTAAAATTAAAAATATCTGACACACGAGCCAGGTGCTGTGGCTCACACCTGTAATCCCAGCACTTTGGGAGACTGAGGAGGGAGAATCACTTGAGGCCAGGAATTCCAGATCAGCATGGGCAACATGGTAAGACCTCCGCCTCTACGACAAATAGCCAGATGTGGTGGCACACACCTGTAGTTCCAGCTACTCAGTAGGCTGAGGCAGAAGGATTGCTGGGGCCCACAAAGTCAAGGCTGCAGTGAGCTGTGATCATGGCACTGCACTCCAGCCTGGGCAACAGAGTGAGACCCTATCTCAGAAAAGAAAAACTCTGACATAAATGTGATAAAATGTTGACACTGTTTCTATTATAGCTGTAGGTGTGTGCACAGTTTACAGTTTTGTGTAAATTCTTTCACTGTTTCCAAAATAAGTAAAAACTATTCCATGGAAGTGTTTTAAAATGGGATCTTAAAAAGAAGGAGGAGGAGAAAAAGAAGAAGGAAAAAGAAAGAAGTTTTTCACTATGTGATTCTGTTTTCTCGAACTCCTGACCTCAAGTGATCCACTCGCCATGGCCTCCCAAAGTCCTGGGATTACAGGCATGAGCCACTGCGCCCGGCCTGATTATTTCTGTTTTCTAAAGCCTGGTCTGAGAACAACTGGAAATGCCCTCCTCTCTCACACTCTGAGAAGCACTAGGATTAGGTAGCAAGTTTGGCTCCCTGGGCCCCGCCACCCTGACCTCCTGCTCACGATGGCTCTGGGTGCTGGGCTCCTTAGGACTGGGACGAGGCCATTGCCCCTGGAAGCTATGCAACAAGGATCTGATGGGTCCTGACCCCGCCCATGCCCATGGGGGTGTGTGCTGGGGGAGCAGGGGGCATCCCCTGGACTTCCCAGAAGGAGGCAGGATTCTCCGAGCTGGCTCCATCCCAGCTCCTCCACAGGCATGGGTCAGCAAAACCAGCCCCAGGAATCGGAGACATTTGGCAGGAAACAAGTGCTGTCTGGAACACATCCCTAGGGGGCTGGCTTTAATGATGTCCTAGTTTGGGTTTCCCAGAAACTGACCCTGAGACAAGGATTCTAAAGCAAGTAGTTTGTTTGGTAGGTGATCCCAGGTAGTGGAGTGGTGGGTCGGTGGGTGAGACAGGAAGACAGCGACAAGCGTCGTGTTACCAACTCAGTCACCACCGTGGGCAATGGGAGGTGAACCCCACTGAGGAGCTCACAGAGACAGCGTACAACACGCTGCTCAGGGTTACTGCATCCAAAGGCAAAGGAGCTGGGGTATTGATACTCTGCCTGTCAGTCACCGGGGAGAGCTGCTGGGGCAGTGGGGAGGAGGGGAGGCAGCACTCTGGATGCCAGCAGAGCAGGCTGAGGCCAGAGAAGACCCTGGGAAAAAGAGATGAGGATGCTGGCAGGTCGGAGTGGGGAAGGGGTGGGGAAATGACATGTCTGCCACCAATTTCTAGCACTTAGAACAGTGACCAGCTGGGTCTGGCATGATGCCCACATATTCCTCTGTTACACAGCCTCTGTCCTCTACCTGGTAACAGAACCCCCGTTTCCTCTGGGTACCCACATTCCCTGATACATCCTTCCCTACCCATTAGGGGTTCCAATGGTGGGGTTCACTTGTTCGACTGTAGGGGAGGACTTGTGACCCAGCCCCCACTGATCAGTGTATAACACCCCCATGGCCTTAGCAATTGTTTCTGAGATTGGTCTGTTCCCTGAGCCAGGCTGGTAGGATAGAAGCTGTCTTTCTATGGCGCTGAAAAGCAGTAGGATGTAAGCCTGGAGTTGCCGCAAGCAGGAAGAACCCCTCAGAGGAGGAGGCCAACACAGCAGACGGCAGAGCCAAGAGAGGTAAAGAGAGAATCCTTGTCATCGTTTGATCCCCTTGATCCAGCTATGCCTGAAACTCCGAACTTTTCAGTTACATGACCCACTCAAGTCCTTTTTGTGCTTAAGTCAGTTGGACTTTGGTCTCTGTCACATACAACCCCCCAGAAATAAAGGGTTTAAAAATGTGGGAGTATGGTCGGGCGCGGTGGCTCATACTTGTAATCCCAGCATTTTGGGAGGCCGAGGTGGGTGGATCACGAGGTCTAGAGATCAAGACCATCCTGGCCAACATGGTGAAACCCCGTCTCTACTAAAAATACAAAAATTAGCAGGGTGTGGTGGTGCACACCTGTAATCTCAGCTACTCGGGAGGCTGAGGCAGGAGAATCGCTTGAACCCGGGAGGCAGAGTTTGCAGTGAGCCGAGATCACGCCACTGCACTCCAGCCTGGCAATGGAGCGAGACTCCGTCTCTAAACAAACAAACAAACAAACAAATAAATAAATAAATAAATAAAAATGCGAGAGTAATTAAACACCGTCTCCTCTGTCCCATACAGTCACTATATTTCCTCAGCACCCCAGGGTATGCTGGGGATTCTGAGGAAGCTCAGCCTACCCCAAGCAGGGGTTTGGGTCCTTGGAGTTTAGCCCCTGCCCTCGAAGAATGGTTATTCTTGGAGCCATGTGAGGGGCTTGGTGGGTTCACAGCTGCCTGGGCTGCCATATGGGGCCCCTTTCCCTCCAAGCTCCAGGAACCTCTGGGCCAAGGCACTCCATTCATTCATTCATTCATTCACACTTGTTCCCAGGCCCCCAAAATGTGAAGACTCTGGGATAAAAGGGCTGGCTAAAAATCACAGTCTGTGCCTTCAGGAGCTCCCAGACTAGTGAGGGAGACACTGCACTAATCATGCCAACAAATGTAAAATTCCTACTGAGACCGGGGTACAGAGGAGACACAAAGTTCGGGGGCTTCCCGGAGGAAGGCATGGCCGCCCTGAGATCTGAGGGGTGACGGGAGCTGAGTGAGCTGAGAGCCAGCTGGTGCTCAGGCTCCTTCTCCCCTTCCCCTCCGTGCGAATGCCCACTCATCTCTCCCCAGAGCCCACCCGGCAGCTCAGACACCTCTTCCTCCTTTCTGCAGCCGAGATCTTGCACTCCTCAACTCCGGTAAGTCCCACCTGATGTCTAACCTGCATCCAGCTTGCTGCCTGCACAGCACACTTTCCTCGCTTGGGTCCCAGGGGAGGTGTAGGTCACTTTCACTAAGCCCCTCCCTCCAAATAGTTTTTGGGTCACCTCCCATCTCAGGGATGAGTCTAGATTTTGATTAGGCATCTGGGATATGCCAGGTACTTTCACAAGGCTAGGGTCTTCCCCCAGATGGGGAAGCTGAGGCACAGAGGACCTAGGTAATGAACCAACAAGGTCAGCTTCTTCCACCCTCAGAGGAGGAACAGGATACCTAGGCCTGAATCCTTCCAGCCCACTTTTTACCCCTTTAACCTCTCCCAGGCCATGGCTCTTCCCAGCCCGGTCCATTTGTGCCACCCCCCAGAGCCTGCCTGGGACACCCACCTGGCTGTTCCCTCCCCTTCTCCAGCTTCTCGCCCTCAGGGGGCCTCTGTTCATGCCCACCCACTTATTTAACAAGCACAGATTTGTGCCAGGCTGAGTTCTAAGCCTTTTACACAAATGAGCTCATTTAAACCTCGCTACCACCCCAAGGGTGTGGACGCTATCATCATCTGTCAGGGACACAGACAGGCTGAGGCTTTTGCTGAAGTGCGCACCCTAGCTGGGACTTGAACCCACGCAGGCTCCTGAGTCCAGGCCCTAACCACCCTGCCACCCAGCCTGTCCATCAGCTGCCAGCCTTACCTCTTCCTCCCACCCGATTCCATTTTATCCCGATTCCATCCCTCTCTCCATCCACCTCCCGTCCCCATTTCCATCCTGACTCTGGGTTGCTGCCTGGGAGGGGCACTGTCCTGGTGTCCCGGGACTCGGGGAGGGACACAGGGTGGAGGCCTGGGTGCTGGAGGGGCCCAATTCACACCTGGCTCCAATCCCAGGCTGAGGGAGGCTTGGCTGAGCTGGCCCGGAGGAGGCAGGCTGGGGTGGAGCAGGAGGGGGCTGGGAGGAGCTGGGCCTGCAAGCCCTAATTAAGTCAGTTAATTAGGAGGGGAGGAGAAGTCTTGTGGGAGTTAATGAGCTCAGCTAATTAAGTGGATCCAGGGGGATGGCTCAAATCCTAGTGGCTGGGGAGAGATGGAGGCTCAGCCAGGATGGAAGGAGGGGAATGAGATGCCAGGTGCCTCCCTGCTGTTACCAGGGTCTGTCTGAGGACACCACCAAGGTCTGAGGTCACCAAGGTCGCCACTGGGTCTAAGGCCACTGAGATCACTACCAAGACCTGTAGCTACCCCCAGAGTCTGGTTTGAACTTGTTGTCAGGAGCCAGGCGTGGGCGGCTCATGCCTGTAATCCCAGCACTTTGGGAGGCTGAGGCAGGTGGATCACCTGAGGTCAGGAGTTCGAGACCAGTCTGGCCAACATGGCAAAACACCATCTCTACCAAAAATACAAAAATTAGCTGGGTGTGGTGGCATGCGCCTATAATCCCAGTTACTCAGGAGGCTGAGCCAGGAGAATCGCTTGAATCCGGGAGGCGGAGGTTGCAGTGAGCCAAGATTATGCCACTGCACTCCAGCCTGTGTGACAGAGTGAGACCCTGTCTCAGAAATAAAATAAAATAAAATAAAATAAATGAAGTTACTGTCAGGGTCTCACAGTAGGGCCATAGAGGATATCCACACCTGGGACTGAAGTCACCACTGAGGCCCCATCCCTTGTCAGCCATCCTTAGGGGGTTAAAGCTGGACCCTCTTTGAACATTTCAAGGAATGGGGGTAGAAATTGAGTCCTGGGCTGGGCGTGGTGGCTCATGCCTGTAATTCCAGCATTTTGAGAGGCCAAGGCAGGAAGACTGCCTGAGGCCAGGAGTTCAAGACCAGGCTGGGCAACATAGTGAGATCCCATCTCTGAAACAAACAAATATATATATATATATTTTATATATATATATACATATGTACGTATATATATATTATATACATATATGTGCATATATATGTATACATATGTATGTACATATATACGTATATATACAGATATATACGTATATATGTATATATGTATATGCGTATACGTATATATACATATATGTACATATATATGTATATATACATACACACACACACACACACACACATATATATATATATATATATATATATATATATATAGTTTTTTTCAAATTAGGGAGGCATGGTGGCCAGATTGAGCCAGGAGTTTGAGGTTTCAGTGAGCTATGTTTGTGCCACTGTATTCCAGCGTGGTCAATAGAGCAAGACTCTGCTCAAAATAAATAAATAAATAAACCTAGCAATTGAGCCCCTGACTCTGGGACCCTTCAGAGCAACCATGGCAATCTCTGGCAGGTGAAGAACCATCGCTGTTGCCCACATGTCCCCCCGTGCTTCAGTTTACAAAGACGTCCTCACCCGCTGTCCCTGCTGGAAGCCGGCCGCCTCCCCATGCACAGTGGGACAACTGAGGTCCGGGGAGGAAGGGGCTCATCCCCAGCCTGCTGCCCTCAGTGCCGACCCTGGACTCAGGATCCTGGGGAGGGCAGGGGAATGTGGTCTCCAGGCCTGGCACCAGTCACCTCGAAGGCCACCAGCTGTCCCTGGGGCCCCTGGGCTTTGTCTTGCTTGTCCTGTTTCTCTCTAACCATAGGATACTAAATAACCACGGCTCCCATGATGGAGCACTGACAGTTTTCGAGGTGAAAGTAGTTGAACCTGTGCCCGTGACAGAATGCGGGACCCAGAGAAATTTAAACGTGGGGCCTCTTATTTCTGAGAGCAGAAACAAAAGCTTCTTCCTTTCTCCCTCAGTCTCTTTCTCCCAGCCTGTGATGGTGGTTTTTTTTTTTTTTTTTTTTTGGTTTTGTTTTTTAGAGACCAGATCTTGCTCTGTTGTCCCAGGCTGGAGTGCAGTGGTGCAATCATACCTCACTGCAGCCTCGAACTTTGGGGCTCAAGTGATCCTCCCACCTCAGACTCCCAAAGTGCTGGGACCACAGGCATGAGCCATAGCGCCCAGCTGTGTGATGGTGTTTTTTATTTCCTTTCCTTTTTTTTTTTTTTTTGACAGAGTCTCGCTGTGTCACCCAGCAGGCTGAAGTGCAATGGTGCCATCTTGGGGCTCTGCAACCTCCGCCTCTTGGGTTCAAGTGATTCTCCTGCCTCAGCCTCCCGCATAGCTGGGATTACAGGTGCACACCACCACATCTGGTAGAGAGCGGGTTTGACCATGTTGGTCAGGCTAGTCTTGAACTCCTGACCTCAAGTGATCCACCCGCCTTGGCCTCCCAAAGTGCTGAGATTACAGGCATGAGCCACCACGGCTGGCCCTTTTTTCCTTTCTAATGTCATGCTCCTTTGGGCACAGGGAGGTTGATGGGGCAAGTGCAGACCTCACAGGTGCCTGGACCACGTCGCTGTACACCTGACACCGATCCTGCCCTCACCCAGGCCCCTGGCTGGGGACAAACGGCAGCAGTGGTGACTGTTGTCGGGGTGAGTAGTTGGCTGAGAACCTGCCTATGGGAGGTGGTCGGAGTGTGATCATGCCTGGTATGAGGCAGGGGCTCCAAGGCCTGGGCACATGCCCCACCGGCCCATCAGACTCCCCTTACAAATTCAAAGATGAAATTATTAAGAATTTCAAACTGGGGCTGAGATCGCGCCATTGAACTCAGCCTGGGTGATGGAGTAAGACTCTGTCTCAAAATAAGATAAATAAATAAATAAAATAGAATAGAATAAAATAAAATAATAATTAAAAATTTCTCAGGCGTGGTGACACCTGCCTGTAGTCCCAGCTACTCAGAAGACTGAGGCAGGAGGATCGCTTGAGCCTGGGAGGCTGAGGATGCAGTGAGCCAGGATCAGGACACTGCACTCCAGCCTGGGTGACAGAGCAGGATCCTGCCTCTAAAACAAAGGCGGGGTGGGTGAGGTGGGGTGGGGTGAGGGAGGTGGCTGCCTCCTCTCTTTCCCTGTCCTAGACACTGCCTACCTCCCCCTGCTCTCCCCTGCCCCAAAGTCGATCTCAGTCTCTCTCCCGGGACCGGATGTGGCCTGGGGAGGGCTGGGCGGAGGAGCTGCAGGAGAAGCGGAGAGAGACGGAGGCCATGGCGAAGCCTCCCCTTCTCGCGGGGCCATTCGTTCCCCACTGGACGCTGCTCTGCCTGCGTGGCCTCGGGCATCCTCACACCACCTTAGAAGGTCGGACTTATAGCTGTGCCCATTTTATGGCTGACCAAACAGGGTCACAGAGCTTTTGTGTAACCTGGCTGAGGCCACACGGCCCGGACGTAGCGGGCCTGGGGCCAAGCCCAGGGTTCTGTGGCTAAACAAGAGACTTTGTCCGCGGAATCCGCCGCTTGCCGGCCGGTCCGCATATGTGAGCACAACACGCCCTCTAGTGGCCGTTTCGCCGTAGTGCAGGACGATCTGAGGGACCGCGGCGCGCGCTCTGTCTCTGTCTCTGTTCTATCTGGTTCTCGAGGGCAAGACCACGACATTTCCATCTTCTGATCGCCCACAACCCAGGACATGAATCCCCTCCCCAGCTGGTCCACTCGAGGTCCCCGGTCTGTGCCAGCCCCAGAGTACCTTTTAAAATTTGTATTTTGGAGAAAGGGTCTCACTGTCGCCCAGGCTGGAGTGCAGAGGTGTGATCATGGCTCACTGCAGCTTCCACCTCCTGGGCTCATGCGATCCTCTTGCCTCAGGACTACAGACGAGCACTACCATGCTCGGCTAATTTAATTTTTTGTGGAGACGGGGGTCTCACTGTATTGCTCAGGCTGGTCTCAAACTCCTGGTCTCAAGTGATCTTCCTGCCTGGGCCTCCCAAAGCACTGGGATTACAGGCGTGAGCCACCATTCCCCACCTTAGAGTGCCTTCTTGTTACTCCCCTGTTGTCTTTTTTTTTTCTCTCTCTCTCTCTCTGTCTCTATGTTTACACCGTGGTTCTCAAACTCCGGGGAGCTTTCAAAAGTCCCCACGCAGCCACACCCCAGAGCAAATGAATCCGTTTCCTCTCTCACCATCTTTAAGTTTGTGGGGTACAAACCTCAGAGAACAGAGGAGTTCTCAGCAGCCTCCAGCAGCCTCTCAGCTCCCTGACCTCCTCCCGTCCCCTTCGACCCTCTCCTCTGCAAGCCCCTTGGCCACCGCTCCCAGGCCCACACCCCAGCCTGCGTAACGACCCCACACCTCACCTGCTCTGAGTTCTCTATTTCAGGCACTCCCCCCTCTGCTCTGCCCTTCTATCCTCTTCATCGCTTGCCCTGGTACCTGCAGGCATCAGCTTCAATCCACCGCCCGGGAGCTGTGGCTCACGCCTGTAATCCCAGCACTTTGGGAGGCCGAGGCAGGCAGATCATGAGGTCAGGAGATCAAGACCATCCTGGCTAACACGGTGAAACCTTGTCTCTACTAAAAATACAAAAAATTAGCCGGGCGTGGTGGCGGGCGCCTGTAGTCCCAGCTACTTGGGAGGCTGAGGCAGGAAAATCACTTGAACCCGGGAGGCGGAGGTTGCAGTGAGCCAAGATCGCACCACTGCACTCCAGCCTGAGCAACAGAGTGAGACTCCGCCCCTAAATAAATAAATAAATACATAAATAAATAAATAAAATAAAAACTTCAATCCACCACCTGCAGCACTTTCTCACTACCCAGCAACCCCCTTCTGCCACCACCACGATGGCCTCCTGGAAAACACGCCCACTCCCATGCCCACCTGTCCTGCTATAGGACCAACCTGGCACAGCGCTAGCCAGGCATCCGCTCTCTGCCTGCACCAAGCAAGCCAACACTGCCTGGGAGGGTCACCCCGCAGCTGCCAGTGCCCCGTCTCATTCAGGGGCGCGGGTCTTGGAGAGGCACTCAGCAGAGTGCCCCCAACCTCCGCCCTCACTATGCCTCCCAGTTGCTTTTTCCTGCCCTTTCTGAGCAGCTTCTGAAACTGTAATTCGCCTGTGAGTCTCCTAGGGGTCTTGGTGAGGCCCGAGATTCCGCATTCCATCCCGCCAGCCCCCAGGGGTGCTGACGTTGCTGTCCGTGGAGCCCACTCTGTAGCAAGGTCTGGGATGACTTCCCACCTCCTCCTCTCTCCTCAAACAAACCGTGGCTCCCACTTTGCTGAGAAAACAGATGGATGAGATACATTTCCACTGCCTCCGCCATCAAACCACAACCCCTCCTCCAGCCTCCCTCCTCCTCCACTTCTTCCATCCGCTTCAGTGGCAGAAGGGCCCTTCCCCTGAGGGGCTACAGGGACCCAGTTTCTTCAGAGGTTCCCTTCTTCCCCACTCCGTCCTCCTCATTCTTTCTTTTTCTTTTTCTTTACCCTTTCCTTCCTTCCTTCGTTCCTTCCTTCCTTCCTTCCTTTTTTTTGAGACAGGGTCTTCCTCTGTCACCCAGGCCAGAGTGCTGGAGTGCAGTGGTGCAGTGATAGCTCACTGCAGCCTCTAACTCCTGGACTTAAGCGATCCTCCCACCTCAGCCTCCTGAGTAGCTGTTACTACAGGTATGCACCATGGTTGGCTAATTTTCTTATTTTTTGTAGACTCAGGGTTTCGTCATGTTGCCAAGGCTGGTCTTGAACTCCTGGGCTCAAACGATCCACCTGCCTTGGCCTCTCAAAGTGCTGGAATTACAGACATGAGCCACTGCACCGGGACCCCCTCATTCTTTTTCCAGGACTTTCTTGTGGGCACCAAGGCTCTGGCGTCTCCTCCTGACCCACGTCTTGAGCCATTTCTGGGCCCCCGAACAAAGCTTCTTGATGGAACTGGCTTCCTTCTCTCTGCTCTGCAACTTCCCAGTCTCTTTTGTTTGTTCTTATTATTTCTTCTCTTCTTATATACATATAGAAAATATACTTTTAATTTGTATTCAAGTTAGATATGCCCATTGTTTAGAATCAACGCACAGGGGCAGCCTCACCCCCATTTCTCACTTATTTTTTAAGAGATGGAGTCTCGCTCTGTCACCCAGGCTGGTGTGCATTGGTGTGATCACGGCTCACTGTAGCAATCCTCCCGCCTCAGCCTCCTGTGTAGCTGGGACCACAGGCACAAGCCCCAGTGACTGGCTAATTTGTAATTTTTTGTAGAGATGGGGGAGGGTCTCACTATATTGCCCAGGCTGGTTTCGAACTTCAGCCCTCTAGAGATCCTCCTGCCTCGGCCTCCCAAAGTGCTGGGGTTACAGCGTGAGCCACCACGCCCGGCCCCTTTTCCCACTTCATAAGGACAACCATCTCAACTCTTTTAGCTCGTGATTAGTCATTTTTACCTCCACATTTCCTACATACCATGTTTACATTGCTTCTTTTCCAGTTTTAGGCATTCCTTACCAACCTCCCACTTTGGGAGAAGAGGATTTAGCTCCTTATGTCCAACCACTCCCTCTCCCACCCACTCCCACATCCTATCCCCCCTCACATTACAGTTGCATTATAACATTGGTAAGACTGGAAATGTTTACATATTGTGGAAACGTTATTTACAGCTCTGTGTGGAACACTATGATTCCTTTCTTTTTTTTTCAATAATAGGCTTTATATTTTAGAGTAGTTTTAGGCTTACAGAACAATTGAGCAGAACGTGTTTCTTTTTATTTTTTGAGACAGAGTCTCACTCTCTCACCCAGGCTGGAGTGCAGTGGCTCGATCTCGGCTCACTGCAACCTCCGCCTCCTGGGTTCAAGCGATTCTCCTGCCTCAGCCTCCCGAATAGCTGGGATTACAGGCACCCACCACCATGCCTGGCTAATTTTTTTGTATTTTTAGTAGAGACGGGGTTTCACCATGTTGGCCAGGCTGGTCTTGGACTCCAGACCTCGGGTGCTCTGCCTTCCTCGGCATCCCAAAGTGCTGGGATTACATGTGTGAGCCATCGCACCTGGCCTGAGCAGAACGCGTTTGAATTGACCAAGAGACTTTCAGTTTTGTAGTATACTTCCTCTCCTCCCAACAAATTTCTCCTACCATTAACATCTTGTATCAGCGTGGTGCACTTGTTAAAACTGATGAACCAAGATTGATACATAGTTGCTAACTAAAGTTCATATGTTACATCATCGGGGCTCATTCTTTGTTTTGTAGAGTTCCATGGGTTTTGACAAATGTATGTTACAGGTCCACCCTCCCAGTATCATACAGAATAGTTTCACTGCCCTAAAAATCCACCATGCTGTACCTCTTCATCCCTCCCTCTCTCCCGCCAGCCCCCTGGCAACCACTGATCTTTTTATTCTCTTTAGTTTTGGTTTTTCCAGAATGTCATATCACTGGAGTCAGATAGTACTTTTCAGACTGGCTTCTTTCACGTAGCAATACACATTTAAGGTTCCTCTGTGTCTTTTGGGTGGCTTGATGGCTCATTTTATCACTGAATGTTCCATTGTATGGGTGTACCTATAGAAGGACATTGTCATTGTGGTTTCTTCCAAGTTTTGGCAATTATGAATAAAGCTGCTATAAATATTCATGTGCAGATAAGACACCAAAAACAGGCAGCAAAAACAAGAATAGACAAGTGGGGCTGGGCGCAGGGACTCTCGCCTGGAATCCCAGCACTGTGGGAGGCCAAGGTGGGTGGACTGCTTGAGCTCAGGAGTTTAAGACCAGCCTGGGTAACACGGCATAACCCCATCTCTACAAAAAAATGAAATGGACAAGTGGGACTACATCAAACTAAAAAGCTTCTGCTTAGCAAAAGAAACAATCTACACAGTGAAAAGACAACCTATGGCCGGGCATGGTGGCTCATGCCTGTAATCCCAGCACTTTGGGAGGCCGAGGCAGGCGGATCACCTGAGGTCAAGAGTTTGTTGAGACCAGCCTGGCCAAAATGGTGAAACCCCATCTCTACTAAAAATACAAAAATTAGCTGGGCATGGGGGCTCACGCCTGTAATCTCAGCTACTTGGGAGCCTGGGGCAGGAGAATTGCTTGAACCCAGGAGGCGGAAGTTGCAGTGAGCCGAGACTGCGCCATTGCACTCTAGCTTGGTCAATAAGAAAGAAACTCTGTCTCAAAAGAAAAAAAAAAAATCTGAAAGAGAGGCCAGGTGCGGTGGCTCACACCTTTAATCCAGCACTTTGGGAGTTCAAAGTGAAGGGACTGCTTGAGGCCATGAGTTCGAGACCAGCCTGGGCAACATAATGAGACCCTGTCTCTAAAAAAAGAAAAAAATAATTCTCAAAATGGTATTAGCACTCCTGTGTTCTTTACAACAATATTCACAATAGCCAAATGTAGAAATAACCCAAATGGGTTGAATGGATGAAAAAAATGTGATCTATACATGCAACAGGGACTACTACAATTAAGCCTTAAAAATATGCGATGACAGGCCAGGCATGGTGGCTCACGCCTGTAATCCCAGCACTTTGGGAGGCCGAAGTGGGTGGATCACAAGGTCAGGAGTTCGAGACCAGCCTGGCCAATATGGTGAAACCCTATCTCTACTAAAAATACAAAAATTAGCCAGGCGTGGTGGGGCATGCCTGTAGTCCCAGCTACTCAGGGGGCTGAGGCAGAAGAATCGCTTGAACCTGGGAGGCAGAGGTTGCAGTGAGCCAAGATCATGCCACTGCACTCCAGCCTGGGTGACAGAGTGAGACTCCGTCTCAAAAAAAAAAAAAAAAAAAAGAAAGAAAGAAAGAAAGAAAAAAAATATGTGACAACATAGATGAAACTCAAGGACATTATGCAAAGCAAAATAAGCCACAGAAGGACACATATCTCATAATTCCACTTATATGGGATATCTAAAGAAGTCTAATTCCTAGATTTTGGTTCTATAGTTGTCAGAGTTGCAGAAGAAATTGGGGAATAGCTCATCAGTAGGCATAAAGATTCAATAAAGCAAGATGAATAAGCTCTAAAGAGCTGCTGTGTAACTCTGTACCAGGGGCTCACACCTGGAATCCCAGCACTTTGGGAGGCTGAGGCTAGAGGACCACTTGAGCCCAGGAGTTCGAAACCAGCCTGGACAACATAGCGAAACTCTGTCCCTATAAAAAATTTAAAAATTAACTGGACATGGTGGCATGCATCTGTAGTCCCAGCTACTCTGGAGGCTGAGGATGGAGGATTGCTTGAGCCCAGGAGATGGAGGCTGCAGTGAGCTGTGATTGTACTCCAGCCTCAGTAACAGAGTAAGACCATGTCTCAAAAAAACAACCATGTATTATACATGTATTGTACATTTAAAAATATGTTAGGAGGACAAATTTCATTAAGTGTCCTTACCACAGTAAAACGAAACTAGCAAATATTCATGTGCAGGATTTTCTGTGGGCATAAATTTTCAACTTATTTGGGTAAATACCAAGGAGCACTTGATATTTTCTGCCATTCTGTGGCTTCTCTTCACATTCTCTTGGCAGAGTCTTTTGCAGGGCAGAAATTTTCATTTTAAATTTCTTTCCCTTTTCTGTTCAAAAGTTTCGGTTTTCCTGGATTTGATAACATTTTTTGGAGAGGGGAGTACTTGTTTACCTACATGTTTATATATCAGTCAACCCATATTCTCCCCTACTTGTGTAAATGTCTCCAAAATTCAAAAACATTAGGTATTCTATCAATTTCATCTCCTTGAAGAGATCTCTTCTCTTATTTGAGTGTGAACTGCGAGATTCTCTTCTCCTCTCTCTTACATTCAATTCCTGTTTCCTGGAGTCCAGATGTTACTCTCTTTTTTGGGGGTGGGGGGACGGAGTCGCATTCTGTCACCCAGCCTGGAGTGCAGTGGTGTGATCTTGGCTCACTGCAACCTCCGCCTCCCAGGTTCAAGTGATTCTCCTGTCTCAGCCTCCCAAGTAGCTGAGATTACAGGCGTGTGCCACCATGCCCAGCTAATTTTTGTATTTTTAGTAGAAATGGGGTTTCACCATGTTGGCCAGGCTGGTCTTCAACTCCCGACCTCAGGTGATCTGCCTGCTTTGGCCTCCTAAAGTGCTAAGATTACAGGTGTGAGCCACTACTCCTGGCCCAGGTCTTACTCTTTATTGTTTTTCTTGTTTACTATTTCTTGTTTTACTTGGTTTACTCCCTTATTTTAGTGGAGTACATCCTCCAGTAGCTTTCTCAAGTAAGGGTGCGTAGGCCGGGTGCAGTGGCTCACGCCTGTAATCCCAGCACTTTGGGAGGCTGAGACGGGTGGATCACAAGGTCAGGAGATCGAGACCATCCTGGCTAACATGGTGAAACCCCGTCTCTACTAAAAGTACAAAAAATTAGCCAGGCGTGGTGGCGGGCGCCTGTAGTCCCAGCTACTCGGGAGGCTGAGGCAGGAGAATGGCATGTACCCGGGAGGCGGAGCTTGCAGTGAGCGGAGAGCACGCTGTTGCACTCCAGCCTGGGCAACAGAGCAAGACTCCGTCTCAAAAAATAAATAAATAAATAAATAAATAAATAAATAAATAAATAAATAAGAAAGGGTGCATAGGAGGTAAAATTTTTGAGCTCTTGCCAATCTGAAAATATTGTTTTTTCTACTCTCACTTTATTAGTAGTTTGGCTAAGTATTGAATTCTATGCTGAGGGCTGGGCACAGTGGCTCATGCCTGTAATCCCAGCACTTTGGGAGGCTGAAATGGGAGGATCACTTGAGCCAGGAGTTCAAGACCAGCCTGGGCAACATGGTAAAACCCTGTTTCTACAAAAATTAAAAAATTGGCCGGGTGTGGTGGCACTGCCTGTGGTCCCAGGTACCCAGGAGGCTCAGATAGGAGGATCATTTGGGCTCAGGAGGTTGAGACTGCAGTGAGACATGATTGTGCCACTGCACTGTAGCCTGGGTGACAGAGCAAAACCCTGTCTTTAGTAATAATAATAATAATAATAATAATAATAATAATTCTAGGCTGAAAATAATTTTCTTTTCTACTTTTGGAAACATAGTTCCGGCAGATCGTGGTGGCTCACGCCTGTAATTCCAGCACTTTGGGAGGCCGAGGTGGGTGGATCACGAGATCAAGAGATCGAGACCATCCTGGCCAACATGGTGAAACCTCATCTCTACTAAAAATACAAAAATTATCTGGCTGTGGGGGTGTGCGCCTGTAGTCCCAGCTACTCTTGAGGCTGAGGCAGGAGAATCGCTTGAACCTGGGAGGCGGAGGTTGAGTGGAGATCACGCCACTGCACTCCAGCCTGGCGACAGAGCACAAGACTGTGTCTCAAAAAAACAAAAACAAAAATGGAAAAAACATAGTTCATTGTCTTCTCGTTTCCAGGATTGCTGTTGAGAAGTCCGATGCCATTATGATTCTTGATACTCTATACAATTTTGGAGAATTTTCTTCTTGTCCCAGTGTCTTGAAATTTACTGGCGATTGGCTTTGGCATGAGTCTATTTTTATCCTTTGTTTTTGTTTGTTTGTTTGTTTGAGACGGAGTCTTGCTCTGTCACCCAGGCTGGAGTGCAGTGGTGCAATCTTGGCTCACTGCAACCCCCACCTCCCGAGTTCAAGCGATTCTCGTGCCTCAGCCTTGAGAGTAGCTGGGACTACAGGTGCGTGCCACCACTCTCAGCTAATTTTTTTTTTTTTGTATTTTTAGTAGAGATGGGATTTTACCATACAGGCCAGGCTGGTCTCAAACTCCTGACCTCAACTGATCCTGCTGCCTCGGCCTCCCAAAGTGCTGGGATTACAGGCATGAGCCACCACACCCAGCCTATTTTTATCCTTTGGATGGTCACTCCGTGGGCTCTTTTAATCAGGAAACTCAGGCCCTTCAGTTCTAAGAAATAGTGGAAACATTTTTTTGACTATTTCCTCTCCTCTCTACTGTCTTTCTGGAGCTCCTTTGTTCAGATGTGGGATGCCTGCACTGATCCTCTAATCTTCATACCCTTTCTTTCCTATTTCCCATCTGTAGTAGTCATGGAGGTGGCTGCTTGGTTCTCCTTTCAAGAAAGAACTTGCAGGCCAGGCATGGTGGCTCACACCTGTAATCCCAGCACTTTGGGAGGCCGAGGCTGGTGAATCACCTGTGGTCGGGAATTCGAGACCAGCCTGACTAACATGGTGAAACCCCACCTCTACTAAAAAATACAAAAGTGAGCCAGGCATGGTGGCGGGCGCTTTTAATCCCAGCTACTCAGGAGGCTGAGGCAGGAGAATCGCTTGAACCCAGGAGGCAGAGGTTGCAGTGAGCCAAGATTGCACCCTTGCACTCCAGCCTGGGTGACAGAGCAAGACTCCATCTCAAAAAAAAAAAAAAAAAAAGGAAAGAACTTGCTATTTGGCTTTGAGGATTGCAGTTGGCTGACAGCCTTCAACTACACTGTCTTTGAGATCTGCCACAGCAGTTGAGCCAAAACTAAGGTCTTGTTGGGCAGCTCCAGCCAATGACTGAGGACAGTGGGGACAGTGGGGACACTGGAGCTCCTCTCCTGGACAATGTTTGCTCTTGAGCTTCTCTATAGGTTGGCCAAGACTGCTGGATCAACACCAAAGTGGCTGCCTAGCTCTTTTTTCCTTCTTTCTTTTTTTTTCGAGACAGAGTCTCGCTCTGTCACCCAGACTGGAGTGCAGTGGTGCGATCTCGGCTCACTGCAACCTCCGCCTCCCAGGTTCAAGCAATTCTCGTGTCTCAGCCTTCTGAGTAGCTGGGACTACAGGCACGTGCCACCATGCCTGATTAATTTTTGTATTTTTAGTAGAAACAGGGTTTTGCCATTTTGGCCAGGCTGGTCTCGAACTCCTGACCTCAGGTGATCCACCCGCCTCAGCCTCCCAAAGTGCTGGGATTACAGGTATGAGCCACCGAGCCTGGCCAATAGTTTTGATTTCTGGGCAACATAGTGAGACCCATCTTTACAAAAAAAAAAAAAACCCATTTTTAAAAATTAGCCAGGTGTGGTGGTGCACACCTATGATCTCAGCTACTCAGGAGGCTGAGGTAGGAGGATTGCTTGAACCCCAGAAGTGGAGGCTGCAGTGAGCCCTGATCCCACCACTGCACTCCAGCCTAGTTGACAGGGTGAGACTCTATCTCTACACAAAAACAAAAACCAAAAAACCCCCAGAACTGTTACTACTATATTTAGATATTTAAGAAAATATACTATAACTATGAAACAAAAACTGGATGCTATTTGACAGGGAGAGGGACCTCCAGGAATGAACAAAACTGTTTTATAAAGATGGGGTCTCACCATGTTGCCCAGGCTGGTCTCAAACTCCTAGGCTCAAGCAATCCTCCCACCTCAGCCCCCCAAGTAGCTGGGACTACAGGTGCACACCACCACGCCTGGTTAATTTTTACCTTTTTTTAGAGACAAGGTCTTGCTATGTGGCTCAGGCTGGTCTTGAACTCCTGGCCTCAAGCAATCCTCCCAGTTCAGCCTCCCAAAGCGCTGGGATTACAGGCACGAGCCACTGCGCCTGGCCGCAAGGACATTTGAGGATTTAAGCCCTTCTTACCCTAGTCCTCCTGGGGTTCAGCCCCAGCTTTACTCTCATTTCCAGAGGTACTTAGGCTATTAATGCCAGCACCTTTCAGGGATTTGGCAGTATAGATTATACTCCTTGGCCTGTCCTAACCCCAGTTTAGGGTTCACTTAAAGTGCAAATTCCTCAGCCTGCTAAGTCAGTTATTACCACGTGTTCATTTATCTTCCAGATTCCAAAATGGTGTTGCTATTTTCTCCATTTTCAGTTGATTAGTTCTCACTGCTTCATGCTGTGTTAGGCAGAACAATGGCCCCCTGCAAACATCCATGTCCTAATCTCCATTAGCCATGAACATGTTACCTTCCATGGCAAAAGGGACTTTGCAAATGTGATTAAGGTTAAGAAGCTTGAGAAGGGGAGATCAGTCTGGATAATTCAGGTGAGCCCAATCTAATCACATGAATTGTGAAAACCTTTCCCAGGTGTGGTCAGAGAAAGTGATACGCCACGAATAGTGGCTCACGCCTGTAATCCCAACACTTTGGGAAACTGAGGCGGGAGGATCACTTGAGCTCGGAAGTTCGAGAACAGCCTGGCCCACATAGTGAGATGCCTCCGCCTCCCCCCACCCCATCTTTATAAAAAATTAAAAATTAGGCTAGGTGCAGTGGCTCAAGCCTGGAATCCCAGCACTTTGGGAGGCTGAGGTGGGTGGATCACCTGAGGTCAGGAGTTTGAGACCAGCTTGGCCAACATGGTGAAACGGTGTCTCTACTAAAAATAAAAAAAATAGCCAGGTGTGGTGGTGCACACCCATAATCCCAGCTACTCAGGAGGCTGAGGCAGGAGAATCGATTGAACCCTGGAGGCAGAGGTTGAAGTGTGCTGAGATCGCACCACTGCACTCCAGCCTGGGCGACAGAGTGAGACTCTGTCTGAAAAAAAAAATTTAAAATTAGCCGTGGTGTGTGGCGCATGTCTGTAGTCCCAGCTACTTGGGGGACTAAGGAGGGAGGACCACTTGAGCCCAGAAGGTCAAGGCTGCGGCAATCCTGATTGGGCCATTGCACTTCTGCCTGGGCTACAGAGCAAGATCCTGTTTTGTTTTTTTTTTAAAAAAAAAAAAAAAGAAAAGAAAAAAGAAAGTGATGTGATGAGAAATCAGAGAGATGCTACCTTGCTGGAGGGAGGTGGTCACGGGCCAAGGCATGCAGGTACCTTTTGGAAGATGGAAAAATCAAAGAAATGGGTTCTTGCCTGTAGCATCCAGAAAGCCCTTCCAGGAAGAGCTTCCTAGAGCCGTCCTGTCAACACTTTGATTTCAGCTCAGTGAGATCTGTGTCAGTTTTGACATATAAAACCGTAAGAATTAACTTGTTTAGTTTAAGGCAACTCAGTTTATGGCAATTTGTTATGGAAGCAATAAAACACTGATGCACACACCTTTAAAAATCCACTCACTATCCTTTTTCTTTTCTTTTCTTTTCTTTTTGTAAGAGACAGGGTCTCCCTTTGTCACCTAGGGTTGAGTGCAGTGGTGTGATCTTAGCTCACTGCAGCCTTGAACTCCTGGGCTCAAGCGATCCTCCCACCTCAGCCTCTCCAGGAGCTGGGAATACCGATACGTGCCACTATGCCCAGGTAATTTTTAAAATTTTTTTGTAGAGACAGGGTCTTGCCCAGGGTGGTCTTGAACTCTTGGGCTCCAGTGATCCTTCTGCCTCAGCCTTCCAAGGTGTCGGGTTACAGTTGTGAGCCACTGCACTCAGCCTCACTGTCCTTTCAATGGGGCTTTAGGATACAGAGAAATTACATGTGTGTGTTCAATCTTCCTTCTTTAACCACATCAAACCTGGTTTTGTTTCCACTGCTTCATGTTTGCATTCTTTTTTTTTTTTTTAATTGAGACAGAGTCTCACTCTGTGCAGTGGTACAATATTGGCTCACTACAACCTCCACTTCCCAGGTTCAAGCTATTCTCCTGCCTTAGCCTCCCGAGTAGCTCAGATTACAGGTGCGTACCACCACGCGGGGCTAATTTTTGTATTTTTAGTAGAGATAGGGTTTCATCATGTTGGCCAGGCTGGTCTCGAACTCCTGACCTCAAGTGATCCGCCTGCTTCACTCTCCCAAAGTGCTGGGATTACAGTAGTGAGCCACCGTGCCAGGCTTCATGATGCATTCTTATCAAAGTCACTCTTGACTTCTACATCACTAAATCTAATCTTTTTTCTTTTTTAAAAAATTATTTATGTTTTTAATTTTAATTTTTATATTTTTTAGAGATAGGGTCTTCCTCTGTTGCCCAGGCTGGAGTGCAGTGGTACAATCACTGTAACCTTGAACTCCTGGGCTCAAGCAATCCTCCTGCCTTAGCCTCCTCCCAAGTAGCTAGGACTACAGGTGCATGCCACCATGCCCGGCTAGTATTTATTTATTTATTTATGAGAGAGTTTTGCTCTGTCTCCCAGACTGGACTATAGCGGCGCCATCATGGCTCGGTGTAACCTCGACCTCCCAAGTTCAAGCAACCCTCCCACCTCAACCTCCTGAGTAGCTGGAACTACAGACATGCGCCATGATGCCCGGCTTTTATTTCTTTCTTTTTTTAATAGAGATGGGGGTCTCATGTTGCCCAGGCTAGTCTCAAACTCCTGGCCTTAAGTGATCCTCCTGCCTCTGCCTCCTCAAGTGCTGGGATTACAGCTGTGAGCCATCGCACAAGTCCTATTTTTTTTTTCTCTCTCACTTGTTGTAGAGATGGGGGTCTCCCTATGTTTCCCTGGCTGGTTTCGAATCCTGGGTTCAAGCAATCCTCCTGCCTCGGCCTCCCAAAGTGCTGGGATTGCAGGCGTGTTCCAATGCGCCTGGCAGCTGAATCTAATCTCGTTTCCCTGGACTGCTCACATCTTTGAAGCAGGTGGACCACGCCCCCTCTCCTCGCGACACTTCCTTGGTTTCCGTGACTGCCCAGGCTCTCAGTTTTCCTCCCACTTTCCCAGCTGCTCCTTCTCTGCCTCCCTCGCTGGCTTCTCCTCCACATGATCTCAATACCGCGGAGTCCTCAGGGCCCTGTCCTGGAGCCTCTTCCCTCCCCTCTTTCCCGTGTGATCTCATGGCTTGCAACACCATCTTTTTACCAATGACCCTGAAGTTCCACCGTCAGCCGAGAGGCTCCTCTTCTGAACTCCAGACTCTCATTATGATGTCCTCTCTTGACATCTTCACTTGGACACCTCACCTGCTTCTCAAGTGGAAAATATCTGTGGCAGGAATTTTTTTTTTTTTTTTGAGACGGAGTCTCGCTCTATTGCCCAGGCTGGAGTGCAGTAGTGTAATCTCTGCTCTGCAACCTCCGCCTCCCGGGTTCAAGCTATTTTCCTGCCTCAGCCTCCTGAGTAACTGGGACTACAGGTGTGTGCCTCCATGCCTGGCCAATTTTTGTATTTTTAGTAGAGATGGGGTTTCACTGTGTTGGCCAGGCTGGTCTTGAACTCCTGACCTCAAGTGATCCGCCCGCCTCTGCCTCCCAAAGTGCTGGGATTACAGGCGTGAGCCTGTATTCTTGATGTTCTCACCAAGTCTTTTCCTCCCTCGAATCTGCCCATCACCCATGCACCTCTGCAATCCCCAAAGCCCAGATCACCCCGGATTCCCTTCCTCCTCTGACCCATCAGAAAATTCTGTGGATTTGTCTCCAATGTTTGTTTGTTTTTATTTTATTTTTAGTTTTAGAGACAGGGTCTTGCTGTGTCACCTAGGCTAAAGTGTGGTGACACAATCACAGCTCACTGCAGCCTCAAACTCCTGGGTTCAAGCAACCCTCCCACCTCAGCCTCCTGAGTAGCTGGGACTACAGGCCCACGACACCATGCCTGGCTAATTTTAGAATTTTTCTTTTGCAGGGATAGGATCTCATTATGTTGCCCAGGCTGGTCTGGAGCTCCTGGGCTCAGGCAATCCTCCTGTTTTGGTCTCCCAAAGTGCTGGGATTATAGGCATGAACCACTGTGCCCAGCCTCCTAAATATGTTCAGAAAGCACTTTCTTACTTCCCCATCTCCAAAGCCGCTCACCACTGTGACCTCCACGTTGGCGTCCTCTATTCATTCTGGCCCATCACCACTGATTCTCCCAAGCATAGCCTGAAATATCCTTTAAAATGTCAATCAGATTATACAACTTCCCCCATTTAAGAGCTCTCAAAGGCTTCCCAATTCCTTCTGGAACAAAATCCATCTCCTCGCCATGGGTGCCAAGGCCTGCGTGGCCTGACTGTTCCTGTCCCTCCTGCCCTGCCTCTTGTCACTGTCCCCATCATTTGCTCTGCCTCGGCTACACTGAGCCCTCCCCGTGCTCCTGCCTACCTGTTGCTCTCAATTTGCTTTGCCTGAGCTGCTGTTACTACCCGTCTCCCCACTGCTGGCTACTTCTCATTCTCTAGGTCTTAGATGAAATATCCTCACCTCCCTGTTTACCGTATGCAAAGCAGCTGTCTCCACCATCCCTGGTAATTTCCTTCACAATGGGCTTTGAACCTTGACGATTTGTTTATTTGTTCACTTGTGTTTTGTTTGACTCCCTCATTAGATATAAACCCCATGAGAGCAGGGATGGTATTTTCAGTCCAGTTTCTGGTGCTAGCCCACAAAAGCTATGCAACGAAATTTGTTGAGTGAATGAATGAATGAGAACATTGGGCATCTATTATGTACTGGATGCTTTCATGTAGACGGGACTATATTTCCCAGCTTTTCTTGCAATGAGCTGTTCTGGCCAATGCATGTGGGCAGAAGTAAAGGAGGCCATTTCCAGCTTTGGTTCATAAAAACCTCATGTGTGGTTTCCACTCTTGTTCTTCATCTGCAAGCTGGATGCAGAAGATCCAGCAGTGGCCGTGGGTGATGACAGAGTTACAAGATGAGAGGAGCCTGGATCCCTGAAAGATCACGTGGAGCAGAGTCTCCTCCATCACCACCCCCACCCCAAAACACACACACACCCAGAATATAAGGCTCTTCTGTGTTAAGCCATTACGATTGCCAAGCTTATTTATTCCAACAGCTTGCCTCACCTTAATTAATACATCAAAACACCAGATGTAGGTGGCTGGTGAACATTACTGTGGGTGATGCGTTTGCTGACAAATTTTCATCAAATGCAGATGTGTTTTCTGTGGGGCTGTCTCTTGCATTGTCCCACAACAGAAGCCGAGGGCACAGTGCTCACACCTCTATTATAGCACATTGTGCTGTCTGTTCGAGCGTGTGTTGTTTTTGTCTTCACTAGGCTGTGAGCCCCTCCAGGGACATGGCTGTGTCACATTCATCGCAGTGGCCTCAGCATCCAGTCCCCAGGGAGCCTCAGGGAAAATGTACTGAATCCACAAAGGAGTGAACTGGTCACCTGCCCCCCTTCGTTGCCTTTCTTTCCCTACAAATGCCTGAGAAAGTCCAACTCTTTAATTTTGCAGAGACCCAAAGAGAAGTGACTTCCCCAGGATCACACAGAAGCAGGATGCACCAGAATTAGCCTGCCCAGGGCTGCTAAACGTGGCAGCCAGCTATTCTAGGACTGAATCCTGGAGCCTACCAGGGGCTGGAGCAAGGCTGGGAGAGGCGGGGCGGGGTTGGCTGGGGGCAGCCACAGATTTCTCTAAGCCCCCAAGGTGACCCCACCCAGCCTCATTGCCCCACTGCCCCTCCTCCAGCAGCAAAGAAACACTCCAGAGCCTTCTGTCCCACCCTCCCCAGCCAGCACTGGCTCCTGCAGCCTGGGCGGACACATCACTCAGTATTTTTAGCTTCACCACCTGGCACCTGTGGTCACTGTCTCTGCCCAGCCTGGCCCTGTCCCCTCCCAGGTCTTAAAGGGCCAGAACCTGCCAGCTAGAAAGGAGACCAGCTCCTGCAAACATAGGCTACCATACTCCCAGGGCAGGAGGCAGAGAGACATCCCCTACAGAGAGTCCCCAGAATCAGAGGTGGGAGATGAAGGGATGAGGGATGAGGGGGCAGATTTCACGGCTGCCAACCCTAAGGCCTATTCCTGTCTCTTTCTGGGGCTTCCCAAATGCTGGTTTGCTTACGTTGTTCACCTGGAGGAAACTGATCAACATTACACATCCATCCTAAGACCTGAAGCTGCAAAATCTCCGATGCAGGGTCTGGGAGTGTAGTATTTTTTAACAATTCAACTCAGATTATTCCCATGCCCTCTCTCTTTCTCTTTTTTGAGACAGGGTCTCACTCTGTCGCCTAGGCTGGAGTGCAGGGGCGTGATCATAGCTCAGTGCAGCCTCGAACTTCTGGGCTCAAGGGATCCTCTTGCTTCAGCCCCTGGAATAGCTGGGACTACAGGTGCATGCCACCATGCCTGGCTAATTGTGTGTGTGTGTGTGTGTGTGTGTGTGTGTGTGTGTGTGTGTGTGTGTGTAGACGGGAGTCTCACTGTGTTGCCTAGGCTGGTCTCGAACTCCTGAGCTCAAGCGATCTACCCGCCTTGGCCTCCCAAAGGTCTGGGGTTACAGGTGTGAACCACCACACCCCGCCTGATGCCCTATCTTTCAATGTCATATTCGTTCATTCATTCATTCATGTATTCATTCAACAAGCATTTTGAGTGTTCACTATGAACACGGGGTTCTATCATGAGACCATTGCTTAGGAGTTCTTGCTTAGGGCAAGAAGCCCTTCTGCACCTATTATTTCCTTGCCTCTCCTCACTTGCCCCTGTTTTGCCTCGAGTCTTCCCCATTGCTTGCTCCAGTGCCTATGGGTCAGGTCCCCGGCTCAGCGTCCAGGCCCTCTGTGATCTGGCCCTGTTCTGCCAGCCTCATCCTCACCATCCACACTTTGTTTCTTATTTGCACCAAGCCTTCCCTCTTGCCGTTCCCACTGCCTGCGATGCCCTTTCCTCAGCCTCTCTCACCCCTGGGAAGGCACTTGCACGTTAAGACAGACCTGGTGGGCCTCCGATGGCTCCTGTGGGCAGAGGTGGTCTGTTTTGCCTCCTGACTTCCTAGGCACTGTGCACCCACGCCCATCAAGATGCCCACTACCCTGTGCAGAACTGACCTGTCTTCTCTTTTGTCTCTCCTAGCAGGCTGTGACCCTGTGAGCCAGGTTCCAGTCCCCAGCCCAGGCCCTGGCAGTCTGTGGGTGGCCAGTCACTGTGTTGAATGTTAAGCTGACAACCATAGCAGGGAACATCCTCCCATTTTACAGATGAGGAGACAGAGGCCCACGGAGCGGGAACTGTGCACCCAGAGTCCAACAGAGAAAGTCAGGGAGGAACCCAGCCCAGGCTCCAGGAGCCCTCGCCTGGCCCACTTGTCCTGGAAGGATCCTGGAGGGGGAAACTGGCTTGGCCCATGCCTACCCTTCTCCCCACCCAGGGCAGGGTAGTGCTGACTCAGACAGTGATGGAGGCACAGGCAGGCTGGGCTGGAGCAGAGGTGACCCCTGTCTCCCTTGCAGATCACTCCCAGAGCCTGTGGTCACAGCTTGGATAATGCACTTGGCTGGAGCCTGGGTTTCCCTGCAGGTGGGGGTGGGGAGAGCTGGCTAAAGGAACAATGATCTCTAGGGCTTGAACTCCCACTGGGCCCCAGGCACAGCCCTTCCCTCCACATAGGTATGCAGCACTCATACCTGCTCCCACAAACATGTACACAGGCTCACAGTCACACACGGTCACCCCCAATACCCAGTCACGCAGCCACACAAACCATTCTGTCTCTCTCCCTCTCTCTTTTACACACACACACACACACACACAAGCAAATACACATGCATGCATTTTCGTGTATGAATTCAACAAAGATGGAACATCTGTTAGGTGCCACTGCAGTGCAGGATGGAAAGGTGGCTCTCAGGTTAGGGTGGGACAGGGACATCCAGGAGGGCTTCCTGAAGGAGGAAGCGTTGCAGCTGGGCCTGGATGGAGGAGAATGGGGGAAGAGAAGTCTGGGCAGAGTTTCACTGGAGGTTAATATAGGGGAACAGAGTGAGATGAGGTGGGGAGTGTCGGCCCCAATCACGCAGGCCTTGAATGCTCAGCCGAGTGTTAACTTTATCCCACGGGAGCTGGGAGCCATGGAGGGCTCTGAGCAGGGGAGGGACATGCTCACTGTGGGAGAGGACGTGAAAGCCACTCTGGGGCTAGGGTGGGGGAGATAGGAAGGAGGCTGTGGCAACAACCAGGTGAGAGATCTGAGATCTGAAGCAGGAAGTGGCAGTGGGTGGTAAGCAGTGGACAGAGAGAGATTGACTTGAAGCAAGACTGCCAGGCCCACAGGCACCCTGGGTCGAGCGCTGTGCCCACCTGCTGCCCACCCACTGGCCACCCACGAGCACTGACCTCCGCAATGGGACTTCTTCCAGCAGCTCCTCTTCCTCCTCCCTGTGGAAGCAGACGAAGCAGAAGGCCGGCACATCATCGACTCCGCAGCCCATGGGCCAGGCCGGAGGCAGCTCCAGGACAGGGCAGGGGTGGCCAGGGGTGGCCTCCGCAGCATCATCGCCAGCCTGGGCAGGAGTCCCCGAGCCAGGGCGCTCCAGGGTCAGCAGCCCGTCGGCTTCAGGGCTCTGCACTTGCCCGCCCGCCACCTGTGCCTTCTCACTCAGGTTGCCCGTCGCCTCGGTGGGTGGAGGAGCCGGGGGCTCTGTCTGGCGGGGGCTCCTGTCTTGACCCGTGGGGGTTCCAGCCACGGGGCTGGGCCGTGCGAAGCGGTGTCCAGCCACCTGGATTCCGAGGTGGCTGGTGGGCAGACGGAGGTCTGGGAGTGCCCCCCCAACTGCCCCTGTGGAGCCCTAGGCCCTCCGGCTGCCCACTCTGTGGCTGTCTGTCAGAGGCAGGACTAGGAGGGCAGGCTTGCAGGTGTCCCGTGCCCCAGTCCCCCTGTCTGTCCAGCCGTCTGCTCCTCCTGGTCCAGCCAGCACGGCCGCAGAGGTGCCTTCCCTAAGAAAGTTTGTTCTCCTCGGCTGGGGTGAGTGGCATGGGTGGCCTCCAGGAGAGAGGGTTGGGACCTGCAGCTGAAAGACGGGCAAGGGCCAGGTGAGGCTGGCACGGTGCCCACGCTGTCCTCGAGAAAAGTTCTGACCCCTGGAGTCCCGGTCCCGGCTCGGCTGCGACTGGCGGCTCTCCCGGCTCCCTGCTCTCCCCAGCTCCAGTGGCTTCTCTGGCAGACTGGCTGGGCTGTGGGTATTAATAGCTCCACATTCACGCTGAGAAGCCTGGAGGTTAACTCCTTCTCTGCCAGAGCTGGGGAGGCTGGCAGGGCGGGCGGGTGCGGCCAGGCAGCGTGGCGAAGTGGCCTCGGGGAGCAGAGGGAAGGGTGGTGCCTTGATCCTGCCCCCGCTCTGAGCCTGGCTGCTGCAGCAGGACCCTCAGTGCCACCTCCTGCCCATGAGTCTCTGTGCTGCACTGGGCTCCCGGGGCTTGGGAGTGTGTGGGCCACCTGACCCCTCCACATGTACCCCCAGGAAGTTGGGGGGCCCTGGGAAGGGGCACTGGGAGCTCAGGGCAGCTCCTCTGGGATAGAAGGGGCTCAGGGCTTCAGGGAGCATCCCCAGGGCTCCCAAACTCACACAATCACCCCTCAACTTCCTGGGTCCTCCTATGTTCCCTTAACAGTCACCTTTGCCAACCCTGGACCCAGGTCTGGGGCTGGCTTCAGTGAGACCCAGTGACGAAGCAGCCACAGTGCCTAGCGTATTTTATTGAGGAGTATGGGAAGAGGGTGGGAGTGGGGGAATCATAACAGAATTTGTTTGCCTGAATCTATTTATTTATTTATTTATTTATTTACTTATTTGAGACAGGGTTTTGCTATGCTGCCCAGGCTGGTCTCAAACTCCTGGGCTCAAGCGATCTTCCCATGTCAGCCTCCCAAGTAGCTGGGATTATAGCTACTGCACCAGGCTTGGAAATGTTTATTGAGCACCTGCTTGGTGCCAGGCACCATGCTGGACATGGACACACAGCAGTGAAGTGGGCAGGTGCCGTTCCTCTTTGGTGGGTTTGGGTGTCACTGCAGGAGGTGACACCAGTGGAGCTGCAGCTTGCCTGCATAGTGCCATCATGTGAGTTAGGAAAAGGTGCCTCCCGCCAAGCAGGTACAGCCCCAGCACCAGCTTGTAGTGTGGGCCCAGGCTGGGTTTCGGCCCCACTCACCTCCTCTGCAGTTGACAACATGCACCACCATTCACAATGGCTCTGGAAACACCCGTAAACCAAGGAAAAATAAATTCAGATTGTCCAAAGTGCTACGAAAAAAATAAAACAGGGACATGTGACAGGCTGATGGGGAGGTAGTTAGATGGGGTGTTCAGGGAACACCTCCCAAGAAGGGAACACTGGAGCTGAAACCTGCAGGAGGAGGAGGAGGAGGAGGAAGGAGGAGGAACCAGCCAGATCTGGAGGCAGAACATTCTAGGAAGAGGTGCAAAACCCCAGAGGCAAGAACTGGCTGGCATTTGAGGAGGAGAGTGAGAGGCAGAGATCTTTAAGCTGGGCCTTGAAGAGTGAGTAGAGTTTTCCAGGGGGCTCAAGAGAGGAGGTATCGCCAGCAGAGAGAATAGAGTATGCGAAGGCTCAGAGGCATGGAAGGCAGGGACGGTGCACTGCAAGGCAGCAAGAAGCAGAGGTGATGCAGTAGGATATGCATGAGGGATTGGTTCCAGAGCTGCCCATCCAGGGCTTTGAGGAGGAAGGGTGGGTGGGAGGAAGATGGAAGTGGGAACTCGGGTCAGCTAAGGGGCTGAGGAGTTTGGAGGTGGGGAAGCAGAGAGGCTTGGAAGGGACCATCGATATATGTGGAACTGAGTTCCACTGGCTGGAAGAATAGGTCTGGGCCTCCTTGGCCCAGAGAAGGTGGAGGCTTGGAACAGAGCAGCCATGTACAGTTGTTTAGGCTGTGCACAATGCACAAGGACACCCTGGCAGATAGCAGCCCGTCAGGGGTCAGGGAGAGGGGAGAGGGGAGGGGAGGGGAGGATGGTTGGGGGGTGGTATCCAGCCCTACCTCTGCTCTGCCAAGACTTGCACTTTTCAACTGTGACAGCATGGGGAGTTGCCTTTTTCTTATTGGCCCACCCAAAATGGTGCTTCTTTCTTATTGGTTAGTCTGAAGGGTGCCTTTAAAAAATTAGTCCCCCTAGGCTGAACGCAGTGGCTCAGGCCTGTAATCCCAGCACTTTGAGAGGCCGAGGAGGGTGGATTGCCTGAGGTCAGGAGTTCGAGATCAGCCTGGCCAACATGGTGAAACCCCATCTCTACTAAACATGCAAAAATTAGCCAGTCATGGTGGCGCACACCTGTAATCCCAGCTACTCAGGAGGCTGAGGCATGAGAATCGTTTGAACCCAGGAGGCAGAGGTTGCAGTGAGCCAAGGTTGCGCCATTGCAGTCCAGCTTGGGAGACAGAGAGAGACCCTGCCTCAAAAAAAAAAAAAAAAGAAAAAATTAGTCCCCCTAGAAGGGTGCCTTTTTCTAATTGATCTATTCAGAGGGCATGCATTCATTTTCAAATTGGTCCCCTCAAAGGGGTGGCCTCTTCCAATTGCTTTACCCAAAGGGGGTGCTTTTTTCCGATTGGCACAAAGGGGTCCCATAGACTGGGCTGCGGGGGAGGCCGCAGTGGCCCAGGCTCTGCTACGGACCTGCTATGTGACTTTGGGAGTCACTGTTCCTCCCTAGAACCACAGACTGAGCAAGAGGACAGCTGGGCCAATCGCTGCACTGTGCAGAGGCGGAGAATGAGCCCAGAAAGGGGCAGCAACTTTGCTGAGGTTACACAGTGACACACAGCAGAGCTGCCACTCGACTCTTGCCTCCGTGCTCTATCCTCCCTGCATCGGCTTAGGTCGCTGGCTGCGCCGTGGACTTGGTGTTTCTTTAAGGAGAGGACAGGGAATGAGAGGGGACAAGAGACAGGGAGGGGAGGGCAGCCTAGACTATAGCTCCCTGGGGTGGGGGTCAGAAGGGGTCAGGGTGCCCCAGGCCTCTAGAAGCCCCTTCCCGCCTCCCCCCAGCCCCATGGGGTTGTCATTTGCAGATGTTAATTATTCACGATGCTGCCGCTTTGCCTGGTTTTAATGCACTTTGATGGCGTTCTCTAGCTAATGGGGAAAATCAATAGGTCTTAATTCTTAGTGGCTGTGAAGCTCTGTCTGTCTCCTGTTTGGGTGGCTGGGCCTGGCTCTTCGGCTGGAGGTAGCGGGTAGAGGCTCAGACACAGTTCACAAGAGCCTAAGACTCCACCTTTCCCTCTCCCACCCCTGACCCTCTTCTGATGACAGCCTAGGGAAGGAGGATTAGAGTCACCATGCAGCTCCAAACTCTGCCCTGAACATCTTGGAGGGTCTGACCCCTTCAATCTCGGCCATTTGCCACCCCTCCTAGAGGGATGGTGGTTCCCTCTGCCTCCCCCAAGGCCCTCCTGGCCCCTGAGCCAGACCTATGGGCCATACCATTGGGACAGCAGGGGCCATGTCACAAATTTCTGGCGCCAGAGCCAGGCCTGTAGCCCTTGGCTCTGTTGCTTTGGGATGTGGGGGAGTTTTCCTCTCACCACTCAGGGTCAGCCCTGGTCATCCTCCTGGGTGCAGGCCTGGCTTACAGACCTGTCTTGAGGAGTTGAAGGAATCTGGCCTGGGCCCCACATTAAGAACCTTAAACTTAGACTTACTTGGCCGGTTTACAGTGAGCCTAGATCAAGCCGCTGTACTCCATCCTGGGTGACAAAGCGATACTTCACCTCAAAAAAAGAAAAAGAAAAAAAGAAAAACAAAACGTAGACCTGTGGTATTATCTTTGCATGCCGTCATACACTCAGGCATGACAGTTTCTCTGATGGGATTGAAAGCTAAGACATTCATGGGACGTCATCCGGGAAACCTCCCTTCTCAGACCATACCCTCCTCCGCTACCCCGTGGTGGTCAATGTCCTATATGAGTCCTGTAATTATCTTGTGAATGGAACAGCTATATGGCACTGTATTTGTGTGTTTGTATTAAGAGTGTTCATTACAGCTGGGTGTGGTGGCTCACTCCTGTAATCCCAGCACTTTGGGAGGCTGAGGCTGGTGGATCACCTGAGGTCAGGAAATCAAGACCAGCCTGACCAACATGGTGAAACCCCGTCTTTACTAAAAATACAAAAATTAGCTGGGCGTGGTGGCAGGCACCTATAATCCCAGCTACTCGGGAGGCTGAGGCAGGAGAATCACTTGAACCCGGGAGGCGGAGGTTGCAGTGAGCCAAGGTCGTGCCACTGCACTCCAGCCTGGGTGACAGAGCAAGACTCCATCTCAAACAAACAAACAAACAAACAAACAAAACCAAGACAAAACAGGAGTGTTCATTAGGCAGATGTAAACATTTAAGATACACCGTGGTTTTCATAATGCTGTTTTTGGTATTTTTTAATGTTTCCAAAACACAATGAGCCTCCAAGAGAGGAAGAGGCCTGAGATAGCTAGGCCTTGGGGAGGCCCTGCCTGCTTCCTGGTGGAGCCAGGCCCTTCCTGATGGAGCTGAGGCCCACCCTTGGCTGGCTGGAAATGCTCGGGCCATTTAGAGGATCTGTCCGCTGGGGCCCTCACCTATCACTGTAGCTGTCTGGAACCCAGGACCCAGGGCTCGGAGAATGGCGTCTGCCAAGTTTCATCTGCTCTGTCCGCCCAGGCCCAACCTAGGCATGATCATAGCTCACTGCAGCCTTGATCTGGGCTCAAGCAATCCTTCCACCTCAGCCTCTTGAGTAGCTGGGACTGCAAGCATGTGTCACCATTCCCAACTAATTTTTTTAATTTTTAATTTTTGTAAAGATGGGGGTCTCATTATATTACCCAGGCTAGTCTTGTACTCCTGGCCTCAAGCAATTTTCCCACCTCAGCTTCCCAAAGTGCTAGGATTACAAAGCATGAGCCACCTCGCTGGGCCCCTGGTTTCCTAGAAGAAGTCTTACTTGAATTAAAGTTTATCAGAATGTTGCGGCCGGGGAAGGTGGCTTATGCCTGTAATCCCAGCATTTTGGGAGGCGAAGGCAGGTGGATCACCTGAGGTCAGAAGTTCAAGACCAGCCCAACCAATGTGGTGAAACCCTGTCTCTACTAAATACAAAAAATTAGCCAGGCATGGTGGCGCATGCTTGTAATCCCAGCTACTTGGGAAGCTGAGGCAGGAGAATCACTTGAACCTGGGAGGTGGAGGTTGTAGTGAGCCGAGATTGTGCCATTGCACTCCAGCCTGGGCAACAAGAGTGAAACTCGGTCTCAAAAAAAAAAAAAAAAAAGGTTGCTTCTTCATTTTGTCAAGGATGCCAATGTCTTCCCAGAAGGAGGTTGTGAATTGCATCACATGGAAAAAAGTTATATCCTGAGCCAGGTTTGGGCCAAGTTTTCTTTATCACAAGGTAGAATTTTGTTTCTCAGGTAGCAGTCCAGGGGTTGGTAGTCTTCTCAGTCGAAAATGGCTTATAAGCATCACGCTCACATTTTGGTCCTCAAGAAGGAAGAAAGATGGAGTGATGCCTAAATGACACTCCTTACTCCTACTCATTTTCTGTTAGTGAATAGTTGGTTCCTCACTGCAAGGGAGACTGGGAGACTGGGAAATTCAGTCTCTAGCTGCATGGCCATATGCATTGCTAAAGGTGCAAAGGTGGATTACTATTGAAAAGAGGAAGGGAGAATAGGATACAATTAGCAGTCATGATCTAATTCATAGCAGAGGTTCCAAATCCTCCTCTCTGCCTCAAACTCTGTTTGGTAACCCATTTCTTGTGCTTTTTTTTTTTTTTTTGGAGTCTCGCTCTGTCAGAGGAAATACGTGGAGCAACCAACCTATATTGAATCGGGGGACAGGGGCTCCAAGACCTAGATTATGCAATGTGTTTGAATATACTAAGAAGAGCCTTTCAGTTTTGTCAGGAGGGTTTGTGAATGCACTGATAAAGCTGAAATGAAAACATTAAGCAATGATTAACTCCAGGGAAAACAAAAGGTTGCACAAAAATGGAAATGCCATCATGGTATACTATGTGGCTGAGCTGTTAATATTATCTACAAAGGTATAATAATATAAATACCAAAACTTATTTTAACCAAAAAGGTTATATAACCATATTTAACCAAAAAGGTTATGTAACCATATTTAACCAAAAAGGTTATATAACCATATTGGGAGGATGAAGACAGTATGCATGTGTGTGGAAGAGGAGGGATAGGATATTAGAGAACTACATTTTCATTTTCTATAGTAGGAAGTAAGATCAAAACCAGAAAAATCAAGAAATAGCTGTGTTCACAGATTCTTTAGAATCTTGCCATTCAGAGAATAATCCATGGACCAGTAGCATCAGCATCACCTGGGAGCTTATTAGAAATGCACAATCTTGGAACCTGCCCCAGACCTGCTGAATCAGAACCTGTATTTTAACAAGATCCCTGGGTGAATTTCATGTTGCTTGGAGTTTGAATGACCTTGACTTCCAAAGACAACAGCAAACAGCAGGATCAGCTAAAAGTGTTGAATGCATTGCCTAATTTAGAAAGAGAAGAGTTGGAGTGCAGAGCAGCAGGATAAGGGGCTGCTAATTTTTGAGATACCGCCTGTAGCTTTGAGTTTTAAACTATGTGGAGGATTTATGTTGCTGAAAAAAAGTAAATCGTGTGCATGAATTCAAATCCCAATGCTGGCTGGGTGTGGTGGCTCATGCTTGTAATCCCAGCACTTTGGGGGGCCGAGGTGGGAGGATCACTTGAGGCTAGGAGTTCAAGACTAGCCTGGCCAACATGGTGAAACCCCGTCTCTACTGAAAATACAAAAAAATTAGCCAGGTGTGGTAGTGGGCACCTGTAACCCCAGCTACTCAGAAGGCTGAGGCAGGAGAATCGCTTGAACCTGGGAGGCAGAGGTTGCAGTGAGCCAAGGTCGTGCCACTGCACTCGAACCTCGGTGACACAGCAAGATTCCATAAACAAACAAACAAACACACACACACACAAACAAACAAACAAAAAAACCAATCTCAGTGCTACAAAAAGAAATACAAAGGCTTCCTCCTACTAGAGGCCCCCAGGCTGTCCTATGCCTTGTCAACAGTTTCTAGAGCATCCTTCCAGAACATTTCTCTGCACATCCAGCCTTTGTGTGTGTGACTATCCTGTTTGTCATTTATCTTTATTTTATTTTTTGAGATGGGGTCTCACTCTGTCACCCAGGCTGGAGTGCACTGGTGTAATCATAGCTCACTGCAGCCTCAACTTCCCAGGCTCAAGCAATCCTCAACTTCCCAGGCTCAGCCTGGGACTACAGGCATTACCACCACGTAATTTTTTAATTTTTTGTAGAGACAAGGTCTCACTGTGTTGCCCAGACTGGCCTCGAACCTGTGGGCTCAAGTGGTCCTCCCACCTTGGCCTCACAAAATGCTGAGATTACAGGCATGAGCCACCGTGGCTGGCCCGGTTTATTATCATTATCATTACTATTATTATTTCAAACATGAGAGCACATGCAATGCACCGTTGGGCTTCGTGCTATCTTCACTTAACAATAGCTTGAAGATTGTTCCATATATGTGCATATTGATCTGCTTAATTCATTTACAGATTGCTTTTATAGGCTATTACAGGATGCATGGTATTGTAATTTGTTTAACTGCTCCCCTACTGATGGGAAATCAGGTTGTTTACAGCCTTCTTCTATTACACACAGTGCTACAATAAGCATTTTCTAACCACAATGTAGTGTAGGGTTAAGGGGACAGAGTATCTGGGGTTGGAAACCTAGGGGTGCTGTGAAAGCCAGTTATTTGTCCTCTATGAACCTCAGTTTCTATAGCTGTGAAATGAGAATGAAAATGATATTTACAGTGCCTACTATGTGCACTTATATTCTAGACACAGGGGATTCGGGAATGAACAAAACCGATATAAGTCCCTGCCTTTGTGGAGTTATATTCTCGTGGCAGGAGATAGATATTAAATAAGATAAATTAATAAAAATAGGCCAGGTGCAGTGGCTCATGCCACTAACTCCAGCCCTTTGGGAGGCCGAGGCGGGAGGATCACTTGAGGTTGGGAGTTCGAGACCAGCCTGGCCAACGTGGTGAAACTCCGTATCTATTAATACAAAAAATTAGCCGGGTGTGGTAGCACGCATCTGTAATCCCAGCTACTCGGGAGGCTGAGGCAGGAGAATCACTTGAACCCGGGAGACAGAGGTTGCAGTGAGCTGGGATCGCACCACTGCACTCCAGCCTGGGCGACAGAGTGAGATTCCATCTAAAAAAACAAAAGAAAAATAAATTAATAAAAATGGATGATGATAATAAGTGATGAAGAAAGTGGAGCAAGAAGAGGATGGAGTGGGAGGTCTGCAGTGTTAGGTAGGTGGCTGCAGATGGCCTTACTGATAAAGTGACACTTGAGTGGCATGGACCTCAAGGGGCTGAGTAGAGAGCTCTGCAAATCCTTGTGGGAAGAGCATTCCAGGGAAAGGAACACGGATGGGAAACTCACTACCTCCCATAGAGCTGCAGGCAATTAAAAGGGCTCTCTATTAGTCAGAGTTCTCTAAAGGGACAGAACTGATAGGATAGATGAATATTTGAAGGGGAGTTTATTAGGAGAATTGACTCACACGATAACAAATGAAGTCCCACAATAGGCCGTCTGCAAGCTGATGAGCCGGGAAGCCAGTCCAAGTCCCAAAACCTCAAAATTAGAGAAGCTGACAGTGCAGCCTTTAGTCTGTGGCTGAAGGCCCGAGAGCCCCTGGCAAACTACTGGTGTAAGTCCAAGAGTCCAAAAGCTGAAAAACTTGGAGTCTGATGGTTGAGCGCAGGAAGCATCCAGCACGGGAGAAAGATGGAGGCCAGAAGACTCAGCCAGCCTAGTGCTTCGACATTCTGCTGCCTGCTTTTATTCTAGCCACACTTGCAGCTGATTAGATGGTGCCCACCCAGATGGAGGGTGGGTCTGCCTCTCTCAGTCCACTGACTCAAATGTTAATCTCCTTTGGCAACACCCTCACAGACACACCCAGGATCAATACTTTGCATCCTTCAATCCAATGAAGTTGACACTCAATATTAACCATCACAGGCTCCCTCCCTGTACCTTCCACCTCCTGGCCCTTAGTCTGTCCTTGGGGATCCATACACAATAAGAAGAATCCCTCCCCTGCATGCTGCAGCTGTTCCATCAAATGCCAGCAAGAGAGCTGCCCCTGCCACATGGTCCTGTGTTGAGATGGAGCTGCCCAAAGAACTATGGTGGCTCCCTGGTGGCCTCAGATGCCCAGCCCAGCGGGGTCAGTCCCTAGCCACAGGGGACTCTGCCCCCTGGTCTGGATCCTTCTTCCGGACAGTTGTGTGGTGGGGAGGAGGAACCAGGAGAGAGTGGGGGCTGGGAGTGCCATCTTAGGGTGAGCACACTTGGCTCACAGAGAAGGTTGGCAGCGTGGGCAAGCTGTGTGCAGACCTCAGCAAGGTGGGATATGTGAGAACAGCCCTCTTAGGCAGTTGTCAGCTCTGCTTCAATTTATTTATTTATTTGTAAATAATTTTATTATTTATTTATTTATAAATATAAATTATTTATTATTTATTTATAAATATAATTTATTCATTTATAAATATAAATTATTTATTTATTAATTTATAAATATAAATTATTTATTTATTATTTATTTATGATGGAGTCTCTCTGTGTCGCCAGACTGGAGTGCAGTGGCAGCATCTCGCTTCACTGCAACTCCACCTCCTGAGTTCAACCGATTCTCCTGCCTCAGCCTCCTGAGTAGCTGGGATTACAGGCGTATGCCACCAGGCTTGGCTAATTTTTGTATCTTTAGTAGAGACGGGGTTTCACCATGTTGGCCAGGATGGTCTCGATCTCCTGACCTTGTGATCCACCCGCCTCGGCCTCCCAAAGTGCTGGGATTACAGGCATGAACCACCACGCCCGGCCTCCTTCTTTATTTTTTTATCTTTTATTTTATTTTACTTTTTTAAATAGAGATGGGCGTCTCCCTATGTTGCCCAGGCTGGTCTCGAACTCCTAGGCTCAAGCGATCTTCCTGCCTCAGCCTCCCAGAGTGCTGAGATTAAAGGCGTGAGCCCCTGTGCCTGGCTTCGCTCTCACTTCAGAGAGTAAGATCCGTTTCAGAATTTCTCTGCAGACATCTTTAGGACGGCAGTCTGGTTGGAAGAAGAAGTGCTGGGGAGTTTGTTTCAAGGCAGCACTGGAAGACAGATGTGCTGTTTAACTCATAGTATGTTTATTTTATTATTATTATTATTATTATTATTTTCTTGAGATGGAGTCTTGCTCTGTCGCCCAGGCTGGAGTGCAGTGGTGCGATCTCAGCTCACTGCAACCTCCGCCTCCCTGGTTCAAGTGATTCTCCTACCTCAGCCTCCCCAGTAACTGGGACTACAGGCACCTGTCACCACGCCCGGCTAATTTTTGTATTTTTAGTAGAGACGGGGTTTCACCATGTTGGCCAGGCTGGTCTTAAACTCCTGACCTCAGGTGATCCACCAGCCTTGGCTTCCCAAAGTGCTGGGATTACAGGCGTGAGCCACCGTGCCTGGCTTAGAGTATGTTTATTTGGGAGGACTTGGTGGGGGAACAGAAGAGCAAGTGGTGGGAGGGCTAAAGTCCCCCAAGCCACCCAGTAGCATCACCATTGCCCCAGGGTCATGGGAACAGGAAGGACTCTGGTGTCCTCACTCCCCCAGCCTCGCAGTCCGCCTCCAGCAGGGAGTCTAGCAGAGAATGGCTAAGGTGGTTTGCACAGTTGCAGCCTCAGCATTGCAAAGATGACTACGAAAGGGGTAGATTTGAACTTAACATCCGACACAGGGGCGTTTCAGGTCATGAGGAAGGGCCAGGTGTGGTGCTCACGCCTGTAATCCCAGCACTTTCAGGAGCCAAGACGAGAGGATCAATTGAGCCCAGGAGTTTGAGACCAGCCTGGGTAACATGGTAAAATCTGGTCTCTAAAAAAATTAAAAAATTAGCTGGGCGTGGTGGCACATACTTGTAGTCCCAGCTATTCCGGAGGCTGAGGCCGGAGGATCGCCTGAGCCCAGGAGTTTGAGGCTGCAGTGAGCTTCCAGTATCAGTGCACTCCAGCCTGGATGACAGAGCAAGACCCTGTCTCTAAAACAAGACAAAAACAAAGCAAATTAGTGAGGAAAAGATGGGCTACTTGATGGTCTTTGGAGAAATATAAATCTATATTCACAGTTACTAGACACCTTACTCTTTAAACCCTAGGAAACAACAGATGGATCAGAGATTTCAAAGTTAAAAATAAAGCTATAAAAGAATTAGAATAAAATGTAATGATTAAAAAAAGTCTCGATGCAAAAGGCTTTTCCAGGTGAGAAATCAAGTTCAGAAATCAAAAATTTGACTAGAAAAGGCCGAGCGCTGTGGCTCACGCCTGTAATCCCAGCACTTTGGGAGGCCAAGGCGGGCAGATCACTTGAGGTCAGGAGTTCGAGACCAGCTTGGCCAACATGGGGAAACCCCATCTCTACTAAAATACAAAAATTAGCCGGGCGTGGTGGCAGGCACCTGTAATCCCAGCTACTTGGGAGGCTGAGGGAGGAGAATCGTTTGAACCTGGGAGCAGACATTGCAGTGAGCTGAGATCACACCATTGCACTCCAGCCTGGGCAACAGAGACTCCATCTCAAAAAAAAAAAAAGGAAAATTGTCTATGCAGCAAAAACTACCATATGCAAAATAAACACAAATAGCAAATGATTTTAAAACTGCGTAATGCAAAGGACAGATAAGGGGTAATATCCATAAACCAAAATTAGCTCTCATAAATCAGAAAGAAAAGGACTGTGAATCAAATAGGAAAAAGAGCAGCCTGGGCTCACATCTTCATGTCGTTAGTCCCAGCACTTTGAGAGGCTGAGGTGGGAGGATTGCTTGAGCCCAGGAGTTCGAGACCATCCTGGCAACATGGTGAGACTCCATCTCTACAAAAAATACAAAAGAAATTAGCTGGGCCTGGTGGTGGTTGCCTACAGTTCCAGCTACTTCAGAGGCTGAAGTGGGAGGATCACTTGAGCCCAAGAGTTTGAGGCTGCAGTGAGCTGTGATCGCGCCACTGCACTCCAGCCTGTTTCAAAAAACAAAAACAAAAATGAAAACAAACATCATGCCTGTAATCCCAACATTTTGGGAGGCCAAGGTGGGTGGATCACCTGAGGTCAGGTGTTTGAGACCAGCCTGACCAATACGGTGAAACCCCGTCTCTACTAAAAATCCAAAAAAACTAGCCAGGTGTGGTGGCATGCGCCTGTAGTCTCAGCAACTCGGGAGGCTGAGACAGGAGAATTGCTTGAACCTGGGAGCCAGAGGCTGCAGTGTGCCGAGATCCTGCCACTGCGCTCCAGCCTGGGCAACAGAGGAGGACTGTATCTTAAAAAAAAAAAAAAGAAAGAAAGAAAAGAAAAGAAAACAAACAACAACAACAACAAAAGAAAAGAGAAAAAAAGGAAAAAGCAGAGAATGTAAACTGGTAAATGGAAATAAAGAAATATAAATAGCCAGTAAGTATGTGGGGAACGATACTCATCTTCTCATTACTGAAGGGTCTTTGCACTTTCTGTGCCTTTGCCTGTGACCCTCCTTTCCCAGGTAGCAACAGTAGCTTGCATTCAATTCCTTCAGTTCTGTGTCACTCAAAAATCTAAGGGCTATTACGGCCGGGAGTGGTGGCTCACGAAAATCAAACTTTGTGTGTGTGTGTGTCTGGGTGTGTGTGTGTGTTTGAGATGGAGTCTCACCCTGTTGCCCAGGCTGGAGTGCAGGAGTGCACTGGCGTGATCTTGACTCACTGCAACCTCTGCCTCCTGAGTTCAAGTGACTCTCCTTCCTCAGCCTCCGGAGTAGCTGGGATTACAGGTGCCCGCTACCACGCCTGGCTGATTTTTTTGTATTTTTAGTAGAGACGGGGTTTCACCATGTTGGTCAGGCTGGTCACGAACCCCTGGCCTCAAGTAATCCACCTGCCTCGGCCTCCCAACGTGCTGGGATTACAGGCGTGAGCCATGGTGCCCAGTGGACTTCTAGGCTTCTTGCTTGTGGATCTAGATTGATGGTTTTGCTAGTCACTGAAATAGGGACACCAAAAGAGGATTGGGTATGGAGGACCCTGAAGGCAAGCTTGTCCTCCTGATGAGCCCCAGGGGCCTTGGAAACATCTAGGCGAGGTTGTGGAGCAGGAAGTTAGATGTATGGAATTGACTCCAAGGTGAGGTTTGGGCTGTGTATAATTGCGGGACTCATTGGTGTAGAGATGGTAACCAAGGCTGGGCGCAGTGGCTCACGCATGTAATCCCAGCACTTTGGGAGGCCTAGGCGGGCGGATCATGAGGTCAGGAGATTGAGACCATCCTGGCTAACACGGTGAAACCCCGTCTCTACTAAAAATACAAAAAATTAGCCAGGTGTGGTGGCACGCGCCTGTAGTCCCAGCTACCCGCGAGGCTGAGGCAGGAGAATTGCTTGACCCCGAGAGGCAGAGGTTGCAGTGAGCCGAGATTGCACCACTGTACTTCAGCCTGGGGTACAGAGCTAGACTCTGTCTCAAAAAAAAAAGAAAAGATGGTAACCAAAGTCCAAGGTGTAGCTGGGTCAGTGCCTCACACTTGTAATCCCAGTACTTTGGGAGGCCGAGGCTGGAGGATTGCTTGAGGCCAGGAGTTTGAGACCAGCCTGGGCAAGATGGTGAAACCCCATCTCTATTGAAACAAACCAAAAACAAAGTCAAAGTGAGTGGGATCAATGAGGGTCAGTGTGGGGTGAGACAAAAAGAGGGCCTAGGACTCGCCTCCAGGAACCCTGATATCTAATTGCCATGTAGGAGGATGAGCCTGTAAAGGGGATGGAGGAAGGGAAGCCAGAATCATCGCAGAAGTCACAGGATTCAGCTTTGCATGAAGGAGGAAGAGTCAATGATCCTGAACACTCCTTCGGAGGCCAAGATAGATAAAGACTTAAAAACAAAAGTCCACTGGATTTAACTTTGATGTCAGAGAAAATGCTAATCCAGGGTTTCTTTGTTTCTTTACTTTGTCACTGTTGACATTTGGGCTGGATGATTCTGGGTCATAGGCGGCTGTCCAGTGTGTTAGCAGCCTTCCTGGATTTTATACACTAGATGCTAGTAGCACCCCATCCCTAGGTTGTTTTTTTTTCTTTGACAGAGTCTCACTTTGTCACCCAGGCTGGAGTGCAGTGCAGTTCAGTGGTACAGTCTTGGCTCACTGCAACCTCTGCCTCCTGGGTTCAAGCGATTCTCCTGCCTCAGCCTCCTGAGTAGTTGGGATTACGGGCACATGCCACCATACCCAGCTAATTTTTGTATTTTTAGTAGAGACAGGTTTTCTCCATGTTGGTCAGGCTGGTCTCAAACTGCTGACCTTTGGTGATCCGCTCCCCTTGGCTTCCCAAACTGTTGGGATTACGGGCATGAGCCACTGCACCTGGCCCCATCCCTAATTGTAAACATTGCTTCCAGATGTTGCCTAACATCTCTTGTTGGGAAAATCGCCCTGGTTGTGAACCCCTGCTTTGGCATTGTGTCTTGGGTCGGCATCCAAATGTGGCATTACATAGTTCTTTCTTTTTCTGAGGCAGGGTCTTGCTGCACCCAGGCTGGAGTGCAGTGGTGCAATCATGGCTCACTGCAGCCTCAACTTCCTGGGCTCAAGTGATCCTCTCACCTGAAGCCTCCTGATTAGCTGGGACTAATTTTTTGTATTTTTATATTTTTTGCAGAGACGAGGTTTTACCATGTTACCCAGGCTGGTCTGAAACTCCTGGGCTCAAGCGATTTGCCTACTTCGGCCTCCCGAAGTGCTGGGATTACAGGGGAGAGTCACCATGCCCAGCTTCTCCTTGCTTTTTTCACTTAACGGTATATCCTAGAGCTCTTTTCATTACAATACATAGAAGCCTTCTTCATTATTTTATGGCAACAAAATATTCTGTTTTGTGGATTTACCATAGCTTATTTCATCACTTCCCTATTGATGATTCTGATGATTCCCTAGGCTGTTTCCAGTCTTCTAAAAAGAAAGTCAACAGTACCAAGCCACACACACACACACAGACACACACAGACACACATACACACACACACACACAATTTTCATTCATGTCAAGTAGCTCTATAGCATAAATTCCCAGGAGTGTTCAGAAAAAATAAATAAAGGAAAGAAAAAAGAAAATCTGAGCTATCTGATCAGGAAAAAACATCCCCAGAAATGAGACTGCTGAGTCAAAGGATAAATGCATTTGCAATTTTGCTAGATAATGCCAAATTGTCAATCACAGGAGTGGTAGCAATCTGCACAAGCCATTAGAAATGTACTCAAGAGCTTATGTCTCCTTCACCTCAATAGAGTCAAAAGGAAAATGACAAACTAGGACAAAATATTTGCAACTCATATCACAAATGAATGGCTATTCTGTCTAATATAAGAATTATTGGCTGGGCGCAGTGGCTCACCCCTATAATCCCAGCACTTTGGGAGGCGGAAGTGGGCAGATCGCTTGAGTCCAGGAGTTTGAGACCAGCCTGGGCAACATAGGAACATAGGCAGACCCCCATCTCTACAAGTAAGTAAATAAATAAAATATTAATGAGATGGATTCAATTGAAAGTGATTGAAATACAGAAGTGAGAAGTTCCTGAGAAGGTGGAAGTGGGTGAGATTCAAGGCCAGGTGTAAGTGTAGGTGTTTGCCCCAGTCTCTTTTCTTGCTTTCTTTCTTTCTTTTTTTTTTTTGAGACAGAGTCTCGCTCTGTCGCCAGGCTGGAGTACAGTGGCAGGATCTCAGCTCACTGCAACCTTCGACTCCCTGGTTCAGGTGATTCTCCTGCCTCAGCCTCCCGAGTAGCTAGGATTAAAGGCATGCGCCACCACGCCCAGCTAATTTTTGCATTTTTAAGTAGAGATGGGATTTCAGCATGTTGGCCAGGATGGTCTCGATCTCCTGACCTCATGATCCTCCCACTTCGGCCTCCCAAAGTGCTGGGATTACAGGCGTGAGCCACCGCGTCTGGCCCCCAGTTTCTTTTGTTTTTGTTGTGTTTTTGTTTTTTTGAGATAGAGTCTCACTCTGTCTCCCAGGCTGGAGTGCATTGACATGATCTCAGTTCACTGCAACCTCCGCCTCCCAGGTTCAAGCGATTCTCCTGCCTCAGCCTCCTGAGTAGCTGGGATTACAAGTGTCCACCACCACACCCAGCTAATTTTTGTATTTTTAGTAGAGACGGGGTTTCGCCATATTGGCCAGGCTGGTCTCAAACTCCTGACCTCGAGTGATTTGCCTGCCTCGGCCTCCAAAACTGCTGGAATTACATGTGTGAGCCACCGTGCCCGACCCTGCCTCAGTTTCTCCATTCATAAAATGGGGGTTCTCGAGCTAACCATGAAAGGCACCTAGCACTGTTCTTTGCTAAATGTAACTCATCCCTTTGCTGAGATCCAGGGCAGACTGGGCTTGGGACCACTGGGCAGAGGCCAGCCCTGGGAACAGGCCTTGTGCACAGGTCCTCCGAGTGCAGCCTGGAGGATGGTCGGTGTTCAGTGGAGGGCCTGAGCCACTCCTGGAGCCTCACCATAGGAGAGGAAGGGAGACCTTTAGCAAAGCCGGAGGAGGGAAACCTGCGGGCCTGGAGCCATCTCTTTGTGAGTCCACCCACAGCCTTCTTCAAAGCTCCACCAAGCCCACGATGGGGACAGATTGGCCCTAAATTTAGCTAAACATCAGGCCCAGATGGAGCTTTTAAGAAGCACAGTGCACAACAACAGTCATGAGCACTGTCAGTGGAAGCCCCTGGTTTACAAAAGAGGAAACAGGCGAGAAAGGGCAGGGGGCTATTTCCAGAGCTACACTGCAGGATAGGCCTGACTCCTGCTAACAAGTGTGTATTATGGGCTGGAATGTGTCCCCCTCCAAATGCATATGTTGAAGTCCTGACTCCCAGTGCCTCAGAATGTGACCGTATCTGGAGATAGCAACTTTAAAGAGGTAATTAAGTGAAAATGAAGTCATTGCGGTGGGTGGGGGGGGGGGGGTCCGAATCCAATGTGACTGGTGTCCCTATAAGAAGAGGAGATTAGGGCTGGGTACAGTGGCTCATGCCTATAATCCCAGCACTTTGGGAGGCTGAGGTGGGTGGATTACCTGAGGTCAGGAGTTCAAGACCAGCCTGATCAATATGGTGAAACCCTGTCTCTACTAAAAATACAAAAATTAGCTGGGCATGGTGGCCTGTGCCTGTAGTCCCAGCTACTCAGGAGGCTGAGACAGGACAATTGCTTGAACCGGGGAGGTGGTAGTTTCAGTGAGCTGAGATCACACACCTGCACTCCAGCCTGGATGACAGAGCGAGACACTGTCTCAAGAAAAAAATTAGCTGGGCATGGTGGTGAGTGCCTGTAATCCCAGCTACTTGGGAGGCTGAGGCAGGAGAATTGCTTGAATCCAGGAGGTGGAGGTTGCAGTGAGCTGAGATCGTGCCACTGCACTCCAGCCTGGGTGACAGAGCAAGGCTCAGTCTCAAAAAAAAGAAAAAAAAGAAGAGGAGATTAGGACACAGACATACAGAGGGAAGACCATGTGAAGATACAGGAAGAAGATGACCATTTAAGGCCCACTCTGGTGGCTTAAACCTATAATCCCAACACTTTGGGAGACCAAGGCAGGAGGATTGCTTGAGGCCAGGAGTTTGAGGCCAGCCTGAGCAACACAGTGAGAGCCCATCTGTCTTTTTTTTTTTTTCTCACTCTGTTGCCCAGGCTGGAGTGCAGTGGTGCGATCTCAGCTCACTGCAACCTCCACCTCCCGGGTTCAAGCGATTCTTCTGCATCAGCCTCCCGGCTAGCTGGGACTACAGGCGTGAGCCACCATGCTCGGCTAATTTTTTGTATTTTTAGTAGAGACAGGGTTTCACCATGTTGTCCAGGCTGGCCTTGAACTCCTGACCTCAGGTGATCCGCCCGCCTCGGTCTCCCAAAGTGCTGGGATTATAGGTGTGAGCCATCACGCCTGGCGGAGCCTGTTTCTTAAACAAAATTGGCTCTCTGCTCCTCCCATTCGACAGACAGCCGCATCTTTTCTCACATCCCTGAGAGCATGGTGAAGGTCGGAACAAATGGATTTGGTCGTATTGGGCGCCTGGTCTCCAGGGCTGCTTTTAACTCTGGTAAAGTGGATATTGTCGCCATCAATGACCCTTCATTGACCTCGACTACATGGTCTACATGTTCCGGTATGATTGCATCCGTAGCAAATTCCATGGCACTGTCAAGGCTGAGAACGGGGAAATCCCATCATCATCTTCCAGAAGCAAGATCCCTCCAAAATCAAATGAGGAGATGCTGGTGCTGAATACGTCGTAGAGTCCACCAGCATCTTCACCACCATGGAGAAGGCTGGGACGCACTTGCAGCGGGGAGCCAAAAGGGTCATCATCTCTGCCCCCTCTGCTGACGCCCCATGTTCGTGATGGGCGTGAGCCATGAGAAGTATGACAACGGCCTCAAGATCGTCAGCAATGCCTCCTGCACCACCAACTGCTTAGCACCCCGTCCAAGGTCATCCATGACAACTCTGGTATTGTAGAAGGACTCACGACCACAGTCCATGCCATCACTGCCACCCAGAAGACTGTGGATGGCCCCTCCAGGAAACTGTGATGTGACAGCCACGGGGCTCTCCAGAACATCATCCCTGCCTCTACTGGTGCTGCCAAGGCTGCGGGTAAGGTCATCCCTGAGCTGAATGGGAAGCTCACTTGCATGGCCTTCAGTGTCCCCGCTGCCAACGTGTCGGTCGTGGACCTGACCTGCCGCCTGGAAAAACCTGTCGAATATGACGACATCAAGAAGGTGGTGAAGTGGGCATCTGACGCCCCCTCAAGGGCATCTGGGGCTACACTGAACACCAGGTTGTCTCCTCCGACTTCAACCGTGACACTCATTCTTCCACCTTCGACGCTGGGGCTGGCATTGCCCTCAACGACCACTTTGTCAAGCTCGTTTCCTGGTATGAGAATGAATTTGGCTACAGCAACAGGGTGGCGGACCTCATGGCCCACATGGCCTCCAAGGAGTAAGACCCCCGGACCACCAGCCCCAGCAAGAGCATGAGAAGAAGAGAGAGGCCCTCACTGCTGGGGAATCCCTGCCACACTCAGTCCCCCACCCACCACACTGAGAATCTCCCTTCCTCACAGTTTCCATGCAGACCCCCTGAAGAGGGAGGGGCCTAGGGAGCCCCGCCTTGTTGTGTACCATTAATAAAGTCCCCAGCACTCAGCCAATCAATCAATCAATCAGTTTTAAAAAGATGATCATCTACAAGCCAAGGAGAGAGGCCTCAGAAGAAACCAACCCGGCCGACACCTTGATCTTGGACAATCTCCAAGTCTCCACAATTGTGAGAAAATAAATTTTTCTTGTTTAAACCTCCTAGTCTGAGGCACAGTTGTCCCTTGGTGTCCCTGGGGATTGGTTCCAGGACTTCCCACATATCAAAATTGGCAGATGTTCAAGTCTTCATATAAAATGTTGTATTATTTGAAAATAATCTATGCAGTATACTTTAAAACATCTCTAGGTTACTTAGAATACTTAATACAATGCAAATGCTATGTAAATAGTGGTTATACTGTATTTTTTATTGTATTTTATTGTATTGTATTTCACTTTTTTTAGAGACAGGGTCTCTCTCTGTTGCCCAAGCTGGAGTGCAGTGGGGCAACCAGAGCTCACTGCAGACTTGAACTCCTGGGCTCAGTTGATCGTCCCACCTCTGCCTCCAGAGTAGCTGGGAGTACAGGTATGTGCTACCATGCCCAGCCAATTTTTATAAATTTTTCTGAAGAGATGGTGGTCTCATTTCGTTGCTCAAGCTGGTCTCAAACTCCTGGCCTCAAGTGATTTGCCTGCCTTGGCCTCCCAAAGTGCTGGGATTATAGGTGTGAGCTACTGAACTCAGCCTAGTATTGCTCTTTTGTTTCTTTTTTTGAGATGGAGTCTCACTCTGTCGCCCAGGCTGGAGTGCTGCAGGACAATCTTGGCTCACTGCAACCTCTGCCATCTGGGTTCAAGTGATTCTCGTGCCCCAGCTTCCCGAGCAGCTGGGATTACAGGCACACGCCACCATACCCAACTAATTTTTGTATTTTTAGTAGAGATGGGGTTTCACCATATTGGCCAGGCTGGCTTCAAACTCCTGACCTCAGGCCATCTCCAGCCTCGGCCTCCCAAAGTGCTGGGATTACAGGCATGAGCCACTGCACCCAGCCTATTACAGTTTTTTTTTTTTCCAGATATTTTTGACCTGTGGTTGGTTGAATCTGTGGTTGCAGAACCTGAGGATGTGGAGAGCTGGCTGTTTTTTGCCATGGCAGCCCTCACATACTAATGCAGTGCATTTCCCATTCATGTCAAATACATCTGAAGGCAAGTGGTCCAAGATGCTATGGCCACAACACAGAGTCTCACGCTCCACTTTCTCATCCACCTTCTATTTGCAAGGTCACTTCTTGGGCCAACATGGCTGCTGGAACTGCCTTACTCCAAGCAACAAGGAAGTGGGGAGAAAGCTTGTGTTCCTTCCTTTTAAGGCAACTTCCTACAAGTCCCATAGAGCCATTTTGCTTACATCTTATTGGCCACCGCTTAGTCACATGATGACACCTAGCTGCAAGGGAGGCTGGGAAATGTACCCAGCTAGAAGTAAAAGTTTATTCCTAAGGAGAAGGGGGAGAATGGATGCTGGGAGAGGTACCCAGTGGTCTCTGCCACAAACTATGATCTCAGACCACATACTGAAGAAGGCATGAAGAACTTTCTTACTTTTTCCATAAATCAGCATACTTTCTCTTCCTTTCCTTTCCATTCCTTTTTCTTTTTTTTTTCTTTTTTTTTTTTTGAGACAGAGTCTCACTCTGTTGCCCAGGCTGGAGTGCAGTGATATAATCTCAGCTCACTGCAGCCTCTGCCTCCCTGGTTCAAGCGATTCTCCCACCTCAGCCTCCTGAGTAGCTGCGATTACAGGTGCACACCACCATGCCTGGCTAATTTTTATATTTTTAGTAGAGATGAGGTTTCACCATGTTGGCCAGGCTGGTCTCAAACTCCTGACTCAGGCGATGCACCTGCCTTGGCCTCCCAAAGTGCTGGGATTATAGGCATGAGCCACCATGCTTGGCCACTCAGCATAATTTCTATTGCAAGCTAAGATGGCATTTTCACCTATGTGAATGTGTATATTTCTTGGTAACTTTTGAAGTGCCAAACTATGGTGGGCAGTGTCTGTACTGAAGTCCTCTGTCCATGCAGGTGTGCCTGAGACATCACCCCTCAGCCATTGACCCCCTGGCTTTCAGCTTACACAGGCTGCTTGTTTCTGTCTGTGCAGCTCCTTCTGCCTCTCAGGACCATGCTCAAGGCTCAGAGAATGTTCCACTACTCTCATGCCCACTGAGAACTAGGGCATTGTGTGAAGCATTCTCCCCTCTGCTCTTTTTTTTTCTTTTTGAGACAGGATCTTGCTCTATCCCTCAAGCTGGAGTGCAGTGGTGTATCATGGTTCACTGCAGCCTCAACCTCCTGGACTCCAGCAATCCTCTTATCTCAGCCTCCTGAGTAGCTGGGACTACAGGTGTGCACCACCATGTCTAGCTTACCTTTGTATTTTTTTGCAGAGATGGGGTTTCGCCATGTTGCCCAGGCTGGTCTCCAACTCCTGCACTCAAGTGATCCCCTGTCTTGGCCTCCCAAAGTGTTGGGATTACTGACGTGAGCCACCATGCCTGGTCCCATCTGCTCTGGGCTTTCTCAAGCATCTCTCTGGAGTCTCATCGCTTTTCCCCAAAGAAGTGGAGTTCAGAGCTTTTCCCTCTGAGATTTCCCAAACTCTCTCTTTTTTTCCATTACTTCCCCTCTGCCTTTCTCTTTTCTCCCTACCCCAGGGGCATCTGAAAGTGACAAGTCCTATTTTTGGCCTTTATCTTTCTCCAATAAGGACTTAAGCTATTGGGATATAAAAGCCCGAAACTCATGGATTTTACCTGCTTTCCACCCTCTCCCATTTCTCTACTGAATATGAGACAAAGACAGGTTTTGGATTAACATTAGGGAAGAAAGAAGAAAATAAAATATCAGGCTAGACATGGTGGCTCACACCTGTAATCTCAGCACTTTGGGAGGCTGAGACGGGAGGATTGCTTGAGCCCAGAAGTTTGAGACCAGTCTGGGGAACATAGTAAGACTCCGTCTCTACAGATAATAATAATAATAATAATAGTAAAGGTTTTTTAAAATCAAGAAATTAAATAAAACATCAATCTGTGTCTCAAAAAATATTCTCCTGCCATATTTACAATAAAGTGTCCTGTGGTTGGCACTTTTTGGCATTCCTCACTTCCCTCTCTCTTGCTACTGCCACTATTTACAGTCTAGAAAAGCTACATTTTCTCAGCCTCTCTTGAAGCTTAGGGAGGTGGTATTTCCCAGTCCTGGTCAATAAGATAGGGACAGAAGGCTGTTCAAGGTTTACAGGAAAGCTTTGAAAAAAGAGGGTCCAGGTGTGGCTGACATCATTTCTTTCCCTCTGCTTCCTACTTATAATGTGAACATGGCTGGGTGCAATGGCTCACACCTTTAATCCCAGCACTTTGGGAGGCCGAGGTGGGTGAATCACCTGAGGTCAGGAGTTCGAGATCAGCCTGGCTAACATGGTGAAACTCTGTTTCTACTAAAAATACAAAAAATTAGCTGGAGGTGGTGGTGCATATCTGTAATCCCAGCTACTTGGGAGGCTGAGGCAGGAGAATTGCTTGAACCTGGGAGGTGGAGGTTACAGTGAGCTGAGATCATGCCATTGCACTCCAGCTTGGGCAATAAGAGTGAAACTCCATCTCAAAAAAAAAAACAAAAAAAAAAAAGGTGAACGTGAACACAATGCCTGGAGCTGCAGCAGTCATCTTGCAACCATGAGGAAAAGGCTAAGAAAATCATACAGATGCCATGGCATCATAAGCAGCTGTATCTATATAGTATCATTTATTTACTATTAAGAAAGAAAAATAAACCCCGTTTTTAAGTAAACATAATCCCCAGGACATGGTAGGAGCCCCTGGATCAGGCTATGCCTGAAAGCCACCTACATCTAGACTTTTAGACTTTTGTTACTTGCTGCTGAAAGCATTCCTAATGTATATATGTTATTAAATTAACACAAATGCTTTTCTCTTTATTGTCACAGACTATGCCCAGATAGTAACAGAGTGACAGGCATCTTGAATTTTTTTTTTTTTTTAGATGGAGTCTCACTCTGTTACCCAGGCTGGAGTGCAATGGCACGATCTTGGCTCACTGCAACCTCTGCCTTCTGGGTTCAAGCTATTCTTCTGCCTCAGCCTCCCATCTTGAACTCTGAACCACACGGATGCAAGACCATTTCTAACCATCCTTCTATCATGCTCAGCCCAGGTCCTGCCACCAATTCTGTCCTGAGGGTTCCCATGCCAGACTCTAATTTTCAGAGTGAGTCAGGTATGTAAGGTAATGTTCAGGGCATACTGAGTGGAAACTCTTGATGGAGATAGACAGGCTGTAGAATGGAGATAGTCCTCCATTATTGTCAACCTTAGGACGCACCACCTTACCTTGGTCCCCCTTTCTCAGCAGCAGAGCTCATAAACTGAGTGTTTGGAGGAAGTCCAGACCCGTCTACTGGAAGTCTTCTACAGGATATGTCATTGCTACGGTCTGAATGTTTGTGTCCCTCCAAAATTCACATGTTAAAACCTAACCCCTACCATGATGGCATTGAGAGGCTGGAGCCTTTGGGAGGTCATTAGGTCGTGAGGGTTCTGACCTAGTGAATGGAATTTATGTCCTTATAAAAGAGGTTTGGGCCGGTGTGGTGGCTCACACCTGTAATCACAGCACTTTGGGAGGCTGAGGTAGTGGACTGCTTGAGCCCAGGAGTTCAAGGTCAGCCTGGGCAACATAGCAAAACCCTACAAAAAATACAAAAATTAGTGGGATGTGGTGGTGCATGCCTGTAGTCCCAGTGACTCAGGAGGCTGAGGTGGGAGGATCACCTGAGCCTGGAAGGTCAAGACTGCAGTGTGGCCGGGTGCAGTGGCTCACACCTGTAATCTCAGCACTTTGGGAGGCTGATGCGGGTGGATCATTTGAGGTCAAGAGTTCAAGACCAGCCTGGCCAACATGGTGAAACCCCATCTCTACTAAAAATACAAGAAATTAGCAGGGCAGTAATGGCACGCACCTGTAATCCCAGCTACTCAGGAGGCCGAGGCAGGAGAATCATTTGAGCCTAGGAGGTAGAGGCTGCAGTGAGCCCAGATTGAGCCACTGCACTCCAGCCTGGGTGACAGAGTAAGACCTTGTCAAAAAAAAAAAAAAAAAAAAAAAGCCAGCACGGTGGCTCAGGCCTGTAATCCCAGCACTTTGGGAGGCTGAGGCGGGTTGATCATTTGAGGTCAGGAGTTCGAGACCAGCCTGACCAACATAGAGAAACCCCATCTCTACTAAAAATACAAAATTAGCTAGGTGCGGTGGCACATGCCTGTAATCCCAGCTACTCAGGAGGCTGAGGCAGGAGAATCACTTGAACCCGGGAGGCGGAGGTTGTGGTGAGCCGAGATCATGCCATCGCACTCCAGCCTGGGCAATAAGAGCAAAGCTCCATCTCAAAAAAAAAAAAAAAAAAAAGGTGGCTGGGCGCTGTGGCTCAAGCCTGTTATCCCAGCACTTTGGGAGGCTGAGGCAGGCAGACTACAAGGTCAGGAGATCGAGACCATTCTGGCTAACACAGTGAAACCCCATCTCTACTAAAAATACAAAAAAATTAGCGGGGCATGGTGGCACACACCTGTGGTCCCAACTACGTGGGAGGCTGAGGCAGGAGAATTGCTTGAACCCGGGAGGCGGAGGTTGCAGTGAGTTGAGATTGCACCACTGCACTCCAACCTGGGCGACAGAGTGAGATTGTCTCAAAAAAAAAAAAACAAAAAAAAAAAAACAGGTTTGAGAGAGTCTGTCTGACACTTCTTCAGCGTGAGGACACAGTAACAAGGTTAACAAGGTGGCATCTATAAGGAACAGGCCCTCACCAAATCGGTCAGTACCTTGATCTTGTCTTCACAGCCTCCAAAACTGTGAGCAATATATATCTGTTGTTGGTAAATTACCCAGTATATGTTGTTATAGCAGCCTGAATGGACTAAGACAGTCGTGATGTACTGGGAAGGTTCCTGACTGCTCCAACGGGTGGTGCCAGGCTCAGGGCCCCTCTTCTTTTTTTTTGAGACGGGGTCTTACTCTGTTGCTCAGGCTGGAGTGAAGTGGCGCCATCTTGGCTCACTGCAACCTCTGCCTCCCGGGTTCAAGTGTTTCTCCTGCCCACCCTGTAGCTGGGATTACAGGCATCTGCCACCATGCCTGGCTAATTTTTGTATTTTTAGTAGAGATGGGGTTTAGCCATGTTGGCCAGGCTGGTCTCGAACTCCTGATCTCAGGTGATCCATCCACCTTGGCCTCCCAAAGTGCAGGGATTATAGGCGTGAGCCACCACGCCCGGCCAGCTCCTCTTCTTTGAGAAGTCCCTTTGCTAGTCCCTCACTTGTACACTCTTCCTCAGCTGAACTCACCAGGGCCTGGAAATGGAGGGGTGACAGAATACAGATATGGTTGGTGCATGGAACATGTGTCCCGTGGACTTCAAATCTGATTCCAGCCAGCTAAAACGTCATGACCCAAGCCAAATCAACCAGAGTAAGCCCTAGGACTCTTTTCAGAACAATTCAGGAGGAGAAACTTTCTTTCCTTTAGACTGAATCCTGAGAGAATAATAGTCTAGAATAGCTAGGATCCATCACTAGGGGAAAGTATGCCCTAGAGTAAAGTGAAAGCTAGGAGGGTGGGCATGGTGGCTTATGCCTGTAGTCCCAGCAGTTTAGGAGGCTGAGGCAGGGGGATCACCCAAGGTAAGGAGTTTGAGACCAGCCTGGCCAACATGGTAAAACCCTGTCTCAACTAAAAATACAAAAATTAGCTGGGCATGGTGGCAGGCGCCTGTAATCCCAGCTACTTGGGAGGCTGAGGCAGGAGAATTGCTTGAACTCAGGAGGCAGAGGTTGCAGTGGGCCGAGACTTCGCCTTTGCACTCCAGCCTGGGCAACAAGAGCAAAACTCCATCTCAAAAATCAAAAAACAAAAAACAAACAACAAAAAAAGAAAGCTAGGAGACAGAGAGACCAAGTCCCTAGGACATGGTAGAACCCCTGGATCAGGCTATGCCTGAAGGCCACCTACACCTAGACTTTTAATATATGCGAATTAGAATAGATCCGTGTGTGTGTGTGTGTGTGTGTGTGTGTGTGTGTGTGTGTGTGTGGCAGAATCTCACTCTGTTGCCCAGCCTGGAGTGTGGTGGCATGATTTTGGCTCACTGCAACATCTGCCTCCCAGGTTCAAGCAATTCTCGTGCCTCAGCCTCCCAAGCAGCTGGGATTACAGGCATGTGCCACGATGCCAGGCTAATTTTTTTATTTTTTATTTTTAGTAGAGATGTGGTTTCCCCATGTTCGCCAGGCTGGTCTCGAACTCCTGGCCTCAAGTGTGGATCCCTCTTTTGTTACAGCCAACTGGAATTACTTTTCTCTCTAAAAAAAAAAAGTCTCGAAAATTTCAGCCCATGATGAAAACATTGTGGTATGCAGGGAGCTAGACTGAGATCTAAAGCCCAAATTGCCTGTGGTCAGATCCATTGCCATGCACTGATTGACCAGAGTCTGAATCCAAAGTCTCCCTGGGAGAATTTATGTGCCCATAGCTTTTCCTGATATTTGTACTCTGCCTTGTCTCTGAGGCTTTCCCAGACCATTGGGTTCAGCCCAAAGTGCATCTCTCTCTTCTCCACATTTGCCAGCACAGTGCATTTGGCAGTGAAGTATGTGCCATCTCATCTGTTATTGTCCTGAGATGGTCTTTAAATCTTGGCAAACTTGGGCTGTTCTTCAACTTTTCTCTTTTGAAGTTAACTCCTCCTGGACAGTGGCTAGCTCTTATTGATTTAATTTTTCCACATAGCTTTTAGCACAGGGCTTAGCACATTGATGGACTTTCGGGTGGCAGCATGGGATGGTGGAAGGAATGCTGGCCTTGCATCCCGGCTCTGCCACTTAACGAGCTGGATGACCTTCGGCAAGTTACTGAAGTATTCTGGGCCCTGTGAGAATTGCTGTGAAGACTAAACAACATAACGTGTGCCTTATTCCATTCAGGTTTCAACAATAAAAGATCATAAACTGGCTGGGCGAGGTGGCTCACTCCTGTAATCCCAGCACTTTGGGAGGCTGAGGCATGCGGATCACCTGAGGTCAGGAGTTCAAGACCAGCCTGGCCAATATGACAAAACCCCGTCTCTACTAAAAATACAAAAAATTAGCCAGCTTGGTGATGGGGGCCTGTAATCCCAGCTACTCAGGAGGCTGAAGCACAAGAATCGCTTGAGCCTGGGAGGCAGAGGTTGCAGTGAGCCGAGATTGCGCCACTGCACTCCAGCCTGGGTGATGAAGCGAGACTCCATCTCAAAAAAAAAAAAAAAAATCGTAAACTGGGTGGCTTACAAACAACAGAAATTTATTGCTCACAGCTCTGGAGACTGGCAAGTCCAAGATCAAGGTGCTGGAAGGTTCAGGCTGGTGAGGGCCTGCTTTCTGGTTCTTACATGGCACCTTCCAGCTGTGTCCCCACATGGAGAAAAAGGCAAGGCAGCTCTCTGGGACCTCTTTTATAAGGGGACTAATTCCAATCATGAGGACTCCACTTCCATGACCTGGTCACCTCCCAAAGCCTGCACCTCCTAATATCATTGCATTGGGGATTAGGATTTCAAAAGATGAATTTGGGGGAGATGCAAACATTCAGACCATAGCGATATGTCATTGAATTGTTTGTTCAATCAGTAAATATTTATTGAGTACACATTCTATGTCAGGCATGGGGCTACAGACTGAAAATAAGATGGTGAGTATATAAGTTAAGATACACTGGCTGGGCGTGGTGGCTCACACCTGTAATCCCAGCACTTTGGTAGGCTGAGGCAGGCAGATCACAAGGTTAGAAGTTCAAGACCAGCCTGGTCAATATGGTGAAACCCTGTCTCTACTAAAAATACAAAAATTAGCCGGGCATGGTGGCGGGTGCCTGTAATCCCAGCTACTCGGGATGCTGAGGCAAGAGAATTGCTTGAACCCGGGAGGTGGAGGTTGCAGTGAGCCGACATCGTACCACTGCATTTCCAGCCTGGGCGACAGAGTGAGACTCCATCTCAAAAAAAAGAAAACAACAACAATAAAACAACAAAAACACTTCAGTTGGCCGGGCATGGTGGTTCATGCCTGTAACCCCAGCACTTTAGGGGGCTGAGGTCAAAGGATTGTTTGAGGCTAGAAGTTTAAGACCAGCCTGGGCAACACAGCTAGACCCTGTCTCTATTTTTTTTATTAAAAAAAAATTTTTAAAGATACACTTTGTTAAAGATACACTTTTTTAAAGATACACTTTTTAAAAGATACACTTTTTTAAAGATACAGGCTGGGCACGGTGGCTCATGCCTGTAATTCCAGCACTTTGGGAGGCCGAGGCGGGCGGATCATGAGGTCAGGAGATCGAAACCATCCTGGCCAACATGGTGTAACCCCGTCTCCACTAAAAATACAAAAATTAGCCAGACGTGGTGGCAGGCACCTGTAGTCCCAGCTACTTGGGAGGCTGAGGCAGGAGAATCGTTTGAACTTGGGAGGCAGAGGTTGCAGTGAGCTGAGACTGCGCCACTGCACTCCAGCCTGGGTAACAGAGTGAGACTCTGTCTCAAAAAAAAAAAAAAACCAAAAAGACACACTTTGGTTGCTTGCAAGCAATAGCGACAAGCCTGGTTTCTTTTTTTCTTCTGGCACATGGCTAGACTACATTTCTTAGCCCCTCCTGCAGCTGGATGGGGCCATATGAGTAAGTTTTGGTCAATGGAATGTGGGCAGAAGTGATATATGTTGCTTCTAGGCCTTTCTCCTAAAACACTTCCAGGAGAAGATCTGATGTAGGTCCAAAGACCTACAGGAATGTTGAGCCCCAAGATGGAAAGGGCCTGGGTCCCTGAACAACTGTGGAGCAGAGCCCCACTGCCAACTCACTGTGACTGTGACATGAACCAGAAATAGGCTTTTCCTTTGTTAAACTACTGGGATTTTATTTTTTAATTTGATTGATTGATTGATTGATTGCTTCCGAGACAGGGTCTTGCTCTGTCACCTAGCTGGAGTGTAGTTGTGCGATCATGGCTCATTGAAACCTCCACCTCCAGGGCTCAAGTGATCCTCCCACCTCAGCCTCCTGAGTACCTGGGATTACAGGTTTGTGCCACCACATGCAGCTGATTTTTAAATTTTTGGTAGAGATGAGGTCTTGCTATGTTGCCCAGGCTGGCCTCAAACTCCTGAGCTCCAGTGACCCTCCTGCCTCAGCCTCCCAAAGTGCTGAGATTACAAGTGTGAACCACTGTGCCTAGCCAAACTCCTGGGATTTTAGATTATCTGTTACAGCAGCACAGCCTACCCTGACATCAACTCTGGCCAACTCGAGCAAAAATGGATTTCTCGGAAGGAAATAGAATGCTCATAAAGTTGACAGCAAGGTTGGAAATGAGCAGCTCTGGAGGTTAGAAGGGAGGACTGGTCATGGAGAGCGTGCACTCGTTTTGGAACAGTCATCTAGCCATTTCAATCTCTTTGTCTCAATATTAAAATTTCCAGGCCAGGCGTGGTGGCTTATGCTTGTAATCTCAGCACTTTGGGAAACCAAGGCAGGCAGATCACGAGGTCAGGAGTTCGAGACCAGCCTGACCAACATGGTGAAATCCTATCTCTACTAAAAATACAAAAATTAGCCGGGTGTGGTGGCACGTGCCTGTAATCCCAGCTACTCTGGAGGCTGAGGGAAGAGACGCACTTGAACCCTGGAGGTGGAGGTTGCAGTGAGCCGAGATTGTGCCACTGCATTCCAGCCTGGGTGACAGAGAGAGACTCCACCTCAAAAGAAAAAAAAATTTCCAGAAGGGAGGATTTATCTGGCCTGGTTTTGATTATACGCCCTGCCCCTTGGCTAGAGGATAGCAGACCTTTTATTTCAATCCCTACTAACTGTATTTATTTATTTATTTATTTATTTATTTATTGGCGACGGAGTCTCAATTTAGTATATATACATACTAAAATTAGTTGGGCGTGGTGGCACATGCCTGCAGTCCTAGCTATTTGGGAAGCTGAGGTGGGAGGATCACTTGAGCCCAAGAGCCAGAGGTTGCAGTGAGTTATAATTTTGCCACTGTCCTCCAGCCTGGGTGACAGAGCAAGAGGTTGTCTCAATCAAATCAATCAACCCACCAATCAATCAATCAATCAATAAAGGGGGATAGCAAAGGGGAAGGACATATGTAACAGCTATGAAGTACTACAATAAATGCAAATTTCTCTCCCCTTCTTCCTCACTAAATGTGCAGGGCTGAAGCATTTTATTTATTTATTTATTTATGAGATGGAGTTTCACTCGTTTTCCAGGCTGGAGTGCAATGGCACAATCTCAGCTCATCGCACCCTCCACCTCCCAGGTTCAAGCGAGTCTCCTGCCTCAGCCTCCCGAGTAGCTGGGATTACAGGCATGCACCACCACGCTCAGCTAATTTTGTATATTCAGTAGAGACGGGGTTTCTCCATGCTGGTCAGGCTGGTCTCAAACTCCCGATCTGTGGTGATCTGCCTGCCTTGGCCTCCCAAAGTGCTGGGATTACAGGAGTGAGCCACCGCGCCTGGCCTGAAACATTTTATTTTTAGTCACTTCTGGAAAATGGAAAAAGTGGCTAGGTGTGGTGGCTCAGGCCTATAATCTTAGCAATTTGGGAGGCTGAGGTGGAAGGACCCTTTGAGGTCAGAAGTTTGAGACCAGCCTGGGCAACAGAGCAAGACCCCGTCTCTATTTTATACATTTTTTAAAAATTAAAAAAAGAAAATGGAAAAAGGGAGATAAAATTAACATGATTTACAGATGATACAGCCTTATACCTGGAAAACCTGAGTGAATTTGTTGCCAAAAAGAAAAAAAAGATAAAATATTCAGTTAGTTAGCTGGGTCCAAGATTAAAAAGAGGAAATCAATTGCTTCCCTATTAATACCAACACCAACCACTTAGAGGGTGTAATGGAAGGGGTGACCGCATTTACAATAGCAACACAAAAGATGAAAGACCTAAGAATAGATTTAACAAGAAATGTATAAAATATATATGAAGGAAACTTTAAAATGCTGCTGATGAAGGCAAAAGAAGACCAGAACTCACGGAATGACAGACTTATTCTTGAAAGAGCAAAGTCAACAGCATAAAGACATCACTTCTCCCTAAGATGACGTATACAATTAATGCTATTACAATTAAAAGTAATTCTTAGGCTGGGTGTGGTGGCTCATGCCTGTAATCTCAGCACTTTGGCAGGCCAAGGCAGGTAGATCACTGAGGTCAGGAGTTCGAGATCAGCCTGGCCAGCAGAGTGAAGCCCTGTCTCTACTAAAAATACAAAAAAAATTAGCCGGGCATGGTGGCAGGCTCCTGTAATCCCAGCTACTCAGGAAGCTAAGGCAGGGGAATCACTTGAACACAGGAGGTGGAGGTTGCAGTGAGCCGAGACTGTGCCACTGCACTCCACCCTGGGCAACAGAGCGAGACACTGTCTCAGACAAAAAAAACAAAAACAAAAACAAACTAATTTTCGACCTGTTGAAAACTCAACAATTTTTTTTTTTTTTTTTGAGACAGAGTCTCGCTCTGTCACCCAGGCTGGAGTGCGATGGCTTGATCTCGGCTCACTGCAAGCTCCGCCTCTCAGGTTCATGCCATTCTCCTGACTCAGCCTCCCAAGTAGCTGGGACTACAGGTGCCCACCACCACGCTCAGCTAATTTTTTTGTATTTTTAGTAGAGATGGGGTTTTACCGTGTTAGTCAGGATGGTCTCGATCTCCTGACCTCGTGATCCACCTGCCTCAGCCTCCCAAAGTGCTGGGATTACAGGCATGAGCCACCACGCTCAGCCCAATAATTTTTTAAAGCTCAGCTCAAATGCCATCACCTCCTACATAAAGCCCTCCTGAAAGTTAGGATATATTATTCACAGTCTCTTGGTTTTTATTTATTTTATTTTTTGACATGGGGTCTCACTCTATTGCTGAGGCTGGAGTGCAGTGGCACGATATCGGCTCACTGTGACCTCTGCCTCCCGGGTTCAAGTGATTCTCCTGCCTCAGCCTCCTGAGTAGTTCGGACTACAGATGCGTGCCACCATGCCTGGCTGATTTTTGTATTTTTGATAGAGACAGGATTTCACCATGTTGCACAGGCTGATTTCAAACTCCTGACCTCAGGTGATCCACACACTTTGGCCTCCCAAAGTGCTGGGATTACAGGCGTGAGCCACTGTACCTGGCTGTTCATAGTCTCTTGACCTTTATTTTATTCTGCCTTTGGTCTTAGAATCCTTGACTGATACATGTGACTCTTCTTTAAGAATTAGAACCTTAGGTCGGGCGCAGTGGCTCACGCCTGTAATCCCAGCACTTTGGGAAGCCGAGGTAGGCAGATCACGAGGTCAAGAGATCAAGACTATCCTGGCCAACATGAGGAAACCTCATCTCTACTAAAAATACAAAAATTAGCTGGGCGTGGTGGTGTGCGCCTGTAGTCCCAGCTACTCGGGAGGCTGAGGCTGGAGAATTGCTGGAACCCAGGAGGCAGAGGTTGCAGTGAGCCAAGATTGAGTCACTGCACTCCAGCCTGGTAACAGAGCGAGACTCAGTCTGAAAAAAAAAAAAAAAAAGAAAAAAAGAAAAGAATTAGAATCTTATGTGTGTATTTAATTCCTATATATTTTTTAATTGTAGTAGAGACGGGGTTTCCCTACGTTGCCCAGGCTAGTCTCCAACTCCTGGGCTCAAGAGATCTGCCCACCTCGGCTTCCCAAAGTGCTGGGATTACAGGCGTGAGCCACCGTGCCTGGCCTTATTTATTTATTTTTTTTAAGAGACAAGGTTTTGCTTTGTCACCCAGGGTGGAGTGCAGTAGTGTAATCATAGCTCACTACAGCCTCGCTAACTCCTGGGCTCAAGCGATCCTCCCACCTAAAGTTCCCGAGTAGCTGGGACTACAGGTGTGAGCCACCACGCCCAGACAATAAGAACTTTTTGAAGGTAAGGACGCTCTCTCACTTTTCTCTGTGTATCAGGAAAGTAGGGCTCAGGGAGAGTGACCCTGAGGCTCAGGAGGCCCGGAGTCCCAAAGGTCAGGCCACAGGCAGGCTTTGTCTGAAGTGCAGAAGTAGCATCCCTGTCCCTTCTCCTGCCCTCCTTGTCCCTCTGATGGCTGGGACCCTGGGCTTGCCACCTGATTCTGCTTCTTGCCATCACCCCTACTGGGACATGGTGTTGCCTCCTGTTGTCTTGGAGCCTAAACTTGGCCAGTCCCAGGCAATTCCTTTGCTCCATGCAAGTCCTGCCAACTGGCCTGGCCTCTTCCTGGGAACGAAGTTACCTGTCCCTGGTTTGGGTTTGACTTCTCTGGTCTCAAAACAACAGTCTGGACTGGGCACAGTGGCTCACACCTGTAATCCCAGCATTTTAGGAGGCCGAGGTGGGTGGATCACCTGAGGTCAGGAGTTCGAGACCAACCTGGCCAACATGGTAAAACCTCATATTTACTAAAAATACAAAAATTAACTGGGCGTGGTGGCGGGCGCCTGTAGTCCCAGCTACTCAGGAGGCTGAGGCAGGAGAATTGCTTGAACCCGGGAGATGGAGGTTGCAGTGAGCCGAGATCATGCCATTGCATTCCAGCCTGGGCGATAAGAGTGAAACTCTGTCTCAAAACAAACAAACAAACAAACAAACAAACAAACAAAGCAACCTGGATTCATACCTCATACTGGACACCAAGATAGACTCCAAGTAGATGAAAGATTTACCTGCTAAAAAGAAAAAACTAGAAAAGCAGTGGAAGAAAGCATGGACAATTTCCTTTATAACATTGGCATGGAAATCTCCTTTTCTTTTTTTTGAGATGGAGTCTTGCTCTGCTGCCCAGGCTGGAGTGCAATGGCATGATCTCGGCTCACTGCAACCTCTGCCTCCAGGGTTCAAGTGATTCTCCTGCCACAACCTCCCGAGTAGCTGGGACTACAGGCATGCCGCCATGCCCAGCTAATTTTTGTATTATTAGTAGGGGCAGGATTTCACCATATTGGCCAGGCTGGTCTCGAACTCCTGACCTCGTGATACACACACCTTGGACTCCCAAAGTGCTGGGATTACAGGTATGAGCGACTGTGCCCTACCTCTTTCTTTTTTTAGAAAGAGTCTCGCTCTGGCACCCAGGCTGGAGTGCAGTGGCACAATTATAGTTCACTGCAGCCTCAAACTCCTGGGCTCAAGGGATCCTCCTGCTTCAGCCTCCCAAGTAGCTGATACTACAGGCAGATGCCACCATGGCTGGCCAATATTAGAAATTTTTTGGTAGAGAGGGAGTCTTGCTATGTTGTCCAGGCTGGTCTCAAACTCCTGGGCTGAAGTGATCCTCCCGCCTTGGTCTCCCAAAGTGCTGCAATGACAGACATGAGCCACCATGCCTGGCCAGGATAATGCGTTCTGTTAATGTAAAGGTCCTTTGCTTTGCTGAGCACCTAGAGTATGGATATGCAAATGGGGGGCAGCATCTGGGGCAATGCTGACTCCCATTTCTGCATAATAGTGGGGAGAGTGAGCTGGGCGTGGTGGCTCATGCCTATAATCCCAGCACTTTGGGAGGCAGAGGCGGGTGGATCATGAGGTCAGGAGTTCAAGACCAGCCTGGCCAACATGGTGAAACCCCATCTCTACTAAAAATATAAAAATTAGCTGGGCACGGTGGTGGGCGCCTGTAATCCCAGCTACTCAGGAGGCTGAGGCAGAGAATTGCTTAAACCCGGGAGGCAGAAGTTGCAGTGAGCCGAGATTGCGCCACTGCCCTCAAGCCTGGTCAACAGAGTGAGACTCCGTCTCAAAAAAAAAAAAAAAAAAAGTGGGAGAGAAACGTGAGATTTGGAGTGAAATTCTGAAGGCAGGGAACATGCCCTGGACAGCCAGGCATTATGGGAGACGAGGGGCTCAGGAAAAAAGTGAGCTAGCAGCAGACCAGCTGATGAAAAATTGTGAAAACAGGCAGAAAATATGGGGGAATAAAAAGCTGATGGCCGGGCGCTGTGGCTCACCCCTGTAATCCCAGCACTTTGGGAGGCCAAGGCGGGTGGATCACGAGGGTCAGGAGTTCAAGACCAGACTGGCCAACATGGTGAAACCCCGTCTCTACTAAAAATACAAAAATTAGCCCGGTGTGGTGGCCTGCGCCTGTAGTCCCAGCTATCTGGGAGGCTGAGGCAGAAGAATCGCTGGAATCCGGGAGATGGAGGTTGCAGTGAGCTGAAATCAGAGGTTGCAGTGAGCCGAGATCGTGCTACTGCACTCCAGCTTGGGCGAGAGGAGCGAGACTCCATCAAAAAAAAAAAAAAAAAAAACAAACAAAACTGAAAGGTGGGCCAGGCGTGGTGGCTCACACCTGTAATCCTAGCACTTTGGGAGGCTGAGGCAGGCAGATCATGAGGTCAGGAGTTAGAGACCAGCCTGGCCAACATGGTGAAACCTCGTCTCTACTAAACATACAAAAATTATCTGGGTGTGGTGGCACACGCCCGTAGTCCCAGCTACTCAGGAGGCTGAGGCAGAAGAATTGCTTGAACCCGGGAGGTGGAGGTTGAGGTGAGCAGAGATCGTGCCACTGTACACCAGCCTGGGCGACAGACCGAGTCTCAAAAAAAAACAAAAAAAAAGCTGAAAGGTTAGGTTATTTGCTATGGGGTCAGTGATGTAAGTCCTCTCCTCTGTATCCTCATGAACTCTTAGTAAAGATGCATAGGCCGATGCAGCAGCTTGTGTCTGTAGCCCCAGCTACACAGGAGGCTGATGTGGGAAGATCTCTTGAGCCCAGGAGTTCAAGGCTGCAGTAAGTTGAGATTGCACCACTGCACTCCAGCCTGGGATACACAGCCAGACCCCAACTCCCTTAAAAAAAAAAAAAAACAAAAGGCATGGTGGCTCACGCCTGTAATCCCAACACTTTGAGAGGCTGAGGTGGGAGGATTGCTTGAGCCTAGGATTGTTTGAGAACAGCTTGGGCAACGCAGTGAGAGCCCATCTCTACAAAAAATTAAAAAATTATCCAAGTGTGGTGGTGTATGTGTGTAGTCCCAGCTACTCGGGAGGCTGAGACAGGAGAATTTCTTGAACCTGGTAGGCGGAGGTTGCAGTGAGCCGAGATCACACCACTGCATTCTAGCCTATGCAACAGAGCGAGACTCTGTCTCAAAAAAAAAGAAATATATTGTTCCAACAACCAGCTAAAAGTGAAGGTGGGAGGTTGGGTTCAAGCTCTGAGGGGTCTCATAATCTGAAAGTTGCCTGACGTTCTTGGAAGATGTGAGTATGTCTTGGGGTTGGATGGGAGTGTTTTTTTTTTGGTTGTTTTGTTTTTGAGATGGTCTCGCTTTATCGCCCAGGCTGGAGTGCAGTGGTGCTATCTTGGCTCACTGCAACCTCTACCTCCCAGGTTCAAGCAATTCTCTGCCTCAGCCTCCTGAGTAGCTGGGATTATAGGCAAGTGCCACCATGCCCAGACAATTTTTGTATTTTTAGTAGAGACGGGGTTTCACCATCTTGGCCAGGCTGGTCTTGAACTCCTGACCTCATGATCCACCTGCCTTGGCCTCCCAAAGTGTTGGGATTACAGGCGTGAGCCACCGCGCCAGGCCGGGAGTGGTCTTAATGAACATGAGTCTCAGACACCACCTTTCTTTTTTTTTTTATTTTTTTATTTTGAGACAGTTTCACTCTGTCGCTCAGGCTGGAGTGCAATGGCGCAATCTTGGCTCACTGCAGCTTCCACCTTTGTAGAGACTGGGTCTCACTATGTTGCCCAGGCTGGTGTCAAACCTCTAGGCTCATGTGATCCTCCCACTTTGGCCTCCCAAAGTGCTGGGGTTACAGACATGAGCCACTGTGCCTGGTCAGATTCCCTGTTGATCAGTGAAACAGGTGGAATAAAGCCAGGCACGGTCCCTGTAGTCCCAGCTACTTGGGAGGCCAAGATGGAGAATTGCTTGAGCCCAGGAGGTCAAGGCAGCAGTGAGCCATATTCTCGCCACTGCACTCCAGCCTGGGCAACAGAGCAAGACCTGTCTCAAAAAAAATCTGCTTAAGCTATTCTTTTAAAAAAAAGCCTTATGATTCTAATATCAGAAATGCTATCTAAAAGAGCACTGGGGATGCAAGTGGTCAGTATCTAGTGCCATGTGACTTTTGGGTACAAGGAAGTGGGTCAAAGTGCAGCCTGGTTGATGCTTAATTGTAACTGTATTTCTGTGCAGAATTCTTGTTAATCCTGTGAGGATGGCTTCATTCAGGCAAAATTTCTCCATTAATCATGGTAATGGATGTTTGCAAACATTCATTTACTCTATGCCAGGAAATCACTGAGTAGGATACATTTGAGTTGGGTCTTTAGGGTGAGTAGGAATTTAAAAGGAAGGGAAAGGGATGAGGAAAAGGACACCCCAAATAGCAGAACAACATGAGCCTTGGCTCTGAGACATGAAAGAGTCCGCTGGGTGTGGTGGCTCGTGCCTGGAATCCCAGCACTTTGGGAGCCTGAGGCAGGTAAATCACCTGAGGTCAGGAGTCCGAGACTGGCCTGGCCAACATGATGAAAACCCATCTCTACTGAAAAAAAAAAAAACAAAAACACAAAAATTAGCTGGGCGTGGTGGCACATGCCTGCCTGTAATTGCAGCTACTCAGGAGGCTGAGGCACAAGAATCACTTGAACCAGGGACGCAGAGGTTGCGGTAAGCAGAGAACGCACCATTACACTCCAGCCTGGGCGATAGAGTGAGACTCCGTCTCAAAAAAAAAAAAAAAAAAAAAAAAAAAAAAAGAGTCTGCTGTTTCCAGGAGCCAAGAGGACTCTAGCTTGCTGGGTTTGTATATGGAGAGGAGTTAGAAAGGTGGGATGCAGGCCGGATGCAGTAGCTCACACCTGTAATCCCAGCACTTTGGGAGGCCGAGGTGGGTGGATCGCCTGAGGTTGGGAGTTTGAGACCAGCCTGATAACATTTTGAAACCCCGTCTCTACTAAAATTACAAAAATTAGCCGGGCATGGTGGCAGGACCCTGTAATCCTAGCTACTTGGGAGGCTGAGGCAGGAGAATTGCTTGAACCCGGGAAGCAGAAGTTGCAGTGAGCCAAGATCGTGCCATTGCACTCTAGCCTGGGCAACAAGAGCAAGACTTCATCTCAAAAAAAAAAAAAAAAAAAGAAAGCTGGGATGGATATAGTGATTAATAACTAAAATTTATTGAAAATCTTTGTCAGGTGTGGTGGCTTATGCCTGTGATCGCAGCACTTTGAGAGGCTGAGGTGGGAGGATTGCTTGAGCCCAGGAGTTTGAAACCAGCCTGGGCAACATAGTGAGACTGGTCTCTACAAAAGAATAAATAAAAAATAGTTGGGTGTGGTGACACGTGCCTGTAGTTTCAGCTACTCAGGAGGCTGAGGTGGAAGGATCACTGGAGCCTGGAATGTTGAGGCTGCAGTGAGCCATGATTGCACCACTGCACTCCCGCCTGGGCAATGGAGTGAGATCCTGCCTCTCTTTAAAAAAGAAAGAAAGAAAGTCTTGTAACGTACAAGCACAGTTCTTTTTTTTTTTTTTTTTTTTGAGATAGAGTCTCACTCTGTTGCCCAGGCTGGAGTGCAGTGGTGCGGTCTCGGCTCACCGCAACCTCTGCCTCCTGGGTTCAAACAGTTCTCCTGCCTCAGCCTCCCAAGTAGCTGGGACTACAGGCATGCACCACCACAACTGGCTCAGTTTTGTATTTTTAGTAGAGACAGGGTTCTACCATGTTACCCAGGCCGGTCTCAAACTCCTGACCCAGGTGATCCACCCACACAGTTCTAAACACTTCTCATGCTTTGCCGTGGTCATGGTGGGCTGCCGGATCTTTTCCATGTGCTCCCCTGCTGTCACACTTTCCCTGTGCTGCCTGCCCTGTGCCCAGAAGTTCGACCTGTACGGATTACATCAGCAGGCTCCCTTGCTCCCTGGCTTACAGCTGGACTTATCCAATGTGGATCCCCCAGCAGGAGATTAGCAAGAGAGCAGACAGTGAGGTCAGCATGTTTATTTCACTGGCATTCTCCCCACAGCATCACCTTAGCTGGCTGCTTCCTTCAGCTGCTCTCACACAATTCTTCCTTTCCAGATTCTGGCCTCCATTCCTCCTCTTGTCCCTGCAGGCTTAGAAGTACTAATAATCATGCTGTTACTAGACCTCTTGTGTTGTGTTTTCCTTTGCAGGGTTTCCTTACATCCCACCCTTTAAAAATAGTCCCCTTGTCAGCTGGGCATGGTGGCTCACACCTGTAATCCCAACATTTTGGGAGGCCAAGGTGGGGGGATCACCTGAGGTCAGGAGTTCACGACTAGCCTGGCCAACACAGTGAAACCTCGTCTCTACTAAAAATACAAAAATTAGCCAGTCATGGTGGTGCATGCCTATAATCCTAGCTACTCAAAAGGCTAAGGCAGGAGAATCGCTTGCACCCAGGAGGCAGAGGTTGCAGTGAGCTGAGATCATGCCACTGTACTCCAGCCTGGGTGACAGAGCGAGACTCCGTCTCAAAAAAAAAAAAAAAAAAAGTCCCCTTGTCAACATTTCTTTTGTTTTTTTTTTGAGACAGAATCTTCCTCTCTCTTTCAGGCTGGAGTGCAGTGGTGCGATCTTGGCTCACTGCAACCTCTACCTCCCAGGTTCAAGTGATTCTCCTGCCTCAGCCATCTGAGTAGCTGGGACTACAGGCTCGTGCCACCACGCCTGGATAATTTTTGTGTTTTTAGTAGAGACAGGGTTTCGCCATGTTGGCCAGGCTGGCCTCGAACTCCTAACCTCAAGTGATCCACCCGCTTTGGCCTCCCAAAGTGCTGGGATTACAGGCGTGAGCCACCGTGCCCGGTTCCCTTGTCAATATTTTGAATCCTAATTTGGTTTTCCTGATAGAATTTAGCTGAAACAGGTACCTGCCCAGCCAACTAGGTACTAGTACTATTCCTATTTTATGGATGAGGAAACTGAGGTTACAAAGAGTTTAAATGACTTGCTCAAGGCCACACAGCTACGTAACAGGCTGAGTAAAAACCCAGAGAGTCTGGCTCTAGAGCTGCGAAGGCCTTCAAAGGCCTTGAATGCCAGGCTATGCAGACAGTGTGTTCCCATCACCTACAGAGGGTGCCAGACTCTCACCCTTTCTTCCTTCTGAGATCCTCACAGAGCTGTCGTGGGGCTCAGACAGATCTTGGCTATGGAGGCCAGGCACAGTGGCTCACCCTTGTAATCCCAGCATTTTGGGAGGCTGAGGCAGGAGGATTGCTTGAGCCTAGTTTTTTTTTTTTTTTTTTTTGAGACGAAGTCCTGCTCCTGTCCCCAGGGTGGAGTGCAATGGCGTGATCTTGGCTCACTGCAACCTCCACCTCCCAGGTTCAAGCAATTCTCCTGCCTCAGCCTCCCAAGTAGCTGGGATTACAGGTGCCTGCCACCACGCACAGCTAATTTTTGTATTTTTAGTAAAGACGGGGTTTCACCATGTTGGCCAGGCTGGTCTCGAACTCCTGACCTCAGGTGATCTGCCCACCTTGGCCTCCCAAAGTGCTGGGATTACAGGCGTGAGCTACCATGCCCGGTTGAGCCTAGGAGTTTGAGACCACCCTAGGGAGACCCTCGTCTCCCTAGTCATTAAAAAAAAAAAAATTAGCTGGGCACAGTGACTGTAGTCCCAGCTACTCGGGAGGCTGAGGTGGGAGGATCACTCGAGCCCAGGAGTTTGAAGCTACGTCAGTTATGATTGAGCCACTGCACTCCAGCCTGGGCAACAGAGCAAGACCCTGTCTCAAAACCAACAAACAAATGAAAAAAAAAATGAGAGCTCGAGAGAGAGAGAGATGTTGGCCATTGAAAGAGCTACTCTGGAGCTTGGTGGCACATGTGACCCAAGATTAGCCAATCAGGGCATCACACTCCCCAGGCCATGGTGACTGGTTCAGGAGTGGGCATGTGACCCAATCAAAGACAAAGGGTTTATTTTTCTACGACATTTGTAGGAGATGCATATGCCCTTCTCTCCACCAGGCTTCAACCTGGAAGAAGGGAAAGCCTAGATATGCCAGGGCCCATGAGGATAAATGACCCCCAGTCAAGGAAGCAGAACCAACGAACAGAGAGAAACTGAATTCTGTGATATTCACACCCTGAATCCACCATATCTGAAATTCATCCAAACCTTTGGATGGCGTTTTACGAGACAATACATTCTTTTTTTCTTCTTCAACTGTTAAGAGTCCAAACTTTAGGGTCCCCACCTTGTTACTTGCAATGAAACGGACACAGTGGAAGACAGCTTGGAGTAGGAAAAGGACTGAAGACTGCAGCAGCCAGGTGAACTTCTATTCGTCCATCAAGACCCAACCCAAAGGTTACCATCTTTGTTGCTTCCTCCCCATTTCCTCGTACGCTTAGGAAGTTCATACACACCTCACAATGTGCTGTAATTATTTGGGTGGCTGTTGCTGACCCAGACAGTGGACAATTTGCCTGATTCTTATTCACTTTAAATACTTCATTTTTAGCAAAAGGCCTGGCACAAAGCTAATACTAACTCACTGAAAGTTTGTTGAATGAATAACTAAATGCAGGCGATCAAGGCAGTAGCAATAGAAATAGGCAGGCAGAGATGGCTGGGGGCCATCCCTGCAGTGCCAACTAAAAGTAATAGCAGCCTTAAATCTTTTTTTGGAATAAGACAGGCTTCAGATTAATATTAATAACAAAATGTTATTTAGTTTACTTGAACAAAATCCCTGGAGTCAAATTTATAATAGCTGTGACTTATCTCATGCCTCATGTGCCAGGTGTTTTATGTACATTAAATTAAATCTTCACCCCAGCCTGGCAATGGAGCTATGATGTGGTGACTCCACACATCCAGTTTATTCTGAGGAATTGAAAGCAACTCCAGGGGATTCTATAAGCCACTCATAGCAGTTCCACCCTCCTTCACTACGGCTAGATCCGGGGGACTAGGCCTAGGCCAATTAGGATCAGTAGGGAAAGCTTCTTGGCTTGAGAAAGGATGTGAGAAAGGTGCTCTCTCTTTTTTCTTTATTTTGAGATGGAGTCTCACTCTGTCACCCAGGCTGGAGTGCAGTGGTGCAATCTCGGCTCACTGCAACCTCTGCCTCCTGGGTTCAAGCAATTCTCCTGCCTCAGCCTCCTGAGTAGCTGGGACTACAGGCGCCTGCCACCATGCCCAGCTAATTTTTTTTTTTTTTTTTTTTGAGATGGAGTTTTGCTCTGGTTGCCCAGGCTGGAGTGCAATGGTGCAATCTCGGCTCACCACAACATCCGCCTCCCGGGTTCAAGCGATTCTCCTGCCTCAGCTTCCCAAGTAGCTAGGATTACAGGTATGCGCCACCACACCTGGCTAATTTTTTGTATTTTTAGTAGAGACGGGGTTTCTCCATATTGGCTAGGCTGGTCTCAAACTCTCGACCTTAGGTGATCCACCCACCTCGGCCTCCCAAAGTGCTGGGATTACAGGCATGAGCCACCATGCCCAGCCTCATTTTTGTATTTTTAAGTAGAGATGGGGTTTCACCAGTTGGCCAGGCTGGTCTCAAACTGCTGACCTCAAGCGATCCATCCACCTTGGCCTCCCAAAGTGTTGGGGATTACAGGTGTGAGCCACTGTGCCCGGCCAAAAGGTGCTCTCTTTTGCTGGATTTGAACAGGGAATTTTGTGGCCCTGGCTGTTCCTGGCAACCACCTTGACAACAAGTCTGATAATGGAGAAGAGCAGAGCAAGGAAGTCCTAGAGGAATGGCCGGGCGTGGTGGCTCATGCCTGTAATCCCAGCACTTTGGGAGGCCGGGGTGGGCAGATCACTTGAGCTCAGAAGTTGGAGACTAGCCTGGGCAACACAGTGAGACATTGTCTTTGCTGAAAAAAAAAAAATCAGCTGGGCATAGTGGCGCACACCTGTAGTCCCAGCTAACTGGGAGTTTAAGGTGAGAGGCTTGCTTGAGCTTGGGAGGTCGAGACTGCAGTGAGCTGTGATTGCGCCACTGCACTCTAGCATGGAGAACAGACTGAGACCCTGTCTCAAAAAAATAAAACAAAACAAAACAAACAAACAAACAAACAAACACACACAAAACCACACACAGAAAAAAAAGAAAATCCTAGAGGAATGGATCTAGGCCTCCCATCACACCCAGCCAAAAGCTAATGAATCTCTGGAAGTCCAGTTATGTAACCCAAAGGCATACCCTTAAGTGAGTCAGTTGCATTTCTGTTATCTCATTCAATTTTACAGTAAGGAAACCAAGACTTCGAGAGTCAATAACTCAAGATACCTTAGCTAGTGAAGTTAAGAGCTGGATTCCACTCCAAATGAGTCTCAACCCAAAGCTTTCACTCATCCTACTAAACTAAGCCAAGTAAGTGACTTGGCCTCCATTCCGATTCATCAGCTTACCTACTGAGATGGCTTCTCTTGTACATGCTGTTTCTACTGCCTGGAATGTTCTATGCCCCCTCTCTTTGCCTAGCAAACTCCTGCTTCTTTAAGGCCAAAGCTTAAAGAAATGTCACTTCCTGACTTCCTCCCCATCCTAATCTGCCAGATTATTTTAGATCCCTTGGCCTTATTAGCGTGTAAACTATATTAAAGTTATATCATGTTAGTTTCAATTTTTCCTTCATTGCTCTTATCACAATAACTGATCCATTATTGTACAATATTTTACAAATAATTTGTCTTTAAATTCCATAAGGGCACACATATATTTGTTTTGCTCAGCATTGAATCCTTGAAATAGTGACTGTCACTTAGTGGACAACAATAAAGATTTGATAAAATAAATGTGCTTGAGGCTGGGCATGGTGGCTCATGCCTGTAATCCCAGAACTTTGGGAGGTCGAGGTGGGCGCATCACTTGAGGTCAGGAGGTGAGACCATCCTGGCCAACATGGCGAAACCCCGTCTCTACTAAAAATACAAAAATAAATTTAGCTGGGTGTGGTGGCAGGTGCCTGTAATCCCAGCTACTTGGGAGGCTGAGGCAGGAGAATTGCTTGAACCTGGGAGGCAGAGGTTGCAGTGAGCCGAGATTGCACCATTGTACTCCAGCCTGGGCAACAAGAGCGAAACTCCCTCTCAAGAGAAAAAAAAATAGTGCTTGATGGCCTGGCGCGGTGGCTCATGCCTGTAATCTCAGCACTTTGGGAGGACGAGGCGGGTGGATCACCTGAGGTCGGGAGTTTGAGACCAGCCTGACCAACATGGTGAAACCCCGTCTCTACTGAAAATACAAAAAATTAGTTGGGTGCGGTGGTGGGCTCCTGTAATCCCAGCTACTTGGGAGGCTGAGGCAGGAGAATTGCTTGAACCCAGGAGGCGGACGTTGCGGTGAGCCGAGATCATGCCATTGCACTCCAGCCTGGGCAACAAGACCGAAACTCTGTCTCATTAAAAAAAAAAAAAAAGTGCTTGAGGCTGGGAGTTTGAGGCTGCAGTGAGCCATGATCATGTCACTGCAACAGAGTGAGACCCTTTCTCCAAAAACAAACAAACAAACAAACAAACAAAAAACTAAAAAACCCCTGAAAGCTATTGCTTTCAGTGGTAAAGTGTTGTATCAGTGGTTCTCCAAATGTGGTATCTAGACCTGCAGCATCAGCTTCATTTGGGAGCTTGTTAGAAATGCAAATTATTCAGCCCCATCTCAAACCTACTGGATGGGAAAGTCTATGAGTGGAGCGAGTAATCTTTGTTTTAACAGTCCTTCTGGGTGAATTGATTCAGATCACACTGAGGTTTGACAGGAAAGAAAAATAGCTCAGGGAAGTCTGAGTTATGTGAAGTATGCAAAATTTGTCAGGTCCACTGAGACTTGTGTATGGGAGTTCGGGCACACTCCCACCTCCACATGCTCGGGGACAATTGTTTAAAGATATTTTGTTCCAGACTAGCTGCCTCCCCCATTTCCTTCAGGTTCCTGAAATTTGTGATACAAAGAACAATGTATAGGCAATAGCTTATGTTATTTTTTCCCCCTTTCTCATCATTCCTATTCAACCTTATGTTATGCCTCTTTTTTCCTTAGAAACCCACTTGAAGCCAGGCGGGAGGGCTCACGCCTGTAATCCCAGCACTTTGGGAGGCCGAGGCTGGCGGATCACCTGAGGTCGGGAGTTCAAGACCAGCCTGGCCACTATGGTGAAACTCCGTTTCTACTAAAAATAAAAAAAATAGCCGGGCATCATGGTGGGTGCCTGTAGTCCCAGCTACTCGAGAGGCTGAGGCAGGATAATCGTTTGAACCCGGGAGGCGGAAGTTGCAGTGAGCTGAGATTGCACCATTGCACTCCAGCCTGGGCGACAAAGCGAGACTCCGTCTCAAACAACAACAACAACAAACTACACTCTAGTCTGGGCGACAGAGCAAGACCCTGTCTTAAAAACAAACAAACAAACAAGGAAACCCCATTTGTAACTGCCACTAATTGGACTATACTTCTGGTGGGCCATCTTCAAGCTTCGGGCTTGAATAAACCCTATACTTAAATACTATTTTCTCAATCTCGTTATTTAAGGTTGACAAGGGCCATTGGGTTACATAGATTTGCTCCAATCTATGTAGTAGGCACACCCGCGGGCTCAACCTCAGCTGTTTGGGATAGTTTCCTGACTGTTTCTTAAAATTAGCACTTTCAGCCTGGCTGGATGACTCATACCTGTAATCCCAGCACTTTGGAAGGCTGAGGCAGGAAAGCTGCTTGAGCCCAGGAGTTCCAGACCAGCCCAAGCATCAAAAGGAGGCCTCACCTCTGCAAAAAATAAAAAAATTTAGCTGGGCATGGTGGCGCACCAGGAGGTTGAGGCTGCAGTGAGCCATGATTGTGTTACCGCACTCCAGCCTGGGCAACAGAGCAAGAACCTGTCCCCAAAAATAAAACAAAATAAAGATGAGCACTTTCACGAGTAAAGTGGATTGGAGGATGGGAACAGGAATCCAACACATTCTCTGCCTCTCTCAGCACCTTGGCTATCGAAGTTACGTTTATCTCCCCTGTCCTAGCATCCACAGCAGGGCCTGGAATATAGTCGGGCAAGAGTGTGTGGACTGCATGAATGTAAGCTCCATAGGGCCGCGTGTCGTCACGCTGCCAGCTCGATGCTCCGCCCGTAAAAGGCACTCACTAAAATTTTAGCGGAATGAATGGGCGAAAAAAGCGAAAGGGAAACCACGCCTTTACTAAAATGGCAGCCCGGGCTCCCTTTACCAAGATGGCTGCCGGCCCGCGTGGACGCACGGGCGGTGGGCGCAGGGGGCGGGGCAAGAGAGGGCGTGGTAAGAAGGCGGGGCCAGTGGGAGCCGTCAGGTGCAGCCCCGCCCTCCGCCCTCCGCCCGCTCCCCCCGCTCGCCCCGCTCGATTCCGGATTGGTCCGGTTCCAGCGCCGCAGCCCGGCGGCCGCGCTGTGGGGCCGCCCGGCGCTCGCCACTTCCGGCGCGTTGGGGCTGTTGGTCGGGGGCGGCCGCGCGGTACTAGCGGGCGGCTCCAGGGCGGGCGCGCGCAAGGATGCTCTAGGGGGCGGCGGCAGTGGCCGTGTGGGTTGAGGCTGCGAGGACAGCGCGGGCCCCCGGGCCTCTCCCCTGAGCCGGCCGCCTGGGCCGCGCGGTCGAGGCCTGTCAGCCTCCGCCCGTTCAGCCTCGGGGCCGGGGCCGCCGCCACCTCTGCCCGCGGAGGCCGGGGAGCCCCTGCCTGGGCCCGCAGCCTCCCCCGCGGGGGTCGGGCCCGGGCGGGGGTCCCGAGCAGCTGCCCTCCTCGCCGGCATCCGAGCCTCATTTCCTGCTTTTTCAGTTTCCTTGGGGAGGGGCGGGTGGGTCTGGATGAATTGTCTCGGGGTCCCCCGATGAGGCGACCCGGGCGGCCCTGCCCTTTTTAGAGGGTCCCCTCGGGGCCCGGTGGGGAAGGGGTTGTCTTTGCATGGGTGGGGGACTTCCCGAGTCTGCCGGGACCATGACCTGAACTGTGCGAGCGGGACGTGTCCGAAGCCCAAGAACCAGCTCATCTGAGCCGCCCCCTCCCCGGCCAGCATGGTAAGTGGAATTGGAGCCCCCTTCCCTCCTGGGGTGCCCTACCGGAAGGGTGGGAATGGGCCCCGGGGCTGCTGAGCCATCGCTGCTCTCCCCATGGCGGGGAGAGGCGCGTGCGGAGCCTGGCCGGTGACACATGCGTGCAGAGTGTGCAGCCCCGGCCCTGCGCTCCCATCCCCCCAGGGATGATGGCTCAGGCCTGGGAGGGCCCTGGGAGCGCAGCAGGCACAACCCTTGCATCTGGTGTTTGCCTCCTGCAGCTCCTCCGGATAATAACTATCGTTTATTGAGGGCTTACTACTTGCCAAGGCCCTGCGCGAAGTGATTGACAGTGCAGTAGTATTTAATGATCACACCAGCCCTCTGTTCGGAAGTGGGGAGACTGAGGCACGGAGCAATTAATTCCCCAGCTCAAGGTCAAGCGACTTTTTAACAGTGTTAAGATTTGAACCTAGGCATCTGACTTTGAACCTAGGCATCTCTAATACACTTAGAGAGCTGGGTGATTGTAGGAGAAACATCTCATCTAGCTGTAGGTTTATATATGAGGAAACAGAGCGATTTACAGAGGTCACTTGCACAGGTGATGGCAAAGTCAGGAATGGTCGTGATCTTTTGACACTGAGGCTGCTATTCTACATGCTCTGATCTCTGCTGAAGCTACCTTCCACGTTTTCTAGACCGATACTTTCAATACTCCCCTAAATGTGTGTACTCACATCTCTTTGTGTATCCACATCTCCACGTTTTCTAGACCGATACTTTCAATACTCCCCTAAATGTGTGTACCCACATCTCTTTGTTAAGCATTTGCCTTTTTGCTCTTGTAATTATTTCTGAGCCTTATCTGTCTATTGCGGTATACACAGCTCCTTCAAAGACCAAATTGTTTGAACCCTTATCTGCTCCAGCTCCTGGCACATAGTAAGCCCTTGGTAAGTACTGGATCACCTAGCCTGTGGTTGAGCACCTCGAGGAGTGGAGCTGTTCTCCTCAGTTTCACCCATTTTACCCCTGCCAAGTTAGTGGTATAATAGAGAAAGGGACATAGCTGCATCTTTTGTGATACAGACCTTAAGGCCTGTGGAATTTTCGAAACATTCAAGGGGCCTGTGGGTAGTGTGTAGGTCCTGAGATATGGAGCTTACAACCAGCTGGGTAAAGTACACCATTAATGCTGAGCAGCACCGTACAGTATATGCTATACGTATAGTGTATGTGTTTTATTTTTATTTGTTTTGAGACAGGGTCTTGCTTTGTTTCCTAGGCTGGAGTGCAGTGGCACGTTCATGGCTCACTGCAGCCTCGACCTCCTGGGCTCAAGCAGTCCTCCCACCTTAGCCTCCCAAGTAGCTGGGGCTGCAGGCAAGTGCCACCATGCCTGGCTAATTTTTTGTGGAGATGAGGTCTCACCACGTTCCCCAGGCTGGTCTTGAACCTGAGCTCAAGTGATCCGTCCTCCTCAGCCTCCCAAAGTGCTGGGATTACAGGCGTGAGCCACCGTGCACAGCTGAGTCTATGTATTTTAACATATATATTACACAGTATGAATTGTGGCAAATCAGTTAAGCTCTCAGTTCCAATTTCCTCAACTATGAAATTTGGGGATAGGATTTCTCTAAAGAGTAATCTAGAGGTATGAGGTATAACATTTAGTGGCTAATGAAAGTAGCACTCATTCCTTCCTTCATTTATTCTTTCAGTAATGCTTTTTTTTTTTTTTTTTTTGAGATGGAGTTCAGCTGTTGTTGCCCAGGCTGGAGTGCAGTGGTGCAGTCTCAGCTCACGGCAACTTCTGCCTCCCGGGTTCAAGTGATTCTCCTGCCTCAGCCTCCCGAGTAGCTGGGATTATAGGCATGCGCCACCATGCCCGGCTAAATTTTGTATTTTTAGTAGAGATGGGGTTTCACCATGTTGGTCAGGCTGGTCTTGAATTCCTGACCTCAGGTGATCCACCCGCCTCGGCCTCCCAAAGTGCTGAGATTACATGCATGAGCCATCGCGCCCGGCCTCAATATACTTAAGTTTTGTTTTTTAATTGTAGTAAAATATACATAATTAAAATTAGCCATTTTAACCATTTTTAAGTGTACAGTTTAGTGAAATTAAGAACATTCACATTGTTGTGCAACGATCACCACCATATATCTCCAAAGGTTTTTTCCCAAAACAACCTGTACCCGTCTTTTTTCAGTCTCTCCCCTGCCCTACTTTAGTTTCTATTTCTATGAATTTGACTACTTTAGGTAGCTCATGTAAGTGGAGTCATGAAGTATTTGGCCTGTTGTGACTGCCTTATTTCACATGGCACAGTGTTCTCAAGCTTCATCCGTGTGGTGGCGTGTGTCAGAGCTTCCTTCCTTTTGAAAGCTGAATTCCATTGTGAGTATGTGCTGCATTTCATATATCCTTTCATCCTTCGGTGGATACCTGGGTTGCTTCCACCCTTTGGCTATTGTGAATAATACTGCTGTGAATATGGGTGTACAAATCTTACAAGTGAATTTTCAGTAGCCACCACCATATACCAGGGCCTAGGGCATGTACAGATGAACAAGACACACATTCCTCCCCTTGGGAAACTTACAGCATTGCTTTAGGACCCTTGGACAGAATTTTGTTATTGACTGAGCTAGCCCAGCACCCTTGTATTGAGGTTTCATTTTAATTGGCAGTCAGTAGAGCATCATGGGAATGACCACCTTTGAGTAATGAATTGTAAAGTAGTTGGCTTCATGAACTCCATGTGCATTTTTTCTGAGGTACGTTGCAAGTCAAAGTTTTTGTCACCTAGACCTCAGTTATTTAAGTACACAGGGGGTGGCCATAGTTGATGTGAATAGGATTGTCCTTTTTGTGTCACTGACACAGTGGTTCATCTGTAGGTATCCCAGGGTCAGGGGCTTGGGTAGGGTAGGCCCTGTCCCCCAAAGGTAAGGAAACTGTTGCCTGGCTGGTGTCTTACAGGCGGAGGGTCTTTTCCCTGGGATCCCAGCTCTTTATTCCAGGAAATTATTTCCTCTCCATTTCTTGCTGACTTAACATTTTTACTTTTAAGGGTATTAGTTGGCATAAGTTTGAGCCCTTTTAACATCTTCTTTTTAAATCTTCAACTCTAATAAGACTTGAAAGTGGCGTAATGTGATAAAAACTACCACTTATTAAGCATCTTTGATGTGCTAGCTATTCTTCACTCATTACTTGTTTTTTCTTTCTTTTTTTTGAGACGGAGTCTCGCTCTGTCACCCAGGCTGGAGTGTAGTGGCATGATCTTGGATCACTGCAACCTCTGCCTCCTGGATTCAAATGATTCTCCAGCCTCAGCCTCCTGAGTAGCTGGGATTACAGGCACGCCCAGCTAGTTTTTTTTTTTGTTTTGTATTTTTAGTAGAAATGGGGTTTCACCAGGTTGGCCAGGCTGGTCTCGAACTCCTGACCTCAGGTGATCCACTCGCCTTGGCCTCCCAAAGTTCTGGTATTATAGGCGTGAGCCACTGCGCCTGGCCAAGTTTTTCTCTTAGTCATTCAGTATCAGTAAACCCCACCAACTCTGCTAGGTTCCACTATGGCTGTTCCTGCCAGAGCGGGAGATGGACAGACCTGCTCTGTGATTCCTAGTTGACAAGTGGTGGAGTTGGCATTTAGACCCAAAGTGCTGTACTCCGGAGCCTGTGCTCTTTGGGTGCTGCCTCATGGGAAGGAAGATCAGGAGAGTCTTCCACCTGTATGTTGTTTGGCTTAGAGATAGATAGTGGTGGAGCATAGGGAGTATGGGGAATTTTGTTTACACTATCCCTGTTGACCTTCACATTTAGAACCAGTTTAAAAAGATTTATAGTTGCAGTATAGAATTACAGGAAGAGCTAGCATACTATAACTGTATTTGATTAAATCATTTTTTGTTGCATTCCCATGGATTCTTAAGTGGTGTGACATGTTAGAGGTTCCCACTACTTTGCTGAGAAATTATTACTTAGTATTGAGCGAGCTGTTGCTTAATATGAAAATTGTGTGCAAAATTGAGTTTTTGCTTATATTAGCATTTCTTTTTTAGTTGCTTAGAAATTGAATTGCCTGCTAAGGTTTGTTTTCTTTCTTTCTTTCTTTCCTTTTTTTTTTTTGAGATGGCATCTTGCTTTTGCACCCAGGCTGGAGTGCAGTGGTACGATCTTGGCTTACTGCAACCTCTGCCTCCCAGGTTCAAGCAATTCTCCTGCCTCAGCCTCCTGAGTAGCTGAGATTACAGGCACCCACCACCATACCCGGCTAATTTTTGTGTTTTTTAGTAGAGATGGGGTTTCACCACGTTGGTCAGGCTGGTCTCGAACTCCAGACCTCAGATGATCTGCCCACCTTGGCCTCCCAAAGTGCTAGGATTACAGGTGGGAGCCACCACACCTAGCCTTATTTTTTTAATATCAGTTACCGTGAGTGGCCCCTGTAATGGAGGCAGAATCAGAACTGAAATTTAGCCACTCACATGGCATGTCATCCACTTGTTCATCCACAGCATTGCATTGTACCCCATGCTCTCAGAGGTACAAAGAAGACATGGGGGTGCAGGGAGATGGCAGGGAAAGGTTCAGCAGTACCCAGAGGTTTTGTATGTCAGTCACAGCATTAGAGAAAGTCTGGAGAAAAAGTTACCTGTCAAGAAATGACTTGAATAGCTTCTGAAAAAATTAGTATATGATATGGTTCAAATCACCTGATAAAACCAAAATGTGGTCAGCAAAATTAATGTAGTATAAAGAAATAGGTAGATTAAGCCAGAGTTTTTGTTATTGGTTTTTATATTTATTATATATTTATTTATTTTTTGAGACAGGGTCTTGCTCTGTTGTCCAGGCTGGGGCGCAGCAGCACAGTCACAGCTCATAGTGACCTCGATCTCCTGGTCTCAAGGCAATCCTCCCACCTCAGCCTCCTCAGTAGCTGAGACTACAGGCCCATGCCACCATGCCCAGCTAATTTTTTTATTTTTATTTTTTGTAGAGAGTGGGGATTGCTATGTTGTCCAGCCTGGTCTTGAACTTCTGATCTCAAGCAGTCCTCTTGCCTCAGCCTCCCAAAGTGCTAGGATCACAGGCGCGAGCCACCACACCAGGCCAAATAATCATGAAATAATGTATTGACTTCCTGCTATGAAGTTTACAACCCTAGGTACTGTGGTTACAATCTAACAATATAATAGTTAATATGTGTGTGTGTGTGTGTGTGTGTGTGTGTATTGCTTTCTATATGCCAGGCATCTTACATCTATGAACCTATGAACCCATTTACTGTCCCAAACAACTCTAGGAGGTAGAGGCAGTTTTTTTTTTTTTTTTTTTGAGACAGTCTTGCTCTGTCGCCTAGGCTGGAGTGCAGTGGCGTGATCTCAGCTCACTGCAGTCTCTACCTCCTGGGTTCAAGCGATTCTCCTGCCTCAGCCTCCCGAGTAGCTGGGACTACAGGTGCGCACCACCATGCCTGAATAATTTTTGTATTTTTAGTAGAGATGGGGTTTCACTATGTTGGCCAGGCTGGTCTTGAACTCCTGACCTCACATGATCCACCCGTCTGGGCCTCCCGAAGTGCTGGGATTACAGGCGTGAACCACCATGCCTGGCTTAAAGGCAGCTTTCATTTCATGTTTTATAGCTGACATTCAGTGCACTGAGAGGTTAGGCAACTTCCCAAGGTCACACAGCGAGTCACTGCTCATAACCGTTACACTTCCAGGGTAATATTTAATACTGCCCCTGCCCTCTGGGAGTCAGTTTAGTGGGGAAGATAAGTCAACATACTCTGAAAATACAAGAGACTGTGATACAGGTGATAGTAGAAGAATGTGTTGGTGCAAAGGGGCATTGGTACAAAGATTGCATAGGTACTGACCTGAGAGAGATTGGCTGAGAAGAGTCAGGGAAGGCTTCCCAGGAAGGTATATTTGAGTCTTGAAGGATGAGGAAGAGTTTGACACTGGGACAAAGAAAGGGCCTTCCAAGTGAAAGTTTCTTGCAGACAGTTACAAAGGTCACATATATAGCAACAAAGATAATAGAAAATGATAGGTGTGAAGTGAGAGTGAAGGAAATAAACATTTGTTGGGTGCGTAGGACTTTCTAGGGCTTTATATGCATACCTATGTACACATATACATGTAGTACACAAACATGGTATTTTTTTTATCTGAAACCTTTACTCCTACTTTCCTGGCCAGTTATTGCCCTATTTCTTTTTTCCCCTTTGCAACAAAACCCCAGGAAGGAGTGGCCTGTACTTGGTCTCTAATTCCTCACTTTCCCTTTGCTCATTAATTTTAGACATAGGATCTCGCTCTGTCGCCCAGGCTGGAGTGCAGTGGAGTGACCATAGTTCACAGCAGCCTTGAACTCCTGGGCTCAAGGGATCCCCCTGCCTAGGCCTCCCAAAATGCTGGGATTATAGATGTGAGTCCCCACGCCTGGCATTATTCTCTCTTAATCTCACTTATCAAGGTGATAAGTGTTGCTTATCCAGTGTTGCTAAATCCAGTGGTTAGCTCTCAGTCCCTATCTTACTGGATCTGTCAGTAGTGTCAGACAAGTGGAGTACCCCTTCTGCAGTTCAGCCTTTCGTCACTTGGCCGCTGGGACACTAAGGTGTGTTCTTGGTTTTCCTCCTGTCGCACAGGTTGTTTCTTCCTCATCTCATAGCCGGAACACTCTAGGCCTCGAACTTAGTGCCTTCATCCAGGACACCTATAACCCAACATCTCTCTCCTCAGCTCCAGTTCTCGAGTCTCCAGCTGTCTGCTTGACATCCAAGCTGGTTTGTGAGACGGGTCACATCTCCCCTCTAGCTCACCTCCTTTAGCTCTCACTGGCTGTGCTGCAGCTCCCTCGGTCTTCTTACTGCTCTTCAGACCTTCTGGGCATGTTCCTGCTCCAGGCCTTTGGCCTGGCTCCCTGCCTCTGCTTGGACCGTGCTCTCCCTGAGAATCTGCTTGACTAAACCTTTAAGCCTCGAGTCACTTTTCCAGTGGGGCCTTCCCTCACCACCCTGTTTAAAATGGTAATGCCACTTCAGCACTTCCAGTCCCTGACATCCTGCTTTACTTCTCTTTTTGTACAATTTTTTAACATTTTATATACTCAATATTATTAATGAGGTTGGTCTTTTGTTGTCTCCTGCTAAAATGTTAGCTCCATAAAGCTAGGGAATCTCTCTTTTGTTCATGTATCCCAAGAGTCTAGAGCAATTCTTGGCATAGTGGGCAATTAAATTGTGGTAGGGATGTTGTTGAGGTCTTGGGTGTTCAAAGGGAGCTTTAGGGAAGGAGTAAACTAGGCTCCCTAGCAGTTTCAGAAGTTTGGAAGTTTCAGAAGAGAAGGATGTGAAGAAGTAGTTGGAGAGAAGGCTATCAAGGTAGTTTGTGGCTAGATGATGGAGGGTCTCCAGTACTACCCTAGGGAGTTTGGCTTTCTCTTGTTGGATGGTTTTTCCTTAAAGGAAACTTAATCTGCTGTGTATAGGTTAGATGTGGGAAACCAGATGTTACACCATGCCTGTGTGGATGTGACAAGGGCCTGCCTGTTCTTGCATGTGTAATTAGTGGTTGAGAGGAAGACCTGGTAAGGGAGTTGTCACTTAAAACTGATTCCAGAGTTAAGAGATGAGGAAGAAGGAAAAGCACAAGCTGATTTTGGAAGCCTGTAACCTGGCGATTGAGAGTAGTAGAAAGTTTTAATCAGTTGGTGATTTGGATTTGGTAGGAATGGAAGCGATAACATGTAAACTGATAGGAAGAGATGACAGGAGATGGGCCATGTGCTGATGAAATATGGGATGTGGCTATCTCTGTAGGTAGGTGAGCAGTTGTGGCGCTGTTGACATGAAGGTAGTTGGCCCTGGGCACGAGAAGGATGTTGAAGATCTTAAGTAGTTGCATTGTCAAATGTATCTGTCTAAGCCAAGGAAGATGTGATAGCACAGGCTGTGTTGAAAGGGTAGGAATTCCTGAAAGTGTGGTTGCCACTCTACCTCTACTTTTTCAACCTCCCACCTCTCCTTTCCCCCTGTCATTCATTCTACAACCCATTGCTGACTGACTTTTTTTTTTTTTTTTTGAGATGGGGTCTTACTCCGTCGCCCAGGCTGGTGTGCAGTGGAGCAATCATGTCTTACTGCAGCCTCTATCTCCTGGGGCTCACGCGATCCTCCCACCTCAGCCTCCTGAGTAGCTGGAACTATACGTATGCATCACCATGCCTGGGTAATTTTGTATTCTTTGTAGATACGAGGTTTCACCATGTTGCCCCTGCTGGCCTTGAGCTGCTGGGCTCAAGTGATCCTCCGGCCTCAGCCTCCCAAAGTGCTAGGATTACAGGCGTAAGCCACCACGCCCAGCCAGCAGACTTTTTGTCTTTACCACTTTTCAAGATTATGTGTAACATCTGTGTGCTGAGTTCAGTTTAATGCGTATTTTCAATCCTTAGGTCATTTGACCTCTCAGTGTGGCCTTTGGCAGCCACTGATCTCCTTTTCTTTTCTTGAAACACTTTTCTTCTTGGCTCCCGTGGCATCCATGGTATTAGTCTCTTGGTTTAGCCTCCCATGGCTTCAGCTATGACCCGTGTACCAATGAAAACTAAACCCTCACCAGCTGTAGATATCCAGTGTTCTGACAACATCAAATTAAATGTGTGTTAAACCAAATCCATCATCTTCCTCTCAGGTTAGTGCCTCCTCTGTCTTGCCCTGGTTCTGTTAATGACCTCATTTTCTAGCTAGTCAAATGATGAACCTGAGTCATCTTTAACTTCCTCTTCTATAGCGCCCCCCTGCTTCCAGACCTGTTGATGCTGCTGCTAACGTATCTGTGTCCTGACCCTGACCTTTCCCTCCATTCCCTCTGCTTTGATCAAGCTGTCATTGTCTCTTGCTTTGGTTGTTGCTGTCATGACCGGTCCTCTCTTCCAGGTTCTGCGTCCCTCTGTCCATCTTCCGTACTGCTGAGCTGCCTCATAGAGCTCAGATGTGATCATGCCACGTGAACCCCAGTCATTCAGAGCAGAGGGTTCCCACTGTTGTCTGAGACCAAGTTTTCATCATGGTAGAGTAACATGGGCCCTGAATTTTAAGTTTCTTACTTACTTTGAGGTCCCTCAGTAAGGATGAAGATGGTTCATTAAATACTTAAAGTGATTTATTTGGAGTATCTATGAAAGACTTCCCAAAGTACACCTTGTTTTCCAGCCACAGCAAACCATTTGTCATTCCCAGAACACTCAGTGCACTTTAATACTTGTCTGCCTTTGCTGATGCTGTTCCCTCTGCTCTAGCGCCCTTTTCTTTCTTGCAAATGAAACTTATGTGACATCTCAAGGTTACCATAAACATTACCTCTCTGAGGCTTTCCAGCTGCTAGTTTATCATAGGTCATCTTCGATTATAGTTTGGTATTTTTTGGCTTTTATTATTTTGATATGTTTGTTTTTGTTAATATAAGAATGACAAGACTACATTATTATTATTATTATTATTTTTTGAGACGGAGTCTCGCTTTGTCGCCCAGGCTGGAGTGCAGTGGTGTGATCTCGACTCACTACAAGTTCCGCCTCCTGGGTTCAAGCATTCTCCTGCCTCAGCCTCCCGAGTAGCTGGGACTACAGGTGCATGCTGCCACGCCTGGCTAATTTTTTGTATTTTTAGTAGAGATGGGGTTTCACCGTGTTAGCCAGGATGGTCTCGATCTCCTGACCTCGTGATCCACCCGCCTCAGCCTCCCCAATTGCTGGGATTACAGGCATGAGCCACCACGCCCGGCCAAGACTACATTCTTACAGTGAGTGTCAGACAGTTCAGAAGTTTCAAGAGCAAAATGTGGATCTCTTGCCTCCTTCCCCACTCCTCCTCCTTCCCACTCCAAGCCTGGGGGTGAGGAGGATTAGTTCTTTCTCTTTAAGAGCCCATAGCAGAGTGCGTCTTACTCTGCTTCGCCTCTTTAGTGCCTAGTAAGCATTCAGCAGATACATGAGTAATTAAGAGTCAGGTGTAAAAATAAACCCAAGCAGGTCAAGGTGGGCCCTTGAGGTTAGTAAATGATAGTAATAGTATTTGGAGAGGGTGGTAAGAGTGAAATAGAGTATGAATGCAGTAACACCTTGTATTTCCAAAATCCATGCAACCAGCAAGCTCAGATAACTGTATTTTTTCCCCCGGTGGGTGGAGATGGGCAGCAGGTGAGCAAGGGAAGTTGTCAGAACAAGTGCTGTGGGGGGTGGTGTGCTTACTGGGGAGCCCCAAAGCTAATTGCTACTGGGAGAACCGCTGAGGAACAATGAGGAGTGGGAGTGGGTGAGGTGAGGTCTTTGTGGATCTTAACCAAGGAAAGACACAGGGCAGAGAAGTGAGGGGGTGAAAGAGGCTAATGGGAAGGGAAGGAAATGGGCATAGAGAGAGAAAAGGTCTGTGTTTCATAATTGCACTCTGTGCTAGTCGTCGTTAAGGGGCCCTCATGCATACCGCGTAGGGTATTTGATTTAATCTCTCATAGCCACCCTGCCAGGTAGGTATTATGTTCCCATTTTATAGTTGAGGAAGATAAGGACGCTGAGGCCCAGGGTGGGTAATGCTAAGTAACTTCTCCAAAGTTACCTAGTGTTCTCTTCATCTGGGCTAAGAAAATAAAAAACCAAAAAAACAGAAATCAGAATTACCTAGTGAGTTGACAGAGCCAGGATTCAGTTCTAAGGTTCCAACTCCAAGGCCCATGTTTTTTTCTAGATCACTAGGTTTCTTTTTTATGAGACGGAATCTTTACCTGTTGCTCAGGCTGGAGTGCAATGGTGCAATCTTGGCTCACTGCACCCCAGCCTGGGTGACAGACGAAACTCCGTCTCAAAAAAAAAAAGAAAGAAAGAAAAAGTAGTATGACTTGAGGGCACAGTGGTAGCTGGTCCATATTACAGGACATCAACAAAAAGGAAGATTGCTTGATTTCTTTGAGTTTTAATTCAGGTAAGCCCATTAGGCTTAGCATATGCAATAGGTTCATTTCCATTAGAGGAGCCTGCTGCTGTTTTATATGAAGGTTATAATGAAAAAGATCTCTGGTCTAGGGCTCCCTGAAAAGTTAAGGGTATTTTATAAGCCAAATGGAGCTGGAAGGAAAATCGTTGGTTTCTAAACTCATTAATAATCAGACCTGAGAAGTTCTGTCCTTTCCTTTCCCTTTTCTTTTTTTGAGATAGAGTCTCCCTCTGTTTCGCCCAGGCTGGGGTGTAGTGGCGTGATCTTGGCTCACTGCAACCTCTGCCTCTGGATTCAAGCGATTCTCCTGCCTCAGCCTCCCGAGTAGATGGGATTACAGGTGCCCACCACCATGTCTGACTAGTTTTTGTATTTTCAGTAGAGACAGGTTTTCACCATGTTGGGCAGGCTGGTCTTGAACTCCTGACCTCAGGTAATCCACCGCCTTGGCCTCCCAAAGTGCTGGGATTACAGGAGTGAGCCACCGTGCCCGGCCCAGGGAAGGCCTTTTAAAAAATTCATGAGGAGGCCAGGTGCAGTGGCTCATGCCTGTAATCCTAGCACTTTGGGAGGCCAAGGTGGGCAGATCACAAGGTCAGGCGTTCGAGACCAGCCTGGCCAACATAAGTGAAACCCATTAGCCAGGTGTGGTGGTGGGTGCCTGTAATCCCAGCTACTTGGGAGGCTGAGGCAGGAGAATCACTTGAACCCAGGACGTGGAGGTTGTAGTGGGCTGAGATTGCACCATTGCACTTTATCCTGGGTGACAGAGCAAGACTGTCTCAAAATAAAAAGGCCGGGCATGGTGGCTCACTCCTGTAATCCCAGCACTTTGGGAGGCCGAGGCAGGCGGATCACCTGAGGTCAGGAGTTTGAGACCAGCCTGACCAACATGGCGAAACCTGTCTCTACTTAAAAAAATACAAAAATTAGCTGGACATGGTGGTGGGCACCTGTAATCCCAGCAACTCAGGAGGCTGAGGTGGGAGAATTGCTTGAACCCGGGAGGTGGAGGTTGTAGTGAGCCAAGTGCTTTGTTATTGTCCAGGAAATTATTCATCTGCATTTTGTTTTTAGAGAAAGATAAATTGAGTGATCTATCAAGGATTTTTTAATTTTAGGGGCACATGTCATCAGGACCTCCTGAGGCTGTGTCACGGACTCATGTCCTTTTAAATAAAAACATTTTTATAAAAAGGGTTTGTTTATTTAATTTAATTTCATTTTTTTGAGACGGAGTTTCACTCTTGTTGCCCAGGCTGTAGTGCAATGGCACGATCTCAGCTCACTGCAACCTCCACCTTCTGGGTTCAAGCGATTCTCCTGCCTTAGCCTCCCAAGTAGCTGGGATTACATGTGACACCACGCCCGGCTAATTTTTATATTTTTAATAGAGATGGGGTTTCACCAGGTTGGCCAGGCTGGTCTCAAACTCTCAACCTCAGGTGATCCACCCACCTCGGCCTCCCAAAGTGCTGGGATTACATGTGTGAGCCACTGCGCCTGGCCAGATTTATTTATTTTAAATATGTAATTTTGAGATAATGTAAGACTTACGGAAGAGTTGCAGAAATAGTATAGGGAGTTTTTGTAAGCTCTTCTCCCATAGGTACTTACTAACAAACAACAAAACTGCAGCAGCCAAGCCCTCCAACATTTGTGACCAACAATTTATTTTTTAAAAATTTTCTTTTTTTTTTAAATTTTAAAATTATTATTTTTTTTCTTGTATCAGGATAGGATCTCGCTGTGTTGCCCAGGCTGGTTTTAAAATCCTGGGCTCGAGCAGTCCTCCTGCTTTGGCCTCCCAAAGTGCTGGGATTATAGGTGTGAGCCGTTGTTCCTGGCCTTGTGACCAATAATTTAGCTCAGTTTCTGTGCCTTCTTTATTCTAGTACTGCTAGACAATTAAAGTAGGTGCTGATGCTACTGTAGAAACACAAAATCTTCTCTGCCACTTCTTGATTTTGCTTAGTTGTTATTATCCTGATTGTAAAAAGTATTTTGAACTCTAGAATATTTGATAATTAAAAAAAAAAATTACCACCATTGGATTCAATCTCTAATAACATTTTGATTTGCTTCCTTCTAGTCTTTTTTCCTATTTACTTTTTCAATATGGTTGAGATTACACTGTAAATGCACTTTTTTCTTCTGCCTTTTCCGCTTTATAGCATAAGTGGCTTTTCAAATCATTAAATATTTTATAAATATTTGCAGTGGCTTTATAATACCGAATTGCATGGATTTTTAAGCAGTTCATTGTTCTGTTTTTTGCCATGGTAAATAATAATGTGATTAATGTCTTTGCGAAAACCTTTGTATGTATTTTAGAAAATTGCCTTAGGATAGATTCCCAGAAGGGCCCAAGGGTATGAGGGTTTTTTTTTTTTTTTTTTTTTTTTTAATAAACTTAGATGTAGTCTGAACAATTTTTTTTTTTTTTTTTTTTTTTTAAGAGTCTCTCTGTGTTGCTCAGGCTGGAGTGCGGTGGCGTGATCTTGGCTCACTGTAACCTCCGCCTCCCGGGTTCAAGCAGTTTTCCTGCCTCAGCCTCCCAAGTAGCTGGTACTGCAGGCGCCCGCCACCACGCCTGGCTAATTTTTTTTTGTATTTTTAGTAGAGACGGGGTTTCACTATGTTGGCCAGGCTGGTCTTGAACTCCTGACCTCGTGATCTGCCTGCCCGGGCCTCGCAAAGTGCTGGGATTACAGGCGTGAGCCACCGCGCCCGGCCTAGTCTGAATATTTTTAAGGCACTTCATCACATGTTTTCCAGAAAGGTTACACGAGTTTATTCTTCCCATCAGCTGTAGATAAATATCCTCATCAGCGTTGGGTAATCTTAAGAAAATTGTCGCTAATTTAATAGGTTAAATAATGGCTTCTCATTATTGTTCCTCAGTATCTTTTTCTGTGTGTCTATGTAGGAAACTTATCAACAAGTTAGATTTTATTTTTTGTCTGTTTATAGGAGACAGATCCCTTAAGCTTTATTTAGGTATCCCTTATATTTACATTAATGTATTAGAAATAGTGGCTTAACATATTTTAATTTTTTCCAGTCGTAAGTTAGTTACTTTTCAAAAAGCTGTAGTAAAATACACATTATTTTTTTTTGAGTCAGAGTCTCTCTCTGTCACCCAGGCTAAAGTGCAGTGGCGTGATCTCAGCTCACTGCAACCTCTGTCTCCCGGATTTAAGTGATTCTCCTGCCTCAGCCTCCCGAGTAGCTGGGATTACAGGTGTTAGCCATCACACCCGGCTAATTTTTGTATTTTTAGTAGAGACGGGGTTTCACCATTTTGGCTAGGCTGGTCTTGAACTCCTGACCTGAAGTGATCTGCCCGCCTTGGCCTTAAAATACTACATGTTTTAGTCTGTTTTGTGTTGCTGAAGGAGTATTTGAAGCTGGGTAATTTGTAAAGGGAAAAGGTGTATTTGGCTCCCAATTTTGGTGGCTGAAAAGTTCAAGATTGGGCATGTGGTAAGGGACTCAGGCTACTTCCACTCCTGGTGGACGGTGAAGGGGAATCTGTGTGCAGAGATCACAGGGCAAGAGAGGAAGGATGAGAGTGAGAGGAGAGGCGCCAGGCCCTTTCAAACAGCCAGCTCTCAGGAACTAGGAGAATGAGAATTTACTTACCCTCACCCCCCGAACTCCTTGCCAGGGAGGGCATTAATCTTTTTATCAGATATCTACCCCCATGACTCAAACACCTCTCATTAGGCCCTGCTTCCAACATTGGGGATCAAATTTAGGCATGAGATTAGGTGGAGACAAACCACATCCAGACTATGGCAACACATAACATAAAACGTCACCATTTTAAAGTATGCAGTTCGGTGACATTAAGTGCATTCACCATGTTGTGTAAGAATCACCACTCTAGTTTCACACTTTTTCATCACTCCAGAGGAAACCTGTACCCATTAAGCAGTCATTCCCCTTTCTCCCTTGCCCCAGCCCCTGGTGACCACAAATCTAATTCCTGTCTCATGAATTTGCTTATTCTGGATATTTTATATAAATTATCATACACTATATGGTCCTTCCTTATCTCCGAATGCATAAAAAGATGACATAGATTAAGTAAAAGTTGAATTGAATCTGTATTTTGAAAATAGAAATCCATCTGTGGCAGCAGTCTTAAATTCAGCATATTTAATTGGCCAGGATGTCCCATGCCCCAGCCACTAGGAAGAAATAGTTTATACCAATAGTTACTGCCAGTGGACAGAGGGTTATAGACCTTGGGGTAGGATGGAACCTAAAATAGAGACAAAGACAGGAAAAGTATGGGGCTTAGAGAGTGAAAGCCAGTGAATGGCAGGCAGCACATTCCATGGTGGAATAAACAGAAAACTTCTAGGCATTTACCTTGATTTGGAGTGCAAATTGGAGAACTTGCAGGTAAGTGCAAGTTCTTCCGTGATCAAAAAAATAACCAGCCTAAAGAATGAATGTTTGTGACAGTGTCTAGTACATAAGACCTTAGTAAATGTGCGGAGTTTTGCTTAAGAGCAAGAGTGGTATTTGGGATGACAAGGACAAGCAGAGAGGATCCCCAGGCATCTCTTTCTCAGTGTTTGACATTTTCTCTCTTTCTTTTTCTTTTTGAGACGAGTCTCTCTCTGTCACCCAGGATGGAGTGCAGTGGCGTGATCTCTGCTCACTGCAACCTCCGCCTCCTGGATTCAAGCAATTCTTCTGCCTCAACCTCCCGAGTAGCTGGTACTACAGGCTCACGCCACCACACCTGGCTAATTTTTGTATTTTTAGTAAAGACGAGGTTTCACCATGTTGACCAGGCTGGTCTCTAACTCCTGACCTCAAGTGGTCCGCCCGCCTCAGCCTCTCAAAGTGCTGGGATTACAGGTGTGAGCCACCACGCCTGGCCATGTTTGACTGGGATCCTTGGGTGTGGGGAAATGTGTTTTTAGGTGAGTAGTTTTCATGGTTCCATATACATATATGTATAGAGCTTATTCACTATTTTTCATAGTTAGTAGGTGTTCTACAGTGTGGATGTACCTTATTTAACCAATCCTGCCTTGATGGAAATTTAAGTTGTCCCCATTCTTTTGTTTTACAAACGGCATTGACATGAAGATCCTTTACACCTAAGCTTTGGAGGAAAAATCACCAAAAGTGTATTGCTGGGTGAGGTTGTCTTTGTGTTTGAAATTTGATAAATATTGCTGACTTGTCTTGGCCCCCACTGAGGTGGCACCAGTTGTCTTGCCATCCCTGTATGAGAGTGAAAGATGTAATTTCAGTTCATTATGGTCGGTGTCATGTTGAAGCCCACAAGGAGTGAGGAGCTCTGAGGGTGGGGAAGGGGGAACTGCATTAGGCTTCACAGAGTTGGGGACCTTTTCGAGGAGTCAGGAGCATTCTAGATAGAGGAAATGGTGTGTGTGAAGACATGGAACTGTTATGTGGAGAGAAAAGGGTGAGTTTGGGTTTGGCTGAGGCAGAGGGTGGGTGGGTGGCTGTGGATGGTGAGGTGGGGACAGTAAGTCAGCTAGGTTAGGGCCAGGTGATGAAATGGTTTAATCACCCCTGGTGGTCAGGTAGCAAAGACCCTGGGCGGCAGTGGTGATGGGGCTTGCAGGTGAAAGATACTTGAGAGAGAATGTACGACCAGTCTTTTTAGCAATCTTTTTTTACCCCCGAAAAACTTTCTAGACTTGTTAGAACCAGAATCACAAAGCTGGGAAGGGCTTTAGTGCAGGGCTTTTCTGGTGCTCTGTAGGCCCATAGGGATTCTTGGAGGTGTCACAGACACTAGGTTTGGGAGTACAGACAGGCATTTGAGACCCCCTCCTCTACCCTTATTAATTAAGCAGTTTCTCATTTAGTCTGCTTTATATGGTGGGGTTCTATGCAATATTTCTTTCTTTAAAAAGAAAAAAAGTGTTTGCTGCTAGAATCATGAGTCTAGTCCCAAACTCTTACTGTCCTGAACACAGATGGAGGCCTGTGGGACACGTTTTCATTCTTACATTCTTCGTTTGCAGCAGTGAGAGGTGATTTGTATATAAAAATGAAAGTGAAAAGGCATTTGGCATTCTTGGGATGTTTTTGAGCATTTAGCTAATTTTTTATGTAGGATTTTTATTTTGTTCCTTTTTTTTTAAGCTCATTGACTCACCAGTGAAATATCTAGTGAAATAGTTTTGCTCATTTATGGATGAGGGTGCTAAGGGATTTACATCCATTGATGTCATTCCCATAGCTACTTGGTGAGGGGGAGTACTGTTGAAAGTTCATTTTGCAAGTGAAGAAACTTGAGCTCCGAGAGGTTAGGTAATTTGCTCAGGGGCAAGCAGATAAGTAATCAGGAAGTCATCATTAGATGCGACCTGCCCTGATTCCACAGCCCACACCCTTCAGTTCATGCTAAGGCCTTCCCAGGACAAGCGTACCCAGCCACCTGTTGGGGGTGGAAGGGCCCAGGAAGAAGAAGGGTGTTGGATTTCTGGTCAGTCTTGGCTTTGGGCTGGTGCCTGTAGAAGGGGCAGAGCTGAGAGACGGACTGAGTCACTTCTAGCAAAATTGGTTGAGAATCGTGGGACGGGTGATGCGTGCTTGCTGTGCGGGGATTGAAGGCTCATGGAAAACCCCATGTAGAGTTATCATCTTCTCTCTCCAGGGATGTGAGCAAGGCCAAGGTTATTGGCCGAGTACCTGTTTCATTTCACCTGTGCACCGACTCCCTCCAGAAAGGCGCCATCTGCTTTCTTGCTGCTCACTGCCACCACAGTCACCACTACCACTGTTTTGCCTTTCTAATCCAGTGCCTCGCCAGTGGGGTGGAGGGATGGAACTGTGTATAGTTCCAGTATTACAATATAGTTTTTTATATTGTACAAGTTTTAGTTTATTAGTGGAACCCGGGCACATGAAAGTCCCTGGTTAGAGAGTTGCTTTGCAGCGTCTTCTCCCTTTGTGGCTAGTAATGATCTGCGGGGATGGGAGGAGCATTGAGAACCTATTGGCCATGAAGAGTCACTTCCTCCCGACACAGATCTCTGCTTGTGCAGCGCCCCCACACTTCCTGCGTAATGCAGTGCCCTCAGAGATCCCCCAGCAGCTGCCACCCCGGCAACATTATCTATATTTGCAGGGATACTTAAGGACCCTTTGGCAATTGGCAGTGATATTTTGAGAGCCTTTGAGGAACGTGACTGAACATGAATTTTAAAAAAGTATAAAGGTGGCACTAGGTGTATTCAGAGGGACAAGCTGGTGGCAACTTAGGGGGACTTTGCCTTTATAAAAGGAGACCCACACATGGAGTTTACGTAAGAAGAACTTACAGTGAGGGAGAGATGACTGTATCAGCCAATACAGATGAAGAATGCTCCAGGAGCTTGCGGGGTTTGCCCACAGTGCCACAGACTAGACTCAGTAGAGCCAGGACTGGCTCTAATCTGGTACTTTCTCTGCCTGCCATGCTTGGCCCTGTACCCCTCAGTGGCAGCACTGTTTCCCATTAGAGAAAACAAACCTGTTAGTTTTCTCATTGCTTATGTAGAGGGTAACCTTCCTGTGTCCCCTCATTCTTGCTTTAGCCTACATTCAGGGGGGTTTTGACTGCACACCAGGTGGGAGCAGTATTGGGGCACATTCTTCTGGTCCTGTCTCCACCCTCTCATTTCTTCCTTTCCATAGGAGTGATTTATCTGATTGGTACACCAGGGAGAGCCTCACTCCATTGGTCCACATCTACCCAGTGTGAGGTCACTGCATCAGAACACTGCCTGGCTTTGTGCTTGAACTCTCTCCCCTGCTTACCCTTAAGAGAAGCCTGTCCTTAGCTGTGTCCTACCTTCCTTTTGTGGCTAGCACCATTCTTTGTCCCTAGGTCTGGAGGCGGGTGGCAAGGCCAACTAGAAATGGGAAGGGCGAGGCATTGCAGCTTTGCCATTGACAAAGAGGATGGTAGACTTTGGTTTGCTCTTGGTTTCTTGAGACTTTATAGCAACCGAGTGGAACCTGGAGGGGATGATTATGCTACCCCAGTTCCCAGTAGTAATGTGGTCTAGAGATTTTTACCAAAGTCAAATAATATTATAACTTTTTTTTTTTTTTTTTTTTTTGAGACGGAGTCTTGCTCTGTCACCCAGGCTGGAGTGCAGTGGCCCGATCTCTGCTCACTGCAGTCTCTGCCACCTGGGTTCAAGTGATTCTCCTGCCTCAGCCTCCTGAGTAGCTGGGATTACAGGTGTCCGCCACCACCACTCCTGGCTAATTTTTGTATTTTTATTAGAGATGGGGTTTCACCATGTTGGCCAGGCTGGTCTCGAACTCCTGACCTCAGGTGATCTGCCTGCCTCAGCCTCCCACAGTGCTGGGATTACAGGCGTGAGCCACCGCGCCCAGCCATTATGTTAACTTATTTAAAATGCCAAGTCTACCTGGGAATAATTCAGGATGAAGGTGGTTTTACAAGAGACTTGCTCTTAAATAGCACAGGTGGTAATAGCAGCTGAAATGAAATTACTCACCTGAGCAGTAGCGTTAATCATCATGTTAGATTTGCAGCATGCTTTTATAGTGGTTCGTCAGTTTCATACTCATTCATTACCTGATGTCATCCAATGCCAGGTAAAGCCAGCTCATTCATCATCCTTAAAACCCTTGGAGCAGAACTCCTCTGTGCTTCCTCAAGGGGTGTAGGAGCTGTCACTGGGCAAGAGCTCTGGTGGCCTGCCCCTGTCTTCACTTGACCCACAGCTAGCTGACTTTGGGAGGATGCTCTCTCTCAGCTTCATTTTCCTCATTGTAGAACAAGATTGGACTTGCTGTGCTCTGGGGTTTGTTTACTTCTGTCTTAAGATTCTGTGATCGTGTTTTAGCATTTCTTGGTAGCTTGCCTTGTGTTAATGTGCCCAGTAAGTATCTTTTGAGTTTAATACTAGGCATGCAGATATAAACATCCATCCTCCTGGGATATGTACCTGGGAAAGGGAAGCAGATGGGACTGTGAAGACAGAGCCTACTCTTGGCTGTATTACTTACTTTAGACAGTTTCTGCAGAATAACTATTTTTATCATTTACTTTTTTTGGCTGTTTAATTAAGCCTTCTGACTGGAATATAAATAAGTATATAAAATATATGTATTTTAGCTCCTAGTGGATATGGTTTGTTGCCCAACCAGTAGATGCAAACATTTTAATGTCTAGGCTGTGTAACTGTGGTGAAAATAAACCTGGCACCTGAGAGAATAATTCTTTCCTATTGTATCCTTTTCTCCATTTCTCTTTCCCATATGCCTAGCTAGCTGGGAGCAGCCAGGGGCAAGGTAGAGGGTACCGGCCAGTGGATGGTATTTTAAAAACTGTTTATTTCAAAATGATTTCAAATAGAAAGATTTCAAGGAATAAGTTATACAAAGATCTCTCATACCCTTTACCCAAACTCACCTACCGTTAATATTTTGTCCTGTTAACGTTATTTGCACGTTCCCTCTTTATATGTATATATAGACATATATGCATGTACATGCATGTACATTCACACACACATGTATTTTTTTCTGAACAATTTTAGAGTAAGTTGCCTTTGTCATGGTCCATTGCCCTATATCATATATTTCTTAATAGGGGCATTCTCCCACATGACTATGGTACAGTTACCATCTTCGGTTAATAGAACATTGATTCAGTACTTTGATCTAACCTACTACCACCTGTATTCCAGTTTTGTCAATTGGCTCAGTCATGCCTTTCATAGCATTTTTTCCCTCCAGTCCAGGATCAATCTGTGGTCAGGTGTAGCATTTACTTGTCATGCTCTTTAGTCTTTAGATTTGTTGTTTAAAATTATTGAAACCAGGCTGGGCACGCTGGCTCAGGCCTGTAATCCCAGCACTTTGGGAGGCCGAGGTGGGCGGTATCGCTTGAGGTCAAGAGTTCAAGACCAGCCTGGCCAACATGATGAAGTCTTGTCTCTAATAAAAATTCAAAAAAAATTAGCCAGGTGTGGTGGCGGGCACCTGTAATCCGAGCTCCTTGGGAGGCTGAGACACGAGAATTGCTTGAACCTGGGAGGTGGAGGTTGCAGTGAGCTGAGATTGTGCCACTGCACTCCAGCTGGGCGATAGAGCTAAACTCAGTCTCAAAAAAAAAAAAAAATAAAGAAAGAAACTGGTGCACCTCTCCATTGGTAGCTGATTGATGAGTCTTGTTTTTATGCATTCTCCAATACTATGTGGATGAGGTTTCCCAGCATAAAACGTACCATCCTCTGTATACAAAGATGTTTCCTCTAACTGGTCTCCATGGGGAGAAAATATGCTGCTTCCATGTTATCACTGCCACAGTGGGATCAGTTGAACTTCCTGGCCCAGACACCCGGCAGTCATCTTGCTTCTAACTCTTGGTCCTCAGCAGTAATTAGAGGAAGAGACAGACAATCTGACTGGGCACTTTGTGCAAACCCAAGAAATAATAGAGGAATGTTCTGCCATCGATCAACTTTATGGTAGTTTTAGATTAAAGCAGAAAAGTGCTTTTTAATGACTAAAATTATGTTTAGATGCAGCCAGAGTGTATGTTTTAATCAAATATTAAATGTCTGTGTGAAGATATTGTGCAAAGTTATGTCTAGATCTAAGCTGCAGACAAGAAAACAAGAAGCCTTTCTCATGCGAGGGGATGACTTTGTTCCAGATTGTGTTAATAGAGGGGTGGGCGCGCCTGCCCAGCCTTAGCAGTCCTGTTACATGCTGTGGTTGTCTGTTTGCTTCAGTAGAAGACATTTTTTTTTCTCCTGCAACTCTTGTACACAATGTTTAGAATGAATTACATCAATGTATATTTGTACCTCGGTCTTCCCTCTGCTTGGCCTTACGCTGTCCTATCACAGTCAGGCTAAGGAAAGGAACTCACATGGGTGTGGCTGGGGCTGAGATTCTGGCTGGCTGCTCACTGGCTGTGTGTCTTTGAGCGAGTCATCCAGTGTCTCTGGGCTTCCCTGATTGCCCTGCTGACTGCTAGACTGTGGAGGGTCAGTGGGCTTCACCACTTTTTCTTTTTTTTAAATAGAGGAATAAAGTGAGATTTCCACTTCAATATGCTGTGCTTTTTTTTTTTTTTTTTAAAGGAAGTGTCAGCTGGGCGCGGTGGCTCGTGCCTCTAATCCCAGCACTTTTGGAGGCTGAGGCAGGCGGATCGCTTGAGCCCTGGAGTTTAAGACCAGCCTGGGCAACATGGCGAAACCCCAGCTCTACAAAAAATACAAAAATCAGCTGGATGTGGTGGTGTGCAGCTGTGGTCCCAGCTACTTGGGAGGCTGAGGTAGAAGGATAGCTTGAGCCCGGGAGATAGAGTTTGTGCCACTGTACTCCAGCCTGGGCGACAGAGCAAGACCTGTGCCTCCAGAAAACAAAAGGAAAAGGAAAATATCTACGGGCTGGGATGCAAAAGAGCAGTAGTGACCGGAGGGAGAGATGGGAGGAAGCATTGTTCTGAATGTCGTTCTCCTGACTGGGGCTTCCTTGATGCACTTTTCTAGCTTTCTGGCTTTTTGAGCTGAATGACTTCAGGAGGGGGATAGGTAGATGTCACTCGCCCTGGTTCCCATGCATGTTATTTTAAGCTTAGTATTTCATCTCATACTTGTGTGCAGGCCTACAGGTCAAAGATTTTTTTCTCTCCTTTTTTTTTTTTTTTTTTTTTTTTTTTTGCAGTGGTGAAGGGTGTAGGGAAGTGAGAGTGATGATCTGAGAGTTTAGACATCTATGGTAATCCTGTTAGCTTTCAGAGAAAGTTTACATGAGTTTGAATATCTTTGCTAATCGCATGTGTTGTAACACACCGGATATGTTTTGCATACTTTTTAACCTTCGTTGGCAGCAGGGATAGAATCACTTTTCTTCGAAACCTTTATATACAGCAAATAGGGTAATGACACTGTTCTAGATATGCCACAGGGATATTTGAATGGCACTCTGGGATACTAGTCCTCATTTTGTTGAGGTTTGGTATCTATGAGCCCATGAACCTGAATATAGGAGACCCATATGATTCACCTCCTAGTAGATTATACAAAATGAGGCTCTGGGAAAGGATGGCAAAAAGCTTAATAGAAGTGTCTTTAAAAAATAGTCATTTTTGGCTGGGCATGTTGGCCCATGCCTGTAATCCCAGAACTTTGAGAGGCATAGGTGGGAGGATTGCTTGAACCTGGGGGTTTTAAGACTAGCTTGGGCAACATAGCAAGACCCCATCTTTATTTAAAAAAAATTTAAAAAATAGTCATTATTCCCCAAGATTAATTTTGTAAAAAGGTTATGCTTAGAGGGGGTTGTTTTAGAGGCCATTAGGTAACATATTACAGATTTAATCAGGGTTTGAGGAAACCACCTTCTAGCTGCTACATCTTAGGGAAAAGCACCTTATTATCCACCTTCAGTCTCAGTGTTAGCAGTCTCCTGTTTTTCAACACAGATTGAATCTGCGTGTGAGCAGAAGTCTGCTTATGGTCAGAACCCTTAAAGGGGAAAATGTAAAGAGTCACATGTATCTTCAATTTGGAGGAATTACCAGTATTCTTGAGAAACTGAAAGTGATACCAACAGTTTTCTTGTTCCTTTTACTGTCTTGAATTTGGTCTTTAAGATAGTTGAGCCACCAGCCCATGGTAGATATTGTAGAAAATACAGACATACTAGATAGAGCATCTTTCCAGACAGTTGATGTTCTGGGTAGAGAAGCCTAATATCTATGACGTATGAACAGTGACTTTCAGCCCACACTTCATGCCTGACATTGTGTTTACTATGTATTTTACATTTTATTTAATTCTCAGAATGACCCAATATGTTAGGTACTTTTACTGTCCCCACTTGTGCACAAGAAGAAACAGTGACACATTAAATAACTAGGCCAAGGTCAAGCTGCACATTTGGATTCAAACTTGGGGAACCTGACCCTAGAGCCTGCATTTTAAAACTTTTGCCATTCTGAAATGACCAGAGAACAGCACCAAGGGCAAAATTCTGTAGTACTGATTACAAGACAAAGACACAAGATGTAAATGACCTGATCTGTACTGTAATCTGTGTAGGAAAATTCATGAAGGTTAAACTATAAATTGCAGTCTCAGAAGCAAATGCAGGATGGGGCTAGGTACTCGCTTATGAGACCATGAGTGTTCAGATTGGAGTGGCTTCCTATGGCGAGTGACATTGAATCAGGCATGCTTTCCTTCTTATCCTCCTAGTAAACTTCCTTGCTCTTCAAAACCCAAATCACCCCTTTGAAGCTTTCTTTCCTTCAGATAGAGTTAGTTTTCTCTTTGGTCTTCTGAGGCTGTTTATATGTACGCCAGGACTACAGGATGTAACTGCTAGGCCACCTTCAGTTCTTTGAAGTTAGGGACCGTCTTACTCATCATTGTATCCCAGGGGCTTAATTTAAGCAATATCAGTTACTTAGTGAGTATTGAATTCTCATTTCTCCAACAAATAGCTGAGTTGCTTAGTCACTCCAGAATTAAAGCTAGGTTTAGAATAATTGGAGCGGTGTGATGGCATGTGCCTATAGTCTCAGCTTCTCAGGAGGCTGAAGTGGGGAGGATCGCCTGAGCCCAGGGGTTTGAGGCTGCAGTGAGCTGTGATTGTTCCACTGCACTCCAGTCTGGGGTGATACAGCAACACTCTGTCTCTAAAAAAAAAAAAAAATTAGGCTGAATGCAGAGGCTCCCACCTGTGATCCCAGCATTTTGGGAGGCCAAGGTGGGAGGATCACTTGAAGTCAGGTGTTCAACCCCAACCTCGGCAACAGAGCAAGACCCAGGCTCTACAAAAATGAAAATAAAAGCCAGATGTGGTGGCATGTGCCTGTAGTCTCAGCTATTTGAAGCTGAGGCAGGAGGATTGCTTGAGCCAAGGAGTTTGAGGCCTCAGTGAACTAGGATCATGCCACTGAACTCTAGCCTGGCAACAGAGACCATGTCTTTAGCAAAAAAAAAAAAAAAAAGAATAACTGGGGCAGAAAAATCTATATTTAAGAGAATTTATCTGGCGGTAAAGTACTGTTTGGATTGGAATTGGAAAACCTGGAAACCAGGTAAAAGCAATTATAGTAACGTAGGCAGGAGATGATTAGGGCTCCGTAGAAATAGTGGTGAGGGAGAAGGTACAAACCTGCAAAAGAGTGAGAAGCAACAGTCCGCAGACCTGATGGTGTTTGCTGTGGATGGAGAATATGGGGAAGAAGCAAAGGCGATCTCAAATTATGTCACCCTTCTGCTTCTTCCAAGTTTTAATTTTTTTAGGTGATTATGGGTCTTGGTGGACTTAGTAGTCCCTTAATAAATGAGTCAATGGCATAGATCTCTGAACTGCTGACCCATGAGCAGCAAAGTAAAAGGAGCAGATAAAGTCAGGGCAGGCACAGTTGCAAGCTTATCACCTTTGCAGTTTTAACTGTTTCTGGAACAGAAAACTTGGGTTTGTTTTAGATCTATGCAGAGCTCTCCAAGAGTATATTCTGAGCCAAGCTTAATTCGTCATCCTGCCCAAGGATTTTAAGTGTATGTGCCATTTGCTATTGAGGTGAGCCAAGTAACTCTTGGGGAAGCATAGGCTTATGGGGTTGTAATACCTTGTGCTGCCATCCTGGCAGCTCTGAAGACAAGAGATGGTTCCTAGAAATCAGGAGCCTCATGCTCACACTGTTACCTGCAGGCTTATTGCCAGTCCCCAGAGCCATAGTTGTGCTGATAGAGCTAAAATACAGTTTCTAAAGAGTCTGATAACACCAACCTGGACTTTAGAAATGAGGATTTTAAAACATTAAGTGTTTAAAATTGCAGTATATATTTACACAGAAGCAGATAAATTGTAAAGTTGATCATCTTTGTGTAACTAACACTCAGATAAAGAAATAGACTATTACCAGAATCCCTCCTCCTCCAAGGTAACCACTAGTCTGATTATAACACCATAGATAAGTTTTACTTATTTAAATTATTATTATTATTATTTTTTAAGAGGCAAGGTCTTGCTCTGTTGCCCAGGCTAGAGTGCATTGGTGCAATCATACCTCACTGCAGCCTTGAACTCCTGGGCTCGAGTGATCCTCTTGCCTCAGCCCCCCAAGTAGCTGGAATTATAGATGTGGGCCACTATGCCTGGCTTTTTTTTGTTGTTGTTGTTAAAATTAATATAAAGTGAATAATGAAAGGTTGTGTTTTGGTTTCTTTCACTCTACATTGTGTTTGTGAGATTCATCTGTGTTGTTGCATGTAGCAATATTAATTCCTGTTGTCTTATAATATTCTCCTCTATCAAGAAATCACTATTCATCCATTCCAGTGGTGACGGATATTTGGGTTCTTTTGACTTTTTGGGTATTGTGTATAATAGTGCTGTGAACATTTGTGTATGTTTTCGTTTGGTATACATGTAAAAATTTCTGTTGGGTATATATCAAGGAGTAGAATTGCAGGGTCATAAGATATGCATATGTTTAGCTGTCAGTTTTCTAGAGTGGTTGTACCAGTGTATACTCCCACCAGCAGTACATGCATGTGCTGGTTGCTCAGCCTCCTCATCAACACTTATTATTGTCAGTCGTTTAAATTTTAGCCTTTCTGGTAGATGTGTAGCACTATCTTATTTTAAATTTGTATTTTCCTGATAACTAATGAGGCTGAACACTTATTTATAGGCTTTTTGAATACCCTCTTTTATAATTAATTATTTGCCTGTCCAAAAAAATTGAAGTCCTTTGTCTTTTTTTTTTTTTTTACTGATTTGTTGAAGTTATTTTATGCTCTGATATGAGTTCCCTGTTTCCATATTGCAGATAGCTCCTATTTTGTGGCTTTCTTTTACACTCTCTCCATTGTGCCATCTGATGAACATTTCAACTTACCAGTCTTTTCCTTTATGGTTAGTGGTTTATGTGTTCTGTTTAAGAAATTTTTCCCTACCCCTAGCTCGTGAAGATACTCTGTATCTACAATCCAACTGGAATTTTTGTGTGTGAATGTGTCTCACTTAGTTTTAAACTTATCTTACCTTTCCTTAGTTTGTCAAGATCTGTCTGAGGCTTAAATCCCAAGCACAAGGTAGGAGGCAGTCAGATAAATTTTCTTATTCTTCATAAATTAATGCAGCGCAGGAGATAAAGTTTTTGAATAGCCTTTGGGAATGGAAGCCTTGTCTCCCTACCACACGATGGCACTTGGATTTTGTTTTATGTTCTTTGTCCCTTTCATTACTTGAAAGTGTAATCTGCTTGGAGTATTACCTCTTCCTCACTTGCAGTTAATTCCTTAACTCACCCAATCTACTTTCTGGCTTCACCACTTGCTTGAAACAGCTGGCCAAGGTTCCGGTGGCTTTGTTGCCAAACGGGAGCCAGGGAATTCTCCAGTATCCTTGAACCAGTATCCTTGAATGTGCCTTCTATGTCTTTTCTACCTCTGTTCTGATTGTGTGATGTTAGCAAATTCTTGGCCTCCTGATTTTTCCCGCCTATACATTTTACATAGCTTCATTTTGAAATCTAGTCTGAAAAGCCCCACTAGATATGATTGGGAGAAAGCCCTTAAACCTGAGGGCATGAGTCTCTAGTTTCAAAGTAGGCCTGACCACTTTTGTTGTTTTGCTTTGGTCTGTTTTCATTTGGTATCTAAGACCAAATAAAAATGAGATCAGCCATAACTACAGATTAGATAATTCCTTATGGTTTATGTAGCAGTTTTACATGGATCGCCTGATTGGATCTCATATCACCCTGTGAGGCAGGTATTGTTGTTACAGATATAGAAATGATTAAAAATGCAAACAGCACTTATTTGTTCTTGTTGAGAAACACCTGGTAATGCCCCGGATTTGGTTTTGGAGCTTCCTTTTTCATGTAGCCATCATTTAATGGGAAAATGCA